>NC_000008.11:23193435-23496466 GCF_000001405.40 Homo sapiens
CCCAGACAGCAGGATCTGCTCTTCTCAGTTTGAGAAATTTTTAAAGGAATTTCCATTTGCAGGTTGAACAGGCCCAAGTGACTGTGAGAGGGAAGCACTCTGCCTTTCAGTCTGGACACTCTTGGAGGCTTGTTTGTAATTGTGTGTTGTTTCAGGGCAAGTGAGTGTCTTTTGTGGGTACCAGGCAGCACGACTGGCTCCTCTCAATTTGAGAAATTTGAAAGCAATTTTTGTTGGCAGGTTGATCAAACCTAACCAATGGAGAGAGGAAGCACCCTGCCTGTTTCAGTCTGGACACTCTTGGAGCTTGTTTGTTGCTGCAGCAGTTGTATTATGTTTTGGTGATTATTTCTATGTGTTTGCTAGAGTCATGGGAAATTGGAATTCAGTAAACTTGGTATTCTTTTGTAATACTGTTTGGCTCCAATATTGCTTGGAAACTGAAGTTTGCTGCTGAATGAGAAAGTAGGATGGAGTTCCTGTATCCAGGCTTTTATGTTGCTGTTCTAAGCAGCATTGGGCCTGATTAGTTGGTTCTAGGTGGTGTTCTCTGCGATGCTGTTTGGAGTCTGCAGAGGTTTGGCCTTTAAAAATCAAACTGCCATGGAAACTGCTTTACCTAAAATTTGGGTTCACAACCTTCACTGAATTATCTATTGGAGCTAACAAATTTCAGCCATGTGAACATATTTGTAGACTGGTGAGTTTGTATTACTGTCTCATGGAGAGAGTTCAAAGGTAAAAGCTATTGGATCTTTGTGTGTGCATATAGGTCTAGATGTGTTTATGTGTATGTACATTTATTATTAAGTTACATGTTGTGTCTACCAAATTGACTTATAAGTAAAAGAGTACTCATAAATAAAGTAAATAATTCCAAGCAATTTTCAAGTTCATGTGACTTAAGTAAATCCTTAC
This sequence comes from Homo sapiens, assembly GCF_000001405.40. NCBI lineage: Eukaryota > Metazoa > Chordata > Mammalia > Primates > Hominidae > Homo > Homo sapiens. The sequence goes on from NC_000008.11 coordinate 23,194,354, forward strand.
TAAACAAGTCAGCTTTAAAATTATTGGTAAAATAAGAAAACAGAAGTGTCTTCAGAATTGTCAGCATACATTTTTGTCTGGGCTTATATTTGTCTTTGCTAGATATTTTGAGATATCAGTTTGGCACAAAAACTTAAGACTACAAGCCCAACCAAAACAAAATGATCTTTGAGTCAAGCTTTTGATAAGTAAGATTAAATTAATGTTGTTGGTTTAATGAAAACAGCTGAGTCTTCTGACTTATTGGTGAAAATATCTATATATTTAACTTTGAAGCTCTTAGGTGAGCACCTGATGTTCACTGGCTATTAAAAAAATGGCTGACAAAGAAATTAACTAACTTTAAATGATGGTGTCTAATATCTCAATTTTCAGAAGCAATCTGGATAAACTTAAAAATGAAAGAATTGAGTAAATGTAAATGGGATGTTTTAAGTAAATTTTTCATATAATTAAAAATTGTTGTCATTGGATTACAGAGAAAACTTCCAGTGCAGTAACTGAAAGACCAATGTGTGGCCAGGCGCATTGGCTCATGTCTGTAATCCCAGCACTTTGGGAGGCCAAGGCAGGCGAATGTCTATCACTTGAGGCCAGGAGTTTGAGACCAGACTGGCCAACGTGGCAAAACCCTGTCTCTACTAAAAATACAAAAAGTACCCAGATGTGGTGGTGCACACCTGTGGTCCCAGCTACTCAGGAGGCTGAGGCGTGAGAATTGCTAGAACCCAGGAGGTGGAGGTTGCAGTGAGATGAGATTGCACCACTGCACTCCAGCGTGGGTGACAGAGTGAGACTCTGTCTCAAAACAAAAAAAGAAGAAAGACTGATGTGTTCATAAAGATTGTGATTGTTAACCAAACATGAAGCTGGGCAGGAGCTGATTGAGTGGACTGAACTAATAGAGGACTGAAATAATTCGTATGGCTTTTGTTGGTTTGAAATATTGCTGATTCTTTTGGTTTTGTTTTCCAGTCTGGAGAACTTTTTTCTTCTTTGCTATTTATAGCCTTTAAGTATACTTTAAGTATATTGAGTATACTTTTGTAAACAGAATTTGAGGCATATTTCTCTCTCTGCCTAATTTCTCTAGAATTTTTAAATTATTTGTGACTATTAATTCATGGCAATGTGTTTGCTTACATATGGTTAATAACAACGTTTTCTTTTACAATGGAACACAGTTGGATAAAATGGTTATTTTCTCAGGGCTTTGATTGCAATGGCCTCGTGAGAGGTTCCAGCAAAGCCAACTTAGGAGAGCCTATGTGGACAGTGATTTTTGCTGCACTTTGTGTGGGTAATCAGGCCACGTATATGGAACTAAACTTATTTTGCAGGTACATTGGTCCTGCTATAATTTGTCTTTGGTGGAAGTGGGGCCGAGAGAGAGAGATTGTGTTTCAGAAGAAACACAATCTTTTAGTATTAAATTAACCTTTGATTCCTGGGTGGCCATGAGGTCACCCATGGTATGTGAAGCTTCCCATGATGCCCCTCCTCAACCATGAAGCAGCCAGAAAGATCCAGGACCAGACTCTCTGTGACTGTGGGATTGATAAATAGAAAGGGAGAACTGAAATCAACCCAATATGTCCATCAAAAGGTTTTTTTGTTGTTGTTGTTGTTTTGATAAACATAGAAATTGACCCTTCTGTTCTTAAAGCTCAAATCTTACATTTGTTTTATCTGAGTTCCTTTTTCAGGAAATGACCTTCAGGCCTCTCAAAGTATCAAAGAACTGAAACTTACAAATCACTACATCCAATGGGATGCTGGACCCCTCATTCATCTTGATTGCTTCCTTACCCCTCCCTAGTTCCTGTTTTCTTACACATTGTTACTTTTTTGTTTTTTTGAGACAGAGTCTTGCTCTGTCACCCAGGCTGGAGTGCAGTAGCGCTATCTTGGCTCACTGCAAGCTCTGCCTCCCGGGTTCATGCCATTCTCCTGCCTCAGCCTCCCGAATAGCTGGGACTACAGGCGCCCGCCAATACGCCTGGCTAATTTTTTTTTGTATTTTTAGTACAGAAGGGGTTTCACCATGTTAGCCAGGATGGTCTCGATCTCCTGACCTTGTGATTCGCCCGCCTCGGCCTCCCAAAGTACTGGGATTACAGGCATAAGCCACCGTGCCCGGCCCACATTGTTACATTTTATCCCTACTATATAAACCCCTAGTTTTAGTCCATCAGGGGACATGAATTGGAGACTGAGCTCCCATCTCCTTGCCTACAGCACTCAATGAAAGTATTCTTCCTTGTCAATACTAATTGTCTCAGTGATTGGCCCTCTGTGCAGTGAGCACCAAGACCTAGACCCAACACCTGGTGTTTCGGTAACAAAATAATGAGTGGAATATTTTCCATTCTTTCTTGCATTAAGTCTTTGGAATCAGTATGTAGTTTATACAACAGCTCTGCAAATTGGGCTTAGGCACAGATAAAGAGCTATTAGCCCACTGAAGTCAGTGGTGCCATGCAGGACAGGGCAGCCCCTCAGGGCTGTTGTTCTCCTGAACAACAAAGGAGAAGAGAGGAGGTGGAGAAGAGGATAGACAGAGTGGCTAGTGTCATTAATAGGGTGCAGAAAGGATGAGGTAGAGTGGGAAGAAGAGATGGGAGAAGACAATTTAGGGTCTTGATGGTCTATAGCATAGGACCCCCAGTTTCTGGCATGGAATGCTCTGGAAGAGCACTCTCAGCAATGGGGACACCAGTTAGGACACCGTCCCTATTCCCACCATTTCTGCTGCATCTCCAGGAGCAAAACACTTACTCTCAGTGGGGTCAGCACCATTTGCTGGAACCAGCAGCCTCCTCCTCTGAGACCCTTCAGCTTCTGCCGGTCCCTGTAACACACAGTGGGGAATGCCTTGGTCTGAGTCAGGGGTCCTGCAGTCTAGTACTGACTCTGACCATCAGCCAGCCCGGAAACCTGCAGCACATCACTTTCCCCCTTGGGTCACCATGGAGATGGTGAAAAACCTCTGGTCCCACATAGCTCACAGCCACTCCCCATTGCTGGCATTACCACCTCAGCTCCACCCGGTCAGATCAGTGGCAACATTAGATTCTTATAGGAGTGCAAACCCTATTGTGAACTGTGCACGTCAGGGATCTGGGTTGCATACTCCTTATGAGAATCTTATGCCTGATTATCTGTCACCGTCTCCCATCACCCTCAGATAGGACCATCTCGTTGCAGGAAAACAAGCTCAGGGCTCCCACTGACTCTACATTATGATAAGTTGTATAATTATTTCATTATATATTATAATGTGATAAGAATAGAAATAAAGTACACAATAAACGTAATGTGCTTGAATCATCCCCAAACCATCTTCACCTCCCAGTCCATAGAAAAATTGTCTTCCACAAAACTGGTCCCTGGTGCCAAAAGGTTGGGGACCATTCGTTAATAATATAATGTCTTTTGTATACACATACACTGATGCATAGATTTGGACAAAGAATCACAAGAAATGATATCTCATAGTTACTTGAGGAAAAAGACCCAGGGCACTGCAGAGTGGAGGATGCTCTCTTTACTTACTGAGTACCTTTTGATAGTTTAAATTTTCTCATTTTAAATATATAAACTATTTGTTCATGTCAAAGCACCTTATCAAGCTGGAGATTATTGACCTTTTTAATGTTTGCCTTCTTTTTTTTTTAATTACATTTTTGGTTAGAATAAATGGGTACTAATGCAAGAAAGGAACTGAATGGAACAGTCTAGGTGGAAGGAGATCATTGTCTAGATGAGCATTTAACCTGTGATTAAGGAGGGACCCAAAGCAGAGGGAAATGGGAGAATCGGCAGCTCAAAGGGGTTGGAAAAACCAGACAGTGACTAGAACAATTCAGGGAGTGCCTCGCTTTGCACTGAAACACAAAACAAGTTCCATTTAGATTATAAAGTTATATGCAAAAATCACATCATTGAAAAAAATATCTCCATAAGAAGTTAGAGGAGTTCGTCTTGTGTTGGCAAAAGGTCTTTCTACAGTAGTGAGCAATGAAAAGGTAAAAGTATCTACAGATTTCACTGGTTAAAAATTAAAGCTTCTACACCTGAAAATATTAGAACAAAAAGGGGCAAGAAGAAATTAGGAATCTACTGTCTGAATGTGAGAAAAAGCATGAGTAGGAGAGCAGGCCTTCTCATAAAGACTCTGAGAGACAAGACACTGATCTTACGCAAAAACAGTGAAAACAAAGAAATGTTCGTTTAAAACAATGTTTTCCTAAATAGCAAAAAAAAGAAAAAAAAAGAAAAGAAAAAGCCCTTCAATGTCAAATCAAAATACATGAACTGGTACAAACCAACACTAGGGGGCTGTGTGCATGTGTGTACCTGTATGTGTGGGTACGTGCATGTGTGTGTGCATGTGTGTACATGCATGTGTGTGCATGTGCGTGTATGTGCGTGTACACAGTAAGCAGCACTGTTACAGGCTGACTTGGAAATTGTGCTTCTTCTTGGAATCCTCCATACAACCATATGCAGAAATTTGGGCAGAGATTTAGATCCAAATATGTTTAATGCAATAATAATTTCAGAGTAAATTTAAAATCCCTGCTGTTATGAGCAAGGGCTCCCTAACTTCTGTAGGAGCACACAGTGGAGACCGTGCAGCCTTATTCAGTCATCAACAAACCCTGTGACCCCCACTCTATTCCTCTGGAGCTCCAGTTTCTGAGGACATGGCAAGGACAGGACAGGGACTAAGAAGCAGACATTTGGAAGAGTGCCTGTCCCCTTGTGAGGGTGGCTGCTTTTTCCCACGCAGCCCCGTCCCCTGCAGTCCCATCTCCCTCAGGCTCCACTTCCCCTTTGACCAGGAGAGCCGAGGCATGGCCTTCACCCCCTGCCTACAAGGTCTTGGAGGGGCCTGTCCCCAACTCACCAGCAGACACTGTGCCTCCCCTGGGGACTGTACAGTGACACCTGTCAAATCTGCCGGCTCCTGGCTTTCCATTTGCTGCTCAGAGACGAAAGTGGACAGCGAGTCTGCGTTGCTCAGAATCTCGTTGTGAGCATTGTCCTCAGCCCCAGGCCCTCGTAGGAGACCCAAGCGCCAGAAACACACCTTAGGAAGGCAAAGAGCCAACTCAGAAGCCCACACCCAGGGCTCCCCACGGGGTCCGTAGGGCACGGCTGGACCTGCTGCCACCACCCCCTCCCAGTGAGGTCACTCCAGGAAGTCCATGCTCAGCACATCCAGGACCTGCTGCTGGGGCCAGGCCCTGGTGCTGGGCTTGGGGGCTCACCCCATCCCCAGGGTACAGGCTGTGGGGTAAGGGTCTCACCTGGGCTGTAGGAAGCACAGGGCTACAGAATGGCCCACCAGCCTGTATGATGCTCAAAAGGGCCTGTGTCCCCCATAGTCAATGCACAGCATCCAGGCCACTTCAGAGACTCAGGGCAGCCATGAGAGCACGGGGACCCACCCACCTGGACTACACTGTGGGCAAGAAGCAGTTCCTGAGCCCCTGATGCCCCCAGCTCCTGGAGAAATCAACTCACCCTGTCCATGCACTTGGGGTCCCCTCCACAACCTAGAAGAGAAGACGGTTCCCTTAGTGGCCAGGGAGGGGCCCATGCAGCACTCCTTCTTAGAGGGCAGTGTTGGGCAGGGGTGGGCTGGGGGCTGGGACACTGGACAAAGATCCCCGGGCCTGGGGATCCACATGAGGCCCTGCTAACTCGGGAGATCCTTCAGGAGCGGGGAGCATAAAGGGAAGTAGGCTAAAAACAAACAAGTGGAACATCACTGTTTTCTGCTCTGTGTTTTGCTCTGAACAAAGCTACATAAATCCCACAACCACTTCTCGTCTCGACTCTTGTCATCCAGTTGAGGAGCTGACTGCCCCCTGCCTGGATGGGCCTGACCAGTGGAGGAACTGGCCCTGCCTTCCCAGACTTGGCTGGGAGATGAGGGGACCCCCAGCCTTGGGAGAGGGACGGATGACACCAGGGCCCTAGGGTTGCACAGGATGGGAGGATGGGGGGTGATCACAAGGAGGAAGATAGAGCCCGGCCAGAGACACTAGGACTTGGGGCAGGGGTGAGCGTTTCTGTCTGTGGGAACAGAAGAAGGCAGGGCAGAGAGTGCCCAGAGCCCTTGCCCTCAGCCAGCACCTACCTGAGCCGATGCAACAACAGACAATCAGCACAGCCACCAACAGCAACGGAACAACCAAAGTCACAACCAAAATCACCCATATATTATGTCCATTGCCTGAGAAAAGACAGGAAAAGACAGGAGTCTCGGGCTGCTGGTCCCTGTCTCCTCTGCAGCTGGGGCTTCCCCAGTGGGCTTTGTACCTGATTCTTTGTGGACACACTCGATGTCACTCCAGGGCGTACAATCCTTGACCTTGACCATCCCTCTGGGGCACCTGGGTACACACAGGGAGGGAGGGGGGGGACTCTTGATGGAAAGCTGGCCAGGTGGGATGAAAGAGGAGCCACTCTCCCTGCCCAATGTCCCTGAGAAGGCGTCAGGGGAAGGATAGTCTCCTCGTATCTGCAGGGGGTCCCCCTATGCTCCCTTGTTTAGGCTGGGGAAGGGTCTGAGCATGCACACTTTACCCCCTTGGCCTCCCTGCTCTGGGGTCAGAGCTGCAGTTCCAGGAGCCTTCTGTGCTGGGCACACACTAATCTTCCCTGGGCTGCAGGGGAGGCCTGCGTTAGGAGGAATCACACTCCAGGGGAAGATCACAAGCCCGTGTGGCCACAAGCTGAGCCCCTTCCTCCAGTTAACCCACAGTACAAGTGAGCCCTCGCCCCCACCTGTCTGCTGGTTCCTCTCAATCACAGCAAACACTGGAGGACCAGAGAAGAGCAATTACTCTTTGCTTCCAAAACCAAAATAGGAAAAAGACAGGACTTATTGAGAAATCAGGGGCCAGGGGTGAGGCTGGCTGGGTGGGCTCAGGTCCTCATGGGAACTTGAAGGAGCTCCACCCATGGCCTTATTATGATTTTTGCGGGCTGTGGGCATTTCTGTCTTCTTGAATTAAAAGCAAATATTAAAAATTACATTTTATGACTCAATTTGTTTAAATATAAATATAACCCCAGCTGGATTCTATACCATTATTTTCTTATGATTTCAAGATAAAATATTTCATGTACCTCTGTTGTGGGCCCTAAGTCATGGCCTCCTGTGCCTAGTGAACAAGTCAGCCTGGCCAAGGGGACTAGTGCTGGGGAGGGGTGAGAAGGGGCCACTGCAGGGGACAGGGGTGGGGACAGGCAGATGGACCAGGAGGGGCAGGTTGCAGGCTCAGGAGACGCCACAGGCTCAGGGACACCTATGGGGGTGGAGGCACCATGGGGTCAGGGCTGATAGATACGGGTACAAGGAGACTCGGGTCTTTTTAGGGTTCCTTGCTTCTGTGGGTTCTTTGAGGCTGCTGGGAGCCCCTTGGCTGTTGTCTCACCCTCTGCTGCACTTCCGGCACATCTCAGCAGAATTGTCATTCCGGAAAGTTCCTGGTTTGCACTGACATGCTGTGTTCCTGGTCGTGGTGCAGGGACTTCTCTCTTCTTCATCTGATGACAGAGTACAAGGTTTTGGGAATGTGTTTCCCTGACGTGTCCCTTGACCTTTCCTCACCACCCCAACTCCCTCCCCCTCAGCTCAGCTCAACTCAGTTTGCCAAGGAGTTCTGAGGGCCAGATTCTGCACCAGCACACTCGGGCTCACACAGGACACCCACCCTTCAGCTGTCACCAACACTTGGAGTCATACAAAAGGACCATGATTCATTATTTATTACATCAGATTAGGGAAAAAGCACCATTTAGATCGCATGGTCAGTAGCAAAGGAGGCACATGGTATGTGAGAGAGTCTGCAAGAAGAGGAGCCCTTGGGTGACTTCCCAAAAACCCAGCCTGCTGAGGAAGAGGGAGGCGCCTGAGAAACTGAAGGCTGAGTGAGCCTGAGAACCTGCCAGGAGCACACAGCCCAGGGGGAGCGTGGCCCCAGAGCAGACCCGTACCACCGCTGAAACTCAGCCCTGTCCACTCAGCCAGGCCTTCTTTGTGCTGTAATGATGCCCCTACCCTCTTGGAGCTGATAGTTTGCACTACCAGGTGGCATGCATTATAAAAATGATTTCTTTCTGTTTCATTTTATGGACCTAAGACATAACCATGGAACAGGGTATGATGAAGACCAAGTTGGGCTGGAACTTGGTTCCCTGACTCACATTGGCTACCACTCCCACCTCACTGCCCCTCACTCCACCTCTGGACAAGAGGTCCACACATTCTGTACCTGATTTACAAGCTGTACATGGGAGGCAAGCAAACAAATTGTTGGAAGCATTGGTGTAACCCACACCCTCTGTGCACCGGTTACAGGCTCCAGGATGTTCTGATCTATGAGATCCTGGGAAGGGAGAGAAAAGCCAATGAATGAATTGCCACAGAGTTCCCAGAGGATCGTGGCGGTGGCTAGGAAACTCTTCTTTTGGCCATCAGTAGACCCCAGACAGAGAAATCCCATCTTCTTGGCTTGGTCTTGTCGTCAATTCTGCATCTATACACACCTCTGACTGGCGCTGCTGACAGAAATACAATACAAACCACATGCAAAATTCAAATTCTATGAGAGCCATATTAAAATAGTAAAAAGAGAATGAGGTCAAATTAATTTTAACAATGTACTTTTTGGACCTAAAATATCCAAAACATTAGCATTTCAACATGTAAACAAGATAAAACATTGAGATATTTTCTTTTATTTTGAATACTAAGTGTTCGAAACCCAGAGTGTATTTTTCACTCACTGCACATCTCAATTCAAAGTGGCTGTGTTTTAAGTGATTAATGGCCACATAGGCCTAGAGACCAGGGCAATGCCACCTGCATCCCTGGAAACTCACAAAAAGTCCTAATCCCTGCCCTCAGTGAGCTCTTGGTCAGTAGAAGGTACAAACAGGCGCAGAAACAATACAGCGATGAGGGGAAGGCTTCAGATACAGCCCATGCCACCTGCCATGGGAGGAAAATGGAAGGAAAAAGGGTCCTCCCTATACAGAGTCAAAGAATGATCCACAGAAAGAAGGCCTACCTCATGCTGCCCTGGATTGCAGAGGGTCTCCAGGCACTGAGGTGACAGCCTGCAGGAGCTGTCGCCAGCGGGAGCCCATGTCTGGAGGCTCGACCTTCACCTCCAGGGCTTCGCCCCTTCAGGTGACCTCACTCTCCCCTTTCAGTGCCCATTTATTTATCCCTCTCCTCTGATTCATATTTACTGATATTGAAAGATACTCTTAGAAAACCCAAACTGTGGAAAAAAAACTTCCTTGATAATGTGTTACGATGACGACACTACCAATTATAAAAATGTGGTTATTGAGTAATAGTGCTGGGGCAACTAAGGTTACTACTGAAAAATAATAAAGGCTTTTTTTTTTTTTTGAGATGGAGTCTCGCTCTCTCACCAGGCTGGAGTTCAGTGGCGTGATCTTGGCTCACTGTAACCTCCGCCTCCTGGGTTCAAGCGATTCTCCTGCCTCAGCCTCCCGAGTAGCTGGGACTACAGGAGCGTGCCACCACGCCTGGCTAATTTTTTGTATTTTTAGTAGAGACGGGGTTTCACTAGGTTTCACCAGGATGGTCTCGATCTCCTGACCTCATGATCCACCTGCCTCGGCCTCCCAAAGTGCTGGGATTACAGGAGTGAGCCACCGTGCCACTGTGAAGGAAAAACTTCCTTGCTGATGTGTTATGATGATGACACTATCGATGATAAAAATATGATTATTCAGTAATGGCGCTGGGGCAACTAAGGTTACTGCTGAAAAATAATAAAGCTTCTTGCTTATGCTCTCCCTATAAGGAAATAGAGACTAGGTCTATCAAGGTGTCAACTGTAAAGTATGAAATCACACAAGTACTGCATGAGAAATTTTTCTTACAAGTTTGGAGAGAGAAAGGACCTTCTCAGTCTCACGAGAAACTAAAAAGTTGCATAAAGTTAACTATATGAAAATTAGGAAGAAAACTGCATGGAAGAAATCTTGACTAAGATGAAAACAAAGTAGGAGAAAATACTTGCAATGAAAACCACACTGCAAAGCATAGTTTCCTTAACCTATAGGAATTCATACCAAAAAAATCTAGAAAGAACATCAACAAGAAAGTAGTAGACTTGAACAACACTATTAACAACTAGACTGGACAGATGTCTATAAAACACTCTACTCAATCAAAACAAGATACACATTCTTTTAAAGTGCACATAGAACATTCTCCAAAATAAACCATATGCTTGGCCATAAGATAAACCTCAATACACTTAAAAGGATAGAGATAATACAAAATACACTCTCCTACCACAATGGAATAAAATTAGAAATCAATAGCAGGAAGAAACTGGGGAACATCACAGCTATATAAAAATTAAATAGCACACTCCTAAATAACCAACTGGTCTAAAAAGAAATCAAAAGAGAAATCAGAAAATAAGACGAATGAAAATGAAGACACAACATACCAAAACCTATGGGATACAGCTAACGTAGCTGAAGTTTACAGAGAAATTGTCTATTAAGGAAGAAGAAATATCCTTCCTAAATGTCTATTAAGGAAGAAGAAATATCTCAATCTATAACCTAATAATCCACTCTAAGACACTCGAAAAAGAAGAGCAAACTATAGATAAAGCAAGCAGAAGGAAGAAAATAATACAGATTAGAGCAGAAATTAATGAGACGGAGAACAGAAAAACAACAGAGTAAATTAATGAACTCAAAATCTAGTTCTTTAAATAGATCGATATATTGGCACAACTAATTGTGTTAAAAAATTAGCACAGGGAAAAAATAAGACTCAAATTATAGTCACGCACTGCATGATGACGTTTCGGTCAACAATGAACCACATATGTGACGGTGGTCCCATAATATTATAATGGAGGAGGAAAATTCCTATCGCTTAGTAATGTCATAAGTCAATGCGTTACTCAGGTGTTTGTGGTAATGCTGATGTAAACAAACCTACTTCACTGCCAGTTAAAAGTATAGCACATATAATGAAGTTCTATATATAATATTTGATAATGATAATAAATGACTTACTGATTTATGTATTTTTGATACTATACATTGTAATGTTATTTTAGAGTGTACTCCTACTTACAAATAAAAAAGGTAACTATAAAACAGCCTCATGCAGTTTTCCAGAAGAAGGCATTGTTATCAGAGGACATAGGAGTTGACAGCTCCATGTGTGTCTGCCCCTGAAGATCCTCCAACGCGACAAGATGTGGAGGTGAAAGACAGTGATGTTGATGAACCTGTCCTTGTGTAGACCTAGGTTAATGTCTGTGTTTCTTTTTTTTTTTTTTTTTGAGAAGGAGTCACACTCCGTCACCCAGGCTGGAGTGCAGTGGCGCAATCTCAGCTCACTACAACCTCTGCCTCTCAGGTTCAAGCGATTATCCTGCCTCAGCCTCAGCCTCCCGAGTAGCTGGGACTACAGGTGCCTGCCACCATGCCCAGCTAATTTTTTGTATTTTTAGTAGAGACAGGGTTTCACTGTGTTAGCCAGGATGGTCTCGATCTCCTGACCTCGTGATCCGCCTGCCTTGGCCTCCCAAAGTGCTGGGATTACAGGTGTGAGCCACTGCGCCCGGCCAATGTCTGTGTTTCTATCTTAGTTTTTAACAAAAAAATTTTTAAGTAAAAAAAAGTTTAAGTTAAAAATACAAAAATGTTTATAGAATACGAATATAAAGAAAGAACATTTTTTGTACAGCTGTACAGTTTTTGTTTTTTAAGCTAAGTGTTAAAACGAGTGAAAAAGTTTTAAAAATTAAAAAGTTTATAAAGTAAAATAGTTACACGAAGTTAATATTGAAGGAAGGAAAAAAAAATTTACAGATTTGGTGTAGCCTAAATGTACAGTGTTTATAAAGTCCATAGTAGTGTACAGGAATGTCCCAGGCCTTCACATTCACTCACCACTCACTGACTCACCCAGACAAGATCCAGTCCTGCAAGCTCCATTCATGGTAAGTGCCCTAGACAACTACATCATCTTTTTTAACCTTTTATACCATATTTTTATTGGGCCTTTTCTATGTTCACATGTTTAGGAACTCAAATACTTATCATTGTGTTACAATTGTCTACTAGTACAGGTTTGTAATCTAAGAGCAATAGGCTATATCACATAGCCTAGGGATGCAGTAGGCTATATCATCTAGGTTTGTGGAGGTACACTCTATGATGTTTGCACAATGATGCACTTGTCAGAATGAGTTCCCATCATTAACTGAGGCATGACTGTATTAGAATCAGAAATGAGAGAGAGCACATTACTACAGATTATATAGAAATAAAAAAATTATAAAAGAATACTATGAAACCTGTACAACAAAAAATTAGGTACCTTGGATGAAAGGGGCAAATTCCTAGAAAGACACAAACTACTGAAACTGAATCAAGATGAAAGAGACAATGTGAATAGACATATAGCAAGTAAAGATTTTGACTTAGTTATCAAAACTACTCCTAAAGAAAAGTCGTTTTCACAAGATGGCACTGAAAGCAAAGAAGGAAGCTCCTGCCCCTCCTAAAGCTGAAGCGATGCAAAGGTTTTGAAGGCCAAGAAGGCAGTGTAGAAAGGTGTCCACTGCCATGAAAAAAAGAATATCCATACATCACCCACCTTCCGGTGGCCCAAGATACTGAGACTCTGGAGAGCACCCCCAGGAGAAACAAGCTTGACCACTATGCTATCATCAAGCTTCCACTGACCACTGAGTATGCCATGAAGAAGATAGAAGACGACAACAACACACTTGTGTTCATTGTAGATGTTAAAACCAACAAGCACCAGATCAAACAGGTTGTGAAGAAGCTCTATGATGTTTATGTGGCCAAGGTTCAACACCCTGATTAGGCCTGATGGAGAGAAGAAGGCATATGTTCGACTGGCTCCTGATTACCATGTCTTGGATGTTGCCAACAAAATTGGGATCATCTAAACTGAATCCAGCTGGCTAATTCTAAATACATGTATATGTTTTCACCAGAAAAACAAAGTTGAGGCCCAGATGCCTTTACCACTGAATGATACCAACCATTTCAAGAAGAATTAATACCAATTATTCAGAAACCCTTTTTAAAGACAGCAGAGGAAGGAGCACTTTCCAATTCATTGTATAAGGACAATATTACTGATATGATTTGGCTGTGTCCCCACACAAATCTCATCTTGAATTCCCGTAAGTTGTGGGAGGGATCCAATGGGAGGTAATTGAATCATGTGGGGCAGGTCTTTCCCTTGCAGTTCTCATGATAATGAGTAAGTCTCATAAGATCTGATGGTTATTATAAGGGGGAGTTTTCCTGCACAAGCTCTCTTTGCTTGCTGCCATCCATGTAAGACATGACTTGCTCCTCCTTGCCTTCCATCATTATTGTAAGACTTCCCCAGCCACGTAGAACTGTAAGTTCAATTAAACCTCTTTCTTTGTAAATTGCCCAGTCTTGGGAATGTCTTCATCAGCAGCACGAAAAAAAAAAAAAAAAACTAATACAGTAAATTGGTACCAGTAGAGTGGGGAGCTGCTGAAAAGATACCTGAAAATATGGAAGCAACTTTGGAACTGCATAACAGGCAGAGGTTGGAACAGTTTGGAGGGCTCAGACGAAGATAGGAAAATGTGGGAAAGTGTGGAACTTCCTAGAGACTTGTTGAATGGCTTTGACCAAAAGCCTAATAGTGATATGGACAATAAAGTCCAGGCTGAGATGATCTCAGATGGAGATGAGGAACTTATTGGGAACTGGAGCAAAGGTGACTCTTGTTATATTTTAGCAAAGAAAGCAAAGAGAGTGGTGGCATTTTGTCCCTTCCCTAGAGATCTGTGGAGCTTTGAACTGGGAAGAGGTGATTTAGGGTATGTGGCAGAAGAAATTTCTAGGCAGCAATGCATTCAAGGGGTGACTTGAGTGCTGTAAAAGGCATTCAGTTTTTTTGTTTATTTGTTTGTTTCTTTGTTTTTAACCAATGTTGCATTCCTAGGATAAAACTTACTTGGTCCTGGTATATAATTCTTTTTTTGTTTTGTTTTGTTTTTTGTTTTTGAGACAGAGTCTTGCTCTGTTGCCCAGGCTGGAGTGCAGTGGCATGATCTCGGCTCACTGCAAGTCCGCCTCCTGGGTTCACACCATTCTCCTGCCTCAGCCTCCTGAGTAGCTGGGACTACAGGCACCCACCACCATGCCTGGCTAATTTTTTTGTATTTTTAGTAGAGACGGGGTTTCACCGTGTTCGCCAGGATGGTCTCAATCTCCTGACCTCATGATCCACCTGCCTTGGCCTCCCAAAGTGCTGGGATTACACGCATGAGCCACCGCGCCTGGCCGGCATTCAGTTTTATAAGGGAACCAGAGCATTAAAGTTTGGAAAATCTGCAACCTGACAATGTGCTAGAAAAGAAAACCCATTTTCTGAGGAGAAATTAAAGATGGCTGCATAAATTTGCATAAGTAATGAGGAGCTGAGTGTTAATCCCCAAGACAATGGGGAAAATGTCTCCAGGGCATGTTAGAGGTCATCATGGCAGCCCCTCCCATCACAGGCCCGAAGGCCTAGGAGAAAATAGTTTCCTGGTAGGAGTCCAGGGTCTTGTGCTGTGTGGAGTCTAGGGACTTGGTGCCCTACATTCCAGCCACTCCAGCTGTGACTAAAAGGGGCCAAGGTACAGCTTGGGCTGTTGCTTCAGAGGTGGAAGCCCCAAGCCTTGGCAGCTCCCACATGGTGTTAAGCCTGCAGGTGCACAGAAGTCAAGAATTGAGGTTTGGGAACCTCCACGTAGATTTCAGAAGATGTATGAAAACGCCTGGATGCCCAGGCAAAAGTTTGCTGTAGGGGCAGGGCCCTCATGGAGAACCTCTGCTAGGGCAGTGTGGAAGGGAAATGTGGCATCAGAGCCCCCACACGGAGTCCCTACTGGGGCACTGCCTAGTGGAGCTGTGAAAAGAGGGCCATTGTCCTTCAGACCCCAGAATGGTAGAACTGCTGATAACTTATACACCGTGCACCTAGAAAAGCTGCAGACACTCAACACCGGCACGTGAAACCAGCCAGGAGGGGCGCTATACCTTGCAATGCCACAGGGGCGGAGCTGCCCAAGACTATGGGAACCCGCCTCTTGCATCAGTGTGACCTGGATGTAAGACAAGGAGTCAAACGAGATCATTTTGGAGCTTTAAGATCTGACTGCCCTGCTGGATTTCAAACATGCATGGGGCCTGTAGCCCTTTGTTTTCGACAATGTCACCCATTTGGAATGGATGTATTTATCCAATGCCTGTACCCCCATTATATCTAGGAAGTAACTAACTTGCTTTTGATTTTATAGGCTCATAGGCAGAAGGGACTTGCTTTGTCTCACATGAGACTTTGGACGGTGAACTTCCGAGCTAATGCTGAAATGAGTTAAGACTTTGGGGGACTGTTGGGAAGGCATGATTGGTTTTGAAATGTGAGGACATGAGATGTGGGAGGGGCCAGGGGTGATAGGGTTTGGATACATTCTCACTCAAATTTCATGTTGAATTCCCACATGTTGTGGGAGGGACCTGGTGGGAGATATCTGAATCACAGGGGCAGGTCTTTCCCATGCTGTTCTCATTATAGTGAGTAAGTCTCATGATATCTGATGGTTATTATAAGGTGGAGTTTTCCTGTACAAGCTCTTTGCTTGCTGCCATCCAAGTAAGATGTGACTTGCTCTTCCTTGTCTTCTGCCATGATTGTGAGGCTTCTGCAGCCACATGGAACTGTTAAGTCCAATTAAACCTCTTTCTTTTGTAAATTGCCAGCTTTGGGTATGTCTTTATCAGCACCATATAAACGGACTAATACAATTAGCTTAATATGAAGACCAGAAAAGGACCTCATAAAGAAAGAAAACTACAGACTAACGATTCTTATGAATATTGTTGCAAAAATTTGCAACAAAATACTAGCAAGTTGAATCCACAAGCATACAAAAAGAATTATAGGCTGGGCACGGTGGCTCACGACTGTAATCCCAGCACTTTGGAAGGCTGAGGCAGGCAGATCACAAGGTCAGGAGATCTAGACCATCCTGGTTAACACGGTGAAACCCCGTCTCTACTAAAAAATACAAAAAATTAGCTGGGCGTGGTGGCAGGCGCCTGTAGTCCCTGCTACTTGGAAGGCTGAGGCAGGAGAATGGTGTGAACCCGGGAGGCAGAGCTTGCAGTGAGCCGAGATCGCGCCACTGCACTCCAGCCTGGGCAACAGAGTGAGACTCCATCTCAAAAACAAAAAACAAAACAAAACAAAAAAGAATTATATACCAGGACCAAATAAGTTTTATCCTAGGAATGAAAGGTTGGTTCAACATCCCAAAATAAATTGATGTAACAAATTATATCAATAGAATGAAAACCAAAAGTCACATGATTATCTCAAAAACACAGAGAAAGCATTTTACTAACTCCAACACCCTTTCATGATAAAAATCACAAAATAATCTAGGAATAAAAGTGAACTTCCTCAACCTGATAAAGAATATCTACAAAAACCCACAGCTAACATTATATTTAATGGTGAACAACTGAAAGATGTTCTCCAAAAAAGATATCTGTTTTCACTACTTTTATTCAATATGGTACTGGAGGCTCTAGCCAGGACAATTAGGTAAGAAAAAGAAATAAAAAGCATCCAGATTGGAAAAGAAAAGGTAAAACTTTCTCTATTTGCAAATTATATTTTCTTATATAGAGGAAATCCTAAGGAAGCCATTATAAAAACATTAAGAATAACAAACAAGTTCTGCAAGGTTATAGAATACAAGATCAATGTACAAAAATCAATTATATTTGTATACACTCACAATGAATCCTAAAATGAAATTAAGAAAAGGTTTTATCCACAATAGCATAAAAAAGTATTAAATATCTAGGAATAAGTTTAACAAAATCAACCCAAAATTTATAGTCTGCAAACTACGAAACATTATTTTAAAAATTAGAGATGATTTAAATAAATCAAAAAAACTCATGCTTTGGGATCAAAAGACTTCTCATTGTTAAGATGCCAGGAACCTCTAAACTGAGCAACAGGTGCAACACAATCCCTGTGAGAAACTCAGCTGATTTTAGAAATTGGCAAGCTGATCCTAAAATTAATATGGAATTTCAAAAAGCCCAGCATAAACAAAATAATTCTGGAAAAGGAAAACAAAAAAGAAAGATTCATACTTCCTGATGTCAAAACTCACTACAAGACTGTGTGGCACTGGAAAGAGGACAGATATAGATCAATGGAAAAGAATTGAGAGTCCAAAAATACACCCATACCTTTATGGTCAATTGGTTTTTGACAAGGATGCCAAGGCCATTTAATGGGAAAAATCATCATTTCAACGAATGGCAACTGGATAGCCACATGCAAAAGAATGCAGTTGGACGCTTATCTGATGCCATTTACAAAAATTAACTGAAAATGCATCAAGAGTTAAAGTACAAAACTCTTAGGAGAAAACATGGGGATAAAGCTTCATAACCTTGGATTTGGCAAAGGATCAATAAGTATCTGTTGAATAGAAGAACCAGAAACTGTAGGAAACAGAAAACTTGAAGAACATGGAAAAGGAATGTTATTGATGAATTTTGAGATAATTTTTGTATATAGTATAGGGTAAGGAAAAGAGAGGTGTAAAGGATTAGAGATCAGTCTTAGAATGTACCTGGTGGACACAACTCTCCCAAAGGGCTATGTTCCCATTGCTGTGTGCCAATTGATTGATCATGAAGTTTGATGGTTGCAGCTGAGCTAGGTACGACCTGTGGGGACAAAGCAGGGACTGGCATGAGTGGCTTCCAGATCTCACCCATTACAAGATCAATCTCACATTCCATTCCCCCAAGCCTCCAAAATTAGACAGAACTTGCATCTTTCTCCCAGTTCTAAAACTCAACCATTTGTTTGTGCTCATCTTTGTCTCTTTGTCCCCATGCCCCCAGCCTGTGGCAACTACCATTCTACTGTCTGTTTCTATGAATTTAACTACTCTACATACTTCATATAAATGGAGACATACAGTATTTTATGGTTTTCTTGAGGCTGTCATATTTCAATTAGCATAAAATCATCACGATCCATCCATTCGGTACCATGCATTGGAATTTCATTCCTTTCCATTGTGTGTATATGTATTACGTTTATCCATTCATCTGTCAATGGGCACTTGGTTTGTGTTCACATTTTAGCTATTGTGAATAAAGCTGCTATGAACACGGGTGTACAAAATCTCTTTATGCCCTTTCTTTCAATTCTTTTGGATATATACCCCAAGGTAAAATTGCTGTTTTCTTACAAGAGTTGTATAATTCTTATAGATCTTACATTTGGAGGCCACATATGAAAAGCCAACAGCTACCATCCTACTCAATAGTGAAAGACTAAAGGTTTTTTCTCCAAGATCAGGAACAAGACATGGAGGCCTCCTTTCATCACTTCTATATTATCAGGGTAATGCGGGGCCCACACGAAGAGTTAGAAAGTGTTCCCTCCAACTCAGTTTCTTGGAAGAATTTGAGAATTCATGTTAGTTCTTTAAATGTTTGGTAGACGTCATCATTGAAGCCAACTGGTCCTGGGCTTTTCTTTGCTGGGAAGTTTTGGATTATGGATTCTATCTCCTTACTATAGTTCTGTTCAAAATCTCTATTTCTTCATGATTGAATATTGGTAGGTAGTGTGTTTTTAGTAATTTACCAGTTTTATCAATGTGCTCTAGTTTGTTGACATGCAATTATTTATAGTATTTTTTATAATCCTTTGGATTTCTGTAAAGTTGTTTTAAATGTCCCCTCTTTCATTTCTGGTTTTGGTTATTTAAGTTTTCTGTCTTTTTTCTTAGTCCATCTAAGTAAAGGTTTGTACATTTTATAGATCTCTCTTAAGGGTCAACTTTCAGTTTCTTTGAGTTTCTCTGCAGTTTTTCTATTCTCTATTTCTGTTATCTCTGATCTATTTTTTGCTGGTTTGGGCTTAGTTTGCTCCTCTTTTTTTTTTTTTTTTTTTTTTTTTTTTTGAGACAGAGTCTCGCTCTGTTGCCCAGGCTGGAGTGCAGTGGTGCGATCTTGGCTCACTGCAAGCTCCGCTTCCCAGGTTCATGCCATTCTCCTGCCTCAGCCTCCCGAGTAGCTGGGACTACAGGCGCCCGCCACCATGCCCAGCTACGTTTTTTGTATTTTTATTAGAGACAGAGTTTCACTGTGTTAGGATGGTCTCTATCTCCTGACCTCGTGATCCGTCCACCTCGGCCTCCCAAAGTGTTGGGATTACAAGCGTGAGCCACCACGCCCAGCTGTTTGCTCTTCATTTTCTACTTCATTATGTAAAAGGTAGATTGTTCATTTATTTCTTCTTTTAATGTGGTGAGCATTTACAGCTATCATTTTCCATTATAACACTGCTTTCATATCCTGTAACTTATGGTATATTGTTTTCATTTGTCTCAAGATATTTTCTTTTGAAACATTTTTCTAATTTCCATAGGTTTGAGGGTACAGCTGCTTTTTGTTGTTGTTGTTGTTACATGGATAAGTTCTTTAGTGGTGAGTTCTGAGATTTTAGTGTGCCTGTCATCTGTCTCAAGATATTTTCTTTCTTTTTTGAGGGGGGTGGGGCCTCCCACAATCTGCCCACCTTGGCCTCCCAAAGTGCTGGGATTATAGGCGTGAGCTACAGAGCTCAGCCTCCCAAGACATTTTCTAATTTCCCTTTTCATTTATTTTTTTACCCATTGGTTGTTTTAAAATGTGTTGTTTAGGCCGGGCGCAGTGGCTCATGCCTGTAATCCCAGCACTTTGGGAGGCCGAGGCAGGCAGATCACGAAGTCAGGAGATCGAGACCATCCTGGCTAACACGGTGAAAACCCGTCTCTATTAAAAAATACAAAAAATTAACCGGGCGTGGTGGCGGGTGCCTGTAGTCCCAGCTACACGGGAGGCTGAGGCAGGAGAATGGCGTGAACCTGAGAGACGGAGCTTGCAGTGAGCCGAGATTGTGCCACTGCACTCCAGCCTGGACGACAGAGCCAGACTGTCTCAAAAAAAAAAAACAGCAAAAAAGTGTTGTTTAATTTTCACATATTTGTGGATTCTCCAGTTTTCCTTCTGCTATTGATTTATAATTTCCTTTTATTGTGATTGGAAAAGATAGTTTGTTTTATTTCAATTTTTAAAATTGTATTAAGACTTGTTTTGTGGCCTAACATATAGTGTGTCCTGGAGAATGTTTCATGTACCCTTGAGAAAAATGGATATTCTCCTGTGATTGGGCAGTGTTCACATACACACAGACATACACACGCTTTTACTAATGAGGGTTAGGTGATGTGTAAATTTTTTAAAAAGCAGGATACTGAATCAAATATTAAATAATGAACTTCAGGTTTAAAAAGGCACTTTACAAACTGTCCCCCAAAACAGCCTGCCAATGTCCCATGAAATACTAGAGTCAGAAAAAGATGAAAGAGCAGTATAGTTATTCAGGACAGGATTTCTGTGCAATAAATTACATTATAAAGACAAGTGAAAACCATTGGGGTCTGAGGATTAGCTGGTAGTAATGTACTGATGCTTACTGTCTGATATTGAGGATTGTATTGTGGTTATACGGGAGAATGTCCTTATTTGTTGGAAATATCCACTCAAGTGTATAAGGGTGATGTGCGTTCTGTGGGTAGCTTGCTCTCAGGTGGTTCAAAGTAAAGGGTATAGTATAATTTTTGCATCTTTTCTGTAATTGGGAGATTTTTTAAATTAGAAAGTTAAATTAGAAAAGGAAGAGCAGGGGGGCCGGGCGCCGTGGCTCACGCCTGTAATCCCAGCACTTTGGGAGGCCAAAGTGGGCGACCACCTGAGGTCAGGAGTTCAAGACCAGCCTGGCCAACATGGTGAAACCCCGTCTCTACTAAAAATATGCTGGGCGTGGTGGTGGGCACCTGTAATCCCAGCTACTCCAGAGGCTGAGGCAGGAGAATCACTTGAACCCAGGAGGCGGAGGTTCCAGTGAGCTGAGATTGCACCACTGCACCCCGGCCTGCATGACAGAGCGAGACTCCGACTCAAAAAATAGCATAACTAAATAAATAAATAAATAAATAAACAAACAAAACAAACAATGAATTCCAATTCATAGACAGCTTTAGGAATATTTAAATTATCTTTATTTCTTGTGGCTATTTTGCTAAGTAGTGTTTTTTAAGAAATTTGTCTATTTAATCCAAGTTGTCAAATTGATTGGCATAAAGTTATTCATAAGATCCCACTATTTTCCTTTTAATGGCTGTAGAGTTTGTAATAACATCCCATCATTAATTCTTGATATTGGTATTTCATGCTGTTGTTCTTTTTTTCTTTTAAAGTTTGGTTTATTACTTTTTTTTTTTTTTCCTGAGATGGAGTTTTACTCTTGTTGCCCAGGCTGGAGTGCAGTGGCGTGATCTCGGCTCACTGCAACCTCGGTCTCCTGGGTTCAAGCGATTCTCCTGCCTCAGCCTCCGGAGTAGCTGGGATTACAGGCATGTGCCACCACGCCTGGCTAATTTTGTATTTTTAGTAGAGATGGGGTTTCTCCATGTTGGTCCGGCTGGTCTCAAACTCCAGACCTCAGGTGAATCGCCTGCCTCGGCCTCCCAAAGTGCTGGGATTACAGGGATGAGCCATCTCGTCCGGCCAGTTTATTACTTTTATTAATTTTGTTGATCATTTCTGAGAACCAACTCTTAGCTTGTTGATTCCTTTTATTGTTTGAATTCTATTTCATTGATTTCAGTCTTATTATTTCCTTGTCATGTTGTTACTACCTTTGAGTTTAATTTATACTTATTTTACGGGTAAGTAATGCACACCTCTGAGTCATTGATTTTGATACCATTCTTCTTTTAATCCTTAAGAACTTTACTGAGATATACTTTATATATGATGTAATTCTTTCCTTTAAATATATTTATAGAAGTGTATAACCATCAATAAAATCAATTTTTGAAGATTTTCATCATCATCCCCAAAAGAAACTCCAGGCCAGGCACGGTGGCTCACGCCTGTAATCCCAGCACTTTGGGAGGCCGAGGTGGGTGGATCACGAGGTCAGGAGTTCAAGACCAGCCTGTGCAACATGGTGAAACCCTATCTGTACTAAAAATACAAAAATGAGCCGGGCGTGCTGGCAGGTGCCTATAGTCCCAGCTACTCGGGAGGCTGAGACAGGAGAATCACTTGAACCCGGGAGGCAGAGGTTGCAGTGAACCGGGATCACGCCACTGCATTCCAGCCTAGGCGACAGAGCAAGAAGCCAATTCAAAAAAAAAAAAAAGAAATATTTTGAATTCTCTTTGATTTCATTCGTGAACTATGAGTTATTTATAAGTATGTTGCTTAATATTCACATTTTTGGAGTCCTTCTAGATATTGTTATTGCTTAACACTTTAATTTCATTGAGATCAGAGAACATATTTTATATTATTTTGTTTTAAATGTATTTAGATTTGTTTTATAGTTCACAATGTGGTCTATCTTGGTGAAGTACCATGTTCATAGAAGAGAAGGAATCTCCCATAGATGTTGCATATATGCTCTATAAATGTCAGTTAAGTCAAGGTGGTTGACAATGTTCAGATCTGTTATTTTACTGTTTTCATCTGATCGTTCTATCAGTTGCTGAGAAGGGGGTGACATGATCTCCCTTTAATCCTTTTGAGCGTTGCTTCATTTATTTTAAAGCTCTACTATTAGACATATACACATTTATGATTATTATGCCTTCTGATGAATTCATTTTTTTTTTCTTTTTTGAGACGGAGTCTTGCTCTGTTGCCAGGCTGGAGTGCAGTGGCACAATCTCTGCTCACTGCAACCTCCGAATCCCTGGTTCAAGTGATTCTCCTGCCTCAGCCCTCCCCAGTAGCTGAGATTACAGGCAAATGCCACCACACCCAGCTAATTTTTGTATTTTTAGTAGAGATGGGGTTTCACCATGTTGGTCAGGATGGTCTCGATCTCCTTGACCTCGTGATCTGCCCACCTCAGCCTCCCGAAGTGCTGGGATTACAGGGGTGAGCCACTGCGCCCGGCCTGAATTCACTTCTAACACTAAAAATAGTACCTTAAAAAAAAATCTCTACTAATAGCAAGTGAAAACCTGACAACGAGCTCCTGGTGACTCTGGACCTGGACAGTGCTCAGCCTTCTGTTCAGCTGTTCTTCCCACCTCTCACATGAAACATGTCTATGAAAGGCTGAGGACGTCACATCTGCATTGGTGCGGGCTTCCTAGAACCCATGTTACTCATTCATCCAAGGAGGGCATGTCGGCGCCTGGTAGAAACGCTGTGCAAGGAATCGTGGGGTATCAAGAAAAAGGCACGACCCTCCCTTTCCTTAGGACAGTTCCAGTTCCCAGGGAGATGAGGCACAGCCATCAATAACCCGAGTCACGAGGGGCTGCCCAGGCAGAGGTGACAAATGCCACTGGTGGCAGGGACACCGGTAGACATAGAGGGAAAGGTCCACATAGAGGGAAAAGTCCACACAGGCAGGTTCCTAGGCAGATACGAAGTCAAGGCAGTCGGGGAGGGCAGTCAAAACAAGTGATGCTGGGACACAACTCTGAGGTTTGTGGGCGTCTGATTAAGGGAGATGGAAGGTGAGGTCAGAGAAGTGAGGTTCTCAGTTCACAGATTTGGGCTCATGGGGGTGTGAGGTTGTGTGTGTGTTTGTGTGTGTGAGAGAGAGAGAGGGAGAGAGAGAAAGAGAGCAAGAGAGAGAGGTCTTGTTCCAGGTCTTCTCCTCCATAGACTCTCCTGACCCTGCCCTGCCTCTTCCTGAGATGAGTCATTCACCAGGGGGTTTCCTTGCCTTGTTCCTCTCGGATTAGCATTGTGTTAGGCTGTTTCAGAGGTAAGTTTGATATTCACACTGATTTCCTCTCTCAGGCATACACACCCTAAAAAAATGCCTTATTGATCTTAAAATGAGCAACTCAGAATTGTTCTGAGGTTGGCTGTGGTCGAAAATCTGCTTCCTTTGAGTCTTTCGTGGCTTTTTTATTTCTTTGTTCTTTTGGTATAAAAAGACCCCTGGGTTAAGAAGCAAGCCATCTGTCTTGTAGTCTCGGGCCAGCCTCATGGTCTGGGGGAAGCCACTTCTTCTCTAAACATGTCTATCATTCTGGAAATAAGAGGTGGCTTTACATGACTTCTCAGGTACCCCCAGCAGTGACCCAGCGCTGGGTGAATGCAGGCCTCATGAAAAAGCACCAAATACTCCCCTGGGAAAGGTCAGCAGAACCCAGTGACCCAATCACTGCTGCTGCCCCGAGGGTTGCTCATCCTCCTGCCCAGCCCCTCTACTGAACAAATGTTCTGAGTCTCATGCTGTTTGTCTAAAACAAAGACAATGAGGGTTCCTGTACAGTCTGGTTGTATGAGGATTAAGTGTGTTCATTTACATATGAAGTGCTAAGAACAGAGCTTGGCACACGCAAGTACTGTATTTCAGCACATGCTGTTGTTAGTACAATCATTCCCCTCAATGTTGATTTTAATGAAACCACATCCTCTAAGCCACCAATACCATGACCTGGGGCCTTGCAACTGCTGGAGTCAAGTAGGGAGGGATGGCATCCCTGGAGCCGGCACAGCCTCTCTGGAGGTGGGGGGTGGGGGAGGTGGCCCCCATGCTTCCTGATAGTTATTTAGGTCCCTAGTGACACCTCCTCCACCAGACTGTGGGCTTCAGGGAGCAGGACTGACACAGGGCTCATTTGTCCTCCCACCACCACCAGGCGCAGACATTCTCAGAGTAAAGTGCTCATCACCTACTTCCTGGGTGAGTGACTTTCCCTCCAAGCCCATGAGGTGAGCCCAGTGGTGGCCTCAGCTCACCGCCTCAGGTCACAGGTTCCAGGCTACAGCACAGGGATGGGACCCCGAAGAGTCCTGTGGACTCTGCTAAGGAACCCTAGGAGCTCCCAGAGGCCAAGTGCAGGGCAGAGATGTGGAGAAGCAGCTGCTCAGAGGACTTTAGCCCTGCAGAAGCCAAAACACGGCTGCTATTATACAGAAGGGGAGACCAAAAATGCTACAGACATGGCTCCGGCAGATTATTTTTGCCACCATCGAAGTGCTGAAACCACACTGTTAAGGAGAAAATCTTAAAAGCAGCCAGAGAACAAAGATCTCCTCCCCACAGACAAGCCAGGTGAGAGGCGCAGCCTAAGCCCTGAAAAACCACACAGGAAGAGGCAGCGGCAGAGGCCCCACCCCAGCCGGTGCTGCTCCCCTCTCCTCTTCATCAGGACTGTCCCCGCTCCCTCCACCCAGTGCTGAGACCAACAGCAGACATGGGGGCGAGGGTGTGATGCACTTAACATGACCTAAGCCACACAAATATATTACCAACAAACTCCAATGACTTAACTTTGAGATTCTCTTCATCTAAGTTTTTAAAGTGGTCATTCCTAGTTTCTCTCATTCCTACCAGTGCTCTGGACAGACTTGCCTGTGGCCAGGTGCACACACGTTCCCCCTCTGAGCTGCACACACTTTCCCTCTCTGAGCTTTGGTCCTCTCCTCTGTAAAATGTGATGATTCACATCCCCTCCTGGCCACAGGCGAGTGTCTGAGGTGCCGAGTGCACCCTGCTCTTCCCTACAAAGCAGACCCTTTCTCCTTTCCCCATTATCACAGATACCTGCCTGGGAATCCGGAAGAGGCCCTTCCCAGTCCAACAGGCAGCTGCTATTATCAAGCAGGCCAGGTCCCAAATGCTGGGGACTTCCTCCTCCTAAATCTCATTTTCTCCCCAGACAAAATGAGAGCAACAATCCCCACATCCCTGGGTTAGGAAAATACCCTGAATGAAGATGTGCAGTCTCTGGCTGGGCTGGCCCAATCTCTATGCCAGGTCCTTCCACCTCACCTCTCTCTTTAGCAAAGTAGAAATTGAGAAATTCTGAAGGCTCTGAAGCTTAGACACTCAGGCTATCAAAGAGCCCAGAGATTGGAGGCTGAAGACTGCCAGGGTTGGCCGTGCTCCTCTTCAGCTGTGACTCTGCTGTGGCCCCAGCTCCTTCCTATAAACTAGGCAGATATAAAATCTGCAGCGGCCCTTTATAAACCACAGTGGTCTGTGTTGGCAGATGTGTGCTGCCGTGTAGGAGGACAAATCACATGCTCAGGGCTGGTGTCAGTCACTCATGACTCTGGATCCCCAGGGCACCTGTCCTAATGAACTTGAAAGAGAACTGAAGGCACTGGCATTTTTCCAGACTAAGTGACACCAACTGCCCAACAGCACAGGCTCAGGGCATGGCACTGTCCCCATCTCCGACCTGGAAGCTAAAGCCTTGCTGCCCTGTCACTCCTGGATACAGGACAGAGGACCAGAACTGGGACTGTTGCCTCTCAGTAGGGGCTGGGTGAGCAGCCATCTGCAGCCACATGGATGGAGACCTTTCCTGCTCACTCTTCAAACTGCAACCAGTGCCGGGTGCCCACCAGAAGGACAACTGGAAGGAAACGTGGCAGGTAAGCCAGGCTGTGGCCCTGCAGTGACATCTTTGTCCTAACTTGAAGTCTGGCTCCTCTGTTCCTCCACGGCCCCTCCCCATGGCGCTCCACCCCATTCCTTAGAACCTTCTGCCCCAAGCTCAGAGAGCCAGTATGGAGGTGCAGGTGGGAGCAGGTGCAGCCTCTGCTGGGTAGAGGACAGGTGCTCTGGGGATCCAGAGTCCTGAGTGACTGACACCAGCCCTGAGCATGTGATTTGTCCTCCCACACGACAGCACACATCTGCCAACACAGACCACTGTGGTTTACACAGGGCCGCTGCAGACTTTTATATCCACCTAGTTTATAGGAAGGAGCTGGGGCCACAGCAGAGTCACAGAGCTGAAGAGGAGCACGGCCAACCCTGGCTGTCTTCAGCCTCCAATCTCTGGGCTCTGATAGCCTGAGTGTCTAAGCTTCAGAGCCATCAGAATTTCTCATTTCCTACTTTGATAAAGAGAGAGACGAGACGAGGTGGAAGGACCTGGCACAGAGATTGGGCCAGTCCAGCATTGACAGAGCCAGGACCTGGGGTGAGAAACTGAGCTCAGCTCCAGGCTCATCTGATGTCATCCTGACAGTCTGAGGACAGAGACATTATCTCCATTCACAGGCATGGCGGGTGGCAGGAACTGGCCCCAGCCGACCACAGTTTCCTAAGTGCAGAGGTGCGACTGCAGTCTTCCCTGCTCCCTCCCCAACGGTCTAATCTGGAGTCTCTAGGTCATCTACTCCCAGTCTCAAAAAATTCCTGGATCCTTGAAAATCTCTAATAACACTGAAACAAAAAATACAACATTGAGGTCTATCATTTTTTACCTCTTAGAGTAGCAAAGAATGAAAGTTCCATGTAGTAAGGGTGCAGGGACACGGGCACGCTTGTGTATTCTTTTTTTTTTTTCTTGAAACGGAGTCTCGCTCAGTCGCCCAGGCTGGAGTGCAGTGGCGAGATCTCGGCTCACTGCAAGCTCTGCCTCCCGGGTTCACGCCATTCTCCTGCCTCAGCCTCCCGAGTAGCTGGGACTACAGGCGCCCGCCACCGTGCCTGGCTAATTTTTTTCAATTTTTAGTAGAGACGGGGTTTCACCGTGTTAGCCAGGATGGTCTGGATCTCCTGACCTCGTGATCCACCTGTCTCGGCCTCCCAAAGTGCTGGGATTACAGGCGTTAGCCACCGCACCCGGCCACACTTTTGTATTCTTGGTGTGAGAGTAAAACTGGCACAATCTTCTCCCGAAGTACAATTTAGCAATATCCAAACAAAATTCTACATTGATGAGCTCATGTACCTAAAAATTCCTCTTCTAAAGGGCTGCCCGATACTTCAGGGAACATTGACATATGGACATATGACACATACAAGGGTTCTCACTACAATGCTGCTGGAATTAGAAAAAACAAAAGCAGGACATAATGTTAACAATTGCCCATGGGATGGAAGATTAAAATTAACTGTGGTTCACGCCATGTGTTTCACCCATGCACTAAATATTATGATGCTGTTAAAAAGAATGAGATACTTGCATGTACTGATAGAAAACATCCAATGCGATTTGTTCTTCAGTCAGAATTTTAAAAGTTAAGGTGCCTATAAATGCACAGGAAGAAGGCTGAGGGATGGTGGGATGAGAGGGTCCTGTGGGATGGCAGAAGGCCTTGGTGTCTGCTACGGGTCCTTTGTCCCTGCCAGGGCTCACGTTGAAATCTGAACCGTAATGTAGCTGGTGGGGCCTGTTGGGGTTTGGGGTGGATCCCTCATGAAAGGCTTGGTGCCATAACCGCCCCCTCCCACATTCCCCCAGGAGTTGTCAATCTTAGTTCCCCATGACACCTGGTTGTTAGAATGAACCTGGCCCCTCCCCGTCTCCCTTCCGGATCTCATCCCCCTCCTCCTGCCATCCTCCCCACCCCTTCCCCTGATGGGCAGAATCCAGCTGTCCTTCCCCTTCACCACCAGTGGAAGTTTCCTGAGGCCTCACCAGAGGCAGATGCTGGTGGCATGCTTCTTGTACAGCCTGCAGAACCATGTGCCAAATAAGCCTCTTTTAAAATTATCCAGCGTCAAGTTTTCTTTTTTATTTTTTTTCTTTTCCGAAACGGAGTCTCCCTCTGTCGCCCAGGCTGGAGTGCAGTGGCGTGGTCTCGGCTCACTGGAAGCTCCGCCTCCCAGGTTCACGCCATTCTCCCGCCTCAGCCTCCCGAGTAGCTGGGACTACAGGCGGCCACCACCACGCCTGGCTAATTTTTTGTATTTTTAATAGAGACGGGGTTTCACCGTGTTGGCCAGGATCGTCTCGATCTCCTGACCTCGTGATCCGCCCGCCTCGGCCTCCCAGAGTGCTGGGATTACAGGCGTGAGCCACCGCGCCTGGCCTCAAGTATTCTTTTATAGCCACACCAACGGACTGTGACATTTCCAAAACCACCAAATTCAGATGTTTCACCTTGTCTATACAGGTGAGCCCTACATCCACCTGGAATCGCACTAGCCTGTCAAAAAGAAAGCCATTTAATAAGCGTATTAAAAATAAGAGTCAAACGTGGGTTCCACCTAACATAAACTGACGTTTAAAACATAAATTCTGTAATTATTTGGAGATTTCAAAATGCTATTGGATTCCTGGATTTTGTTTAGTTTGTTAAACAAAAACACGTAAAATTTCCTGACACTTGTAAGACTGGTTTATCCTTCAGGTACTTAGCTTTCGTTTTGTTTTTCCTTAACATAGAAGGAATCTGGATGAGAACAATTGGTAGAGCCTTAATGAACTTGAAAGAGAACTGAAGGCATTGGCATTTTTCCAGACTGAGTGATTGCTTTCACAGGAAACGCTGCCTCCTGAAGGAAGGGCGTGCCCCGCTCCTGGCTGCCTGCCTCGTGGTGGTCAATTCGCTGCCCTGTACCTGTTGATGCGCAAGAAAGTGGCTGGAAGGAAACTGCTGCCGGTGTGCTCAGTGGACTCGAAACGGAAGACAACGAGCAGAGGAGAGAAAGTTACTTTTTCCTGCCGGGCTGCGTGTTTAACCAATTTGTCTAAGAAAAGAAGGATGGAGGGCCGGGCGCGGTGGCTCACGCCTGTAATCCCAGCACTTTGGGAGGCCGAGGCGGGCGGATTTGGCTAACACAGTGAAACCCCGTGACTACTAAAAATACAAAAAATTAGCCGGGCGTGGTGGCAGGAGCCTGTACTCCCAGCTACTCGGGAGGCTGAGGCAGGAGAATCGCTTGAACCAGGAAGGCGGAGCTTGCAGTGAGCCGAGATCGCGCCACTACACTCCAGCCTGGGCGACAGAGAGAGACTCCGTTTCAAAAAAAAAAAAAAAAAAAAAAAGAAGAGAAGAAAAGAAGGACGGGGGTGGGGAGGGAATCAGGGAGTGGGGAGAATGGCGCTCCCCTTCACGCAGCTGGTGTGGCTGGGAGTTGGCTTGGAAGTTTACACACTTGAGCTCTATCGATTCCGAAACTTCCCGATACATCGTGAGGTGTGGGCAGGAGGGAGACGCGCCAGGCAGCAGCCAACGGGGTGGAGTCCCCGGGCCCAGCCTCCTGCGGGAGGGGGCTCTGCTGCCTCCAGGCCCGGGTCGCTCCTGCCTGGCCCCGGGGACCCCGTTCTTCCTCCGACTCCGACGACGGGCTCCTCCTGCCCGGACATGCCCCGCCACAAGTGACCCGGGCCAGGCACCCCCGCCGCGTCCCCCTCTCTCTCTGCCCCCTCCCGGTGCCAGGCGCGCTTTTCCCCAGGCAGGACCGCGGTGGGGACTCACCTGCAGCAGGACCCCGACGACGACAAACTTGAAGGTCTTGTGGACCCGGAGCCGAGGGCTGGCTTCCCGCGCCGGCCTGGGTCCTGGGGCGCGCCCTGCCCGGGCCCGGGCACTGGGTCCGTGCTGTCCCATGGAGGTAGGGAGCGCTCCTCGGCCCCCGCCTCGTGGTTCAATCCTCCCCGCGGAAGAGCCCCACACTTTGCTGGGTGTGGCCGCGGCTGCCTCTGTCCCACTCGCTGCGCTCCCGGGATTCGGAGTCACTGCCAGGAACGCACCTAGATGTACTCTAGCTGGTGGTGGCGCCATCCTGCCAGGTCAATCCAAGAAGCAGCGTGCTTGGCTATGACAAGACAGAACTTCGCATTCGGAGTTCAGGGCACCCCTGACCCCGCCCCCTTTTCGGGGCACCTGCGGCTCCTGTTGGCTAACCCTGAACTTCCTTCCTCTGTGACCGCCCTTGCCGCTCTCAGCTTCTGTTCCTCAACCACGGCCGCCGCGTGGATGCCGCTGCATTCGGAGTCGTTTTGCCACTTGGTCCCAGCGCCAGGCTTCTCGGTCGGGAGTTGACCTCAGCCTTTCTGTGACCCAGTTCCTGGCACCCAGCAGGCGCTCGGTGGACGGATGGGTGGCGGAATGAAGGACACAGAGGCCACTGCGGGGTCTGGCCTCTAAGAGGCTTTTACGGCCTCCTCCGTCACTACCGGGCGAGTGATTCAGCCTGCCTTTTTTTTTTTTTTTTTTTTTTGAGATGGAGTCAAGCTCTGTCGCCCAGGCTGGAGTGCAGTGGCACGATCTCGGCTCACTGCAACCTCCGCCTCCCAGGTTCAAGCGATTTTCCTGCCTCAGCCTCCTGAGTAACTGGGATTACAGGTGCCCGCCACCACGTCCGGCTAATTTTTTTTCTATTTTTAGTAGAGACGGGGGTTTCACTGTTTTGGCCAGGCTGGTCTCGAGCTCCTGATCTCGTGATCCGCCCGCTTCGGCCTTACAAAGTGCTGGGATTACAAGCGTGAGCCACCGTGCCCGGCTCATCCTGCTTTTGGTTTCAGGTCTCCATGCCAGTGAAATGTCACCTCAACTCCACCGTCCCTGGTGTCAGGCAAGCCCGAGGGACCCAATTCTGCCTTTCTTCTGGATTTTCCTAACCTGTTAAGAGTCTTGAAAGTCCTTAAACCACGGGAGACTATCTGGCACATGACACGGGATGAGACTTGGTGGGGGTCCCACGGGGGACAGGTCCTTCCAGCGGTTCCTCTGCACCCAGCGCTGCACGGGCATGGGGCGTGGGTAATCAGCCTCCCGAAAGCCACGCGAGTCACGGTCCTGCCTGCGAAGAACTCCCAGGGCGACCTTGGGGCTGAGGAGTGGGTAAGAGAAAGGGGGCGCTGATTGATGTTCATTTTTCTCCATATTTTAATGGTGTTCCGGTACCATTTGTTGAAAAGACTCTTTTCGACCGGGCGCGGTGGCTCACGCCTGTAATCCCAGCACTTTGGGAGGCCGAGGCGGGCGGATCACCTGAGGTCAGGAGTTCGAGACCAGCCTGACCGACATGGAGAAACGCAGCCTCTACTAAAAATACAAAATTAGCGGGGCGTGGTGGCGGATGCCTGTAATCCCAGCCACTCGGGAGACTGAGGCAGGAGAATCGCTTGAACCCGGGAGGCAGAGGCTGCGGGGAGCCGAGATGGAGCCATTGCGCTCCAGCCTGGGCCACAAGAGGGAAACTCCGTCTCAAAAAAAAAAAAAAAAAAGACTTTTTTTCCTTATCCAATAGCCTTATCACTTTTGTTGAAATTAAATTGACCATATATATGTATGTGTCCATTTCCGGACTCTATTCTGTTCCGTTTATTTATTTGGCTATTCTCATGCTAATTACCACATTGTCCTAATTATGAGCTGTATAGTCAGTCTTGAAATCAGGCAGTTCAAGTCCTCCCCCTACTACCCACCTCCCAAATGGTTTGCATTTCCGTATATATTAAATATAGAATAATTTTTTTCAGTTAAAAAAGCCTACTGGAATTTTAATTGGGATTGCATTGAATGTAGAGATGAATGAGAATAATTGACATTTTAACAATTTTGAGTCTTTCAATCCATGAAATTTATTTATTTAGATATTTGTTACTTAAGCTTGACAATATTTTGCAAACTTTCCATGTACAAATCTTTCATATCTTTTGTAAACATATTTCTAACTATTTTTGTTACTATTGCTAATGGAATTGATTTAGCTTCCCTTATTTTCAAATTGTTTGTTGCAACTATACAGAAATACAGTTGATTTTTGTCCATCGGCCTTGTATGCTATGGTACTGCTAAATTGATATATTTCTAGTTGTTATTTTATAGATTATTTAGGATTTTCTATGTAAGCAATCCTATTGTCAGTAACCAAAAACTGTCTCAGTTCTTCCTTTCCAATCTTTATACCTTCTATTCATCTTTGTTGCTGAATTGCCCTGGATAGGATTTCCAGTACAATGTTAAATAGAAATAGTTAAAGCAGACATGCTTATCTTATTCCATATCTTAGAACACATCTAATTAATCACCATTAGATATGATGTTAGTTATAGTTTCCTCATAGATGCCTGCTGTAGTTTGAATGTCCTCTCCAAAACTCATGTTGAATTTTTTTTTTTTTTTTTTTTTTTTTGAGACAGAGTCTCACTCTTTCGCCCAGGCTGGAGTGCAGTGGCCTGATCTCGGCTCATTGCAACCTCCACCTCCTGGGTTCAAGCAATTCTTCTGCCCCAGCCTCCCCAGTAGCTGGGACTACAGGCACATGCTGCCGTGCCTGGCTAATTTTTGTATTTTCAGTAGAAACGGGGTTTCACCGTGTTGCCCAGGCTGGTCACAAACTCCTGAGCTCAGGCAACCTGCCTGCCTTGGCGTCCCAAGGTGCTGGGATTATAGGCTTGAGACACCATGCCCGCCAATTTTTTTTTTTTAGATGAGTCTCGCTGTGTTGCCCAAGCTAGACTGCAGTGGTGCGATCTCGGCTCACTGCAACCTCTGTCTCTGGGTTCAAGCGATTTTCCTGCCTCAGCCTCCCCAGTAGCTGTCAGTACAGGCACGCACCACCACCACACCCAGCTAATTTTTGTATTTGTAGTAGAGACGGGATTTCACCATGTTGACCAGGGAGGTGGGGCCTTTAAGAGGTGATTTAGCTTATGAGGGCTCCATCTTCATGAATGGATTAACGCTATTGTCTCAGGACTGGGTTAATTTTCATGTGAGTGGGTTCCTGATAAAAAATAATGAGTTTGGCATGATTTCCTCCCTCTCTCTCACCTAGGCCTGCTTCGGCCTTCTGCTCTTCTGTTGTGTGGTGACCCTCACCAGAGGACAGCTTCATGCTCTTGGACTTCCCAGCCTCAAGAACTGTAAGAAATAAATTTCTTTATAAGTTGCCCAGTCTGTGGTATTTGGTTATAGCAGCAGGAAATGGAGTGAGACAATGCCCTTTACCAGATCAAATTCCCTTTCATTTCTACTTTGCTGTTTTTACCATTAATAGAATGTGAAATATAACAATAAACAATAACGTTTGACACTTTGAAACGTATCAAATGTTATTTTTTGGCGTCTATTGAGATGATTATATTGTTTTTCTCTTTTATGCTATTCAAATGTTTAATCAAATTGACTTTCAAATGTTGCATCTAACTTGAATTCCTGGGTCAAATTTCACTTGTCATGATGTATTATCTTTTTTACATATTGCTAGGTTTGATTTGCTAATACTTTCTTAAGCATATTTTTGTGTCTGTATTCATGAGAGATATTGATTTATCATTGTCTTTTTCTGTAATGTCTTTCTAAGTTTGGGTATACTCATTATTCTGGCTTTATAAAATAAACTCAGTTTCCTGAGAGTCTTATAAGATTAGCATTATTTCTTCTTTCAATGTTTGATACCATTCACCAGTAACACCATCTGGACTTGGTGATAATTTTTGTTGTTTTTCTTTTGGGGTATGTATGTGTCTGAAGGTTTTTGATAATAAATTCAAATCCTATAATAGATATGAGTTTTTCAGATTTTCTATTATTTTATATGTCTCTTTTGGCAAGTAAAAATTTTCAAGTCATTTGTCTCTTTTATCTGAGTTCTTAAATATATTGGCATAAAGTTGCTCACAATATTCCCTTATTATCCTTAGCAATCATAGTGATGTCCTCTCTTTTATTTTGATAACTTAGTTTTGTCTCTCTCTCTTTGATGAGTTTCGCTAATGATTTATTATTCTTTTCAAATAGCCATAATGTCTGTGTTAACTTTATTACTTTCAGGGTTTTTCTGTTTTCTATTCTATAGATTTTCTCTCATTATTGCCTTTCTTATACTTATTCTGGGTTTATATTGCTCTTTTTTTTTTTCTAGTTTTTTTGAGACAGAGTCTCACTCTGTCGCCCAGGCTGGAGTGCAGTGGCGTGATCTTGGCTCACTGCAACCTCTGCCTCCCAGGTTCAAGCGATTCTCCTGCCTCAGCCTCCCGAGTAGCTAGGACTACAGGCGCCTGCCACCACGCCTGGCTAATTTTTTTTTTTTTTTTTTTTTTTGGTATTTTTAGTAGAGACAGGGTTTCACCACGTTAGCCAAGATGGTCTCAATCTCCCGACCTTATGATCCGCCCGCCTCAGCCTCCCAAAGTGCTGGGATTACAGGAGTGAGCCATTGTTCCCAGCCTGCTCTTCTTTCTTTAGCTTTTAAGTGGAAACCTAGATCATTGATTTCTATCCTTTTTTGTTTACTAATACGAGCACTCATACTCTCTATGTCCTTCTGTAGTTATGTCCTACAAATTTTGATATTTTGCATCATCATTTAGTTTGAAATATTTTCTGATTTCTACAGGCTTTCTCCTCTGACCCATGGTGGTTTAAACTGCAAATATGAAAGTCTTTTTTGTATTTCTTATTGACTTCTAATTCAATTTCACTGCAACTAAAGAAAGTGTTCTGTATGATTTCAATCCTTTTAAATTTATTAAGACTCTTCGTAGGCCCAGAATAGGGTCTACCTTAGTAAACATACTATGTGCACTCAAAAAGAATGAACATTCTACAGTTGTTGGGTATAGTATTCTATGAATGTTTATTAGGTCAAGGTGGTTGATAATTTTTTCAGATTGTCTGTGACTTCATTGATTTTTCTTTTTTTGTTTTTTTGACAGTCTTGCTCTGTTGCCCAGGCTAGAATGCAGAGGCACCATCTTGGCTCACTGCAACCTCCGCCTACCGGGTTCAAATGATTCTCCTGCCTCAGCCTCCCGAGTAGCTGGGATTACAGGCACCTGCCACCATGCCCAGCTAATTTTTGTATTTTCAGCAGAGATGAGGTTTTACCATGTTGACCAGGCTGGTCTTGAACTCCTGACCTCAAGTGATCCGCCAACCTCGGCCTCCCAAAGTGCTGAGATTACAGGCATGAGCCACCATGCCCGGCCTCCATCTTTTACTTTCAATCTATCTGAAGCTTTATATTTAAGGTGCATATATTTTAGACAGTTAATAATTTCAGCTTGCTTTTTTTTTTCCTAGTTGGGGAAACTCTGCTTTTTAATTGGATTGTTTATTCTGGTTACATTTGTTGTTGTGGTGAAATTTGGAAAGTTCAACCTGCCACAACGTCTTCACTTACTATTTTTAAAGGATATTCTCAATGAGTGTGAATAGTGAGTCAACAGCTTTCTTTCACCATTTCACACATCCTGAGCCTCCATTGTTTTGAGTCAGCTGTCGTTCATATCTTTGTTACCTGTGAATGCACAAAATTTGCTCTGTATGATGACTATGATGTGTCCAGGTAGGGTTTTCTTTACATTTATTTTTATGAGGGGTTTATGAACTTTTTGAATCTATAAGTTGATGTTTTTTCACTACATTTGAGACTATATCAACTTTTTTTTTCTTTCATCTTTTCCAGCCATTTCTTCTTGGTTCTGGTTCCGTGTGTACTGCATGATATTGTACCACGTGTCACGGAGACTCGCTTCCTTGTTTTCTTTCAGTTTCATTTTCCCTTGCACTTCAGATGGAATGATATCTATTGATCTCTTTTCAAGTTCACTCATTCTTTCTTCTGTAATGTTCAATCTCTCTTAAGAAAGTCCAAATAAATTTTTCATTTCAGAGAGTGGAATTTTCGGTTCTAAAATGTCCATTTGGTTCTTGTTTATAGTTATCATATGTATGCTGAAATAGCTTATCTTCCACTCATGTCAACAATCTTTTCTGTAGACCCAACATATATTTTGTAGCTCCTTAAAAGAGATTCTATTATGAATCAGCATTAAAAACCACTGTGAAGACAGAAACTCTACCTAGAAGAATGAGGTTTTTATGGTTTGGCTTTTGTTTTTTGGGATAGCGTCTCACTCTGTCACCCAGGCTGGAGTGCAGTGGTGCAATCATGACTCATTGAAGCCTCGACCTGCTGTGCTCCAGAGATCCTCCCACCTCAGCCTCCTGAGTAGCTGGGACTACAGTCATGGGCCCCCAAGCCCAGCTAATTTTTGTACTTTTTCTAGGGACAAAGTTTTGCTGTGTTGCCCAGGCTGGTCTTGAGTTCTTGAGCTCAAGTGATCAGCCTGCCTCAACCTTCAGAATTACTGGGATTACAGACGTGAGCCATTGTGCCCGGCCAGGAGTGAGTTATCTAATGAAGAGTAACAATAACAGAAAATGTTTATGAGCTCCTGCATACAATAATTTCACAAGTATTTATCGAAAATTGATTACATACCAGGCAAAATGTATGCAAAGATTAAAATCTGCAGTACCTGATCTAGGGGACTTGCACACTAGTAGGGAGACAGTAAAACAACTGTAATAAAATGTGATTTGGCAGAGCCTATTAAAAATGATTCTATCAGCCGGGCGCGGTGGCTCACGCCTGTGATCCCAGCACTTTGGGAGGCCGAGGCAGGCAGATCACAACGTCAGGAGATCGGGACCATCCTGGCTAACACGGTGAAACCCTGTCTCTACTAAAAATACAAAAAAATTAGCCGGGCATGGTGGCGGGTGCCTGTAGTCCCAGCTACTCGGGAGGCTGAGGCAGGAGAATGGCATGAAACCGGCAGGTGGAGCTTGCAGTGAGCCGAGATTGCACCACTGCACTCCAGCCTGGGTGACAGAGCGAGACTCCGTCTCAAAAAAAAGAAAAAAATAATAATTCTATCCCCAAGAACCTGTATTTTTAGTTTGGGGAATAAAATGCTTAGGATAATTAGGAGAAAGAAGGTAGGAGGGGAGAAGAGAGTGGAAGAAAGTGAAATGGGGAATGTCTCAGACCTTATTTACAAAGAAATCTTAAAGAAAATCCAAAGACAATAGGGAAGACAAAAAAGGAAAAAAAAAAAAAAAAAAGACAACAGAGGAAATTTTAGCCTATGACGGCCGGGCACGGTGGCTCCCACCTGTAATCCCAGCACTTTGGGAGGCCAAGGCGGGCGGATCACGAGGTCAGCAGTTTGAGACCAGCCTGACCAACATGCTGAAACCCCGTCTCTACTAAAAATACAAAAAAAAAAAAAAAATTGGCCGGACATGGTGGCGCATGCCTGTAATCCCAGCTACTCAGGAGGCTGAGGCGGGAGAACTGCTTGAACCCAGGAAGTGGAAGTTGCAGTGAGCAGAGATCGAGCCACTGCACTCCAGCCTGAGCGACAGAGGGATACTCCGTCTCAAAAAAAGAAAGGAAAAGAAAAAGAAATTTTAGTCTATGACAACAATAGCTACAGCACACAGTAAACACTCCGTAACTCCTAGTCAGAAATAAAACCTCCTACTAAAAGTTCTGTTTCACTAAATTCCTTTTATCCAATCCATCATGTTCATAATACAGGAAATAAACAGAATTGAAGGCAGAAATTTGCACTACTATAATAATAGTTGGAGACTTCAATTGTCCCACTTTCAAAAACAGAACCATCAGAATGAAGATCAATAAGGATGTAGCGTACTTGGACATCACTATATACTAATGGAAACTAAAAGACATAGAAAACAGTTCACCACAAACAGAAGCATACAATTTTTCTCAAAGATACATGGAATATTCTCCAGGATAAACCATAAGTTAGACCACAGAGTAATTCTTTATAAATTTAAAATAACTGAAAGTATCTCTTCTGATCACAATATGACACTAGAAATCAGTATCAGAAGGAAAAGAGTAAACTCCTCAAACATGTAGAAATCAACAAGCTTTTAAATAACCAACGAGTCAAAGAGGAACTCATACAAGAAATTAGAAAAGATCTGGAGATAAGTGAAGCAAAAAACACAACATACTAAAACTTATGGGATGCAGTAAAAGCAGTGCTAAGAGGAAATGTTATCATGGTAAATGCTTATATCAAAAAGGAAAAAAGACCTAAAATAAACAATCTACACATTAAGAAACTAGGAAAGGAAGAATAAACTAAATCCAAGGTAGCGGAAAGAAGGAAATAAAAAAAAATAGAGGAGAGATTATTTTAAAAAGAGAATAGGAAAACAGTAAAGAAAATCAATAAGCCCAAAAGTTGATTCTTTGAAAAGATTAACAAAATGGAGAAATCTTTGGCTTGATTTATTAAAAAATAAGAATCCTCAAATTACTAAAATCAGAAATGAAAGTGGGACATTATTGCTGATTCTACAGGAATAAAAAGGGTTAGAAGAGAGTACTATGAAAAAATGTATGCCAAAAAAACACATTTATCTAGCTAAAATGAACAAATTCCTAGAAACACACAACCTACCAAGACTGATTTATAATGAAATAGAAAATTGGAACAGACATAACTGGAAGGAGATTGAATCAACAATCAAAAACTTCCCTGGACCAGATTTGTGTCCAGCCAAATATTTAAAGAAAAATCGGCTGGGCACGGTGGCTCATGCCTGTAATCCCAGCACTTTAAGAGGCCGAGGTGGGCAGATCACAAGGTCAAGAGATCCAGACATCCTGGCCAACATGGTGAAACCCCGTCTCTACCAAAAATACAAAAATTAGCCGGTCGTGGTGGTGCACGCCTATAGTCCCAGCAACTCGGGAGGATGAGGCAGGAGAATCGCTTGAACCCAGGAGGCGGAGGTTGCAGTGAGCCGAGATTGCGCCACTG
Organism: Homo sapiens; assembly: GCF_000001405.40. Lineage (NCBI taxonomy): Eukaryota > Metazoa > Chordata > Mammalia > Primates > Hominidae > Homo > Homo sapiens. The sequence goes on from NC_000008.11 coordinate 23,233,887, forward strand.
CACTCCAGCCTGGCGACAAGAGAATGACTCCGTCTCAAAAAAAAAAGAAAAAGAGAAAAATCAACCCCAAGTTTTCTCAAAGATGTGAAAAGGAGGGAACCCTTCCTAACTGATTCTATGAGGCCAGAATTGTCCTTACACTAAAGTCAGGCAAAGATACTACAAGAAAGAAAACTACAGACCAATATCCCTTATAAATTTTGCTGCAAAAATCTTCAACAAAATAATAACAAACTGAAACTAACATTTACAGATTTTTATTATTTATTTATTTATTTATTAAAGACAGTCTTGCTCTGTCAGCACGCTGGAGTGCAGTGGTGTGATCATAGCTCACTGCAGCCTTGAACTCCTGGGCTCAAGTTATCCCCTTCCCTCAGCCTCCCAAGTCACTGGGACTTTAGCTGCCTGTCACCACGCCCAGCTAATTTCTTGTTTTTTTTTGTAGAAATGGGGTCTTGCTATGTTGCCCAGGCTAGTCTCAAACTCTTCGGCTCAAGCAATCCTCCTGCTTCGGCCTCCCAAAGGGCTGAGATGATAGGTGTGAGCCACCATGCCTGGTTCTGAATCAAACATTTAAAAAAGTATTATACACCGGTCGGGTGCAGTGGCTCACGCCTATAATCCCAGCACTTTGGGAGGCTGAGGCAGGTGGATCACCTGAAGTCAGGAGTTTGAGACCAGCCTGGCCAACATGGCAAAACTCCATCTCTACTAAAAATACAAAAATTAGGCTGGGCACGGTGGCTCACACCTGTAATCCCAGCACTTTGAGAGGCCGAGGCTGGTGGATCACCTGAGGTCAGGAGTTCGAGACCAGCCTGACCAACATGGAGAAACCCCATCTCTACTAAAAATACAAAATTAGCCGGGCCCGGTGGGCATGCACCTGTGATCCCAGCTACTTGGGAGACTGAGGCAGGAGAATCACTTGAACCCACGAGGCGGAGGTTGTGGTGAGCCGTGATCGCACCATTGCACTCCAGCCTGGGCAACAGGAGTGAAACTCCATCTCAAAAAAAAAAAAAAAAAAAGAGCCAGACGTGGTGGCTCACACCTGTAATCCTAGCACTTTGGGAGGCCGAGGCGGGCGGATCACGAGGTCAGGAGATGGATACCATCCTGGCTAACACGGTGAAACTCCATCTCTACTAAAAAATAGAAAAAGTAGCCGGGCGTGGTGGTGGGCACCTTAGTCCCAGCTACTCGGGAGGCTGAGGCAGGAGAACAGCCTGAACCTGGGAGGCGGAGCTTGCAGTGAGCCAAGATCGCACCACTGCACTCCAGCCTGGGCGACAGAGCAAGACTCTATCTCAGAAAAAAAAAAAAAAAAAAATTAGCCGTGCTTGGTGGCAGTTGCCTATAATGCCAGCTACTGAGGAGGCTGAGGCAGGAGAATCACTTGAACCTGGGACGGGGAGGTTGCAGTGAACTGAGATTGTGCCACTGCACTCCAGCCTGGGCAAAAAGAGTCGAGACTCCATCTCAAAAAAAAAAAAAAAAAACGGATTATACACCATAATCAAGCGGGATTTATCGCTGGAATGCTGACATGGTTCAACATATGAAAATCAAAGTAATACAGCACATTAACAGAATGAAGGACAGAAACCACATAATCCTCATCTCTTTTTGTTTGTTTGTTTTTGTTTCTGGGACAGCGTTTCACTTTGTTGCCCAGGCTGGAGTGCAGAGGCTTGATCATAGCTCACTGCAGCCTCCACCTCCTGGGCTCAGGCAAGCCTCGTCCTTCAGTCTCCCCAGGAGTTGGGACTATAGGTGTGCCACCATGCCTGGCTATTTTTTTTTTTTTTTAGTATAGACAAGGTCTCCTTGTTGCCCATACTGATCTCAACTGATGCAGAAAAAGCATTTGACAAAATTCAATACTGTCTCATGATAAAAATGCTCAACAAACTAGGAATAGAAGGAAACTAGATAGACATAATGAAAAACATATTTGAAAAATGAAAACCAACATAAGGATGAAAGACTAAAAGATTTTTGTCTAAGATTAGGATCAAGACATGGATGCCTGCTTTCACCACTTCTATTCAAGATAGTACTAGAAGTCTTAGAGCAGTTATGCCAGAAAGAGAAATATGCTCATTCAAATTTGAAAGGAAGACATAAAATTATCTCTATTTGCAGCTGCCATGATCTTATACATAGAAAACCCTAAAGATTTCACAAACATTTATTAGAATGAATAAACAAATTTGGAAAAGTTGCAGAAAAAATCAATACACAGAAATCAGTTCCTTTTCTATTCACCAACAATAAACAATCTGAAAAGAAAATTAAGAAAGCAATTCCATTTACAATGGCATGATAAAAATACTTAGGAATAGACTTCACCAACAAGGCAAATAACTTGTACACTGAAAACTACAAAATGTTCCTGAAAGAAATTAAAGAAAACATCAATAAATGGAAGGACAGTCTGTGTTCATGGATTGGAAGACTTAAGATGCCAACACTACTCAAAGCAATCTACAGATTCAATGTGATCACGATCCAGATACCAATGATGTATTTTTGCAGAAATAGAAAGATCCATCCTAAAATGTATATGGAATCTCAAGAACTCTAAACAGCCAAAACAACCTTGAAAAAGAAGAACAAAGCTGGAGGATTCATACTTCCTCTTTTCAAAACTTAACTAAAGCTATAAGAATCAAAGTAGTGTGCTACTGGCAGAAAGACAGACATATAGACCAATGGAATAGTATAAAGTGCCCAAAATTAAACCCTCACAAATACGGTCAAATGATTTTTGACACAGATCTCATAACCACTTGTGTTAGGCCATTTTTGCATTGCTATATGGGTAATTTATAAAGAAAGGTTTAATTAGCTCATAGTTCTGCAGGCTGTACAAGCATAATGCTGGCATCTGCTTGGCTTCTGTGAAGCCTTAGGGAGCTTTTAGCTTTTATTCATGGGGGGGAAGGTGAAGTGAGAGCAGGCACATTATTTGGTGAGAGTGGGAGCAAGAGAGAAAGGAGAGAGATGCTGTAACCTTTGAAATGACTAGATCTTGCACGAACTAACTGAGCAAGAACTCACTTATCACCATGGGATGGTGCTAAACCATTTGTATTAGTCTGTTCTCATGCTGCTAATAAAGACATACCCAAGATGGGATAATTTATAAAGTAAAGAGGTTTAATTGACTCACAGTTCCACATGGCTGAGGAGACCTTGCAATCATGGCAGAAGGCAAAGGAGAAGCAAAGGCACATTTTATATGGCAGCAGGCAAGGAGAAGTGCAGAGCAAAGAGGGGGAAAAGCCCTTTATAAACCATCAGATCTCATGAGAACTTACTCATCATCATGAGAACAGCATGAGGGTAACCACCCCCATGATTAAACTACCTCTCATTACAAATCAAGATGAGATTTGGGTGGGGACACAGCTAAACCATGTCATTCCACCGCTGGCCCCTCCCAAATTTCATGTCCTCACATTTCAAAACACATAATCATGCCGTGGCAACAGTCTTAACTCATTTCAGCACTAAATCAGAAGTCCAAGTCCAAAGTCTCATCTGAGACAAGTTAAGTTCCTTCCACCTATGAGTCTGTAAAATTAAAAGCTAACTAGTTACTTCCTAGATACAAGGGGGTATAGGCATTCAGTAAATACACCCATTCCAAATGGGAGACATTGGCCAAAACAAAGGGGCCACAGGCCCCATGCAAGTCCGAAATCCAGTAGGGCTGTCATTAAACCTTAAAGTTTCAAAATTATCTCCTTTGACTTGATGTCTCACATCCACGTCATGCTGGTGCAAGAGGTGGGCTCCCAAGGCCTTGGGCAGCTCTGCCCCTGTGGCTTTGCAGGGTACACCCCCTTGTCCTGGCTGTTTTCACAAGCTGGTGTTGAGTGTCTGTGGCTTTTCCAGTTGCATAGTGCAAGCTGTTGGTGGATCTACCATTCTGGGGTCTGAAGGATGGTGGCTCTCTTCTCATAGATTCACTATGCAGCACCCCAGTGGGGATTCTGTATGGGAGCTCTGACCCCACATTTCCCTTCTGCACTGCCCTAGCAGAGGTTCTCCATGAGGACTCCACCCTGCAACACACTTCTGCCTGGACATCCAGGCATTTCCATACATCCTCTGAAATCTAGGCAGAGGTTTCCAAACCTCAATTCTTGTCTTCTGCACACCTGCAGGACCAACACCATGTGGAAGCTGGCAAGGATTGGGGCTTTCACCCTCTGAAGCCATGACCCATGCTGTACATTGGCCCCCTTTAGTCATGGCTGGAGTGGCTGGGTTGCAGGGCACCAAGTCCTAAGGCTGCAAACTGCAGGGGGACCCTGGGCCTGGCCCAGGAAACCAATTTTTCCTCCTAGGCCTCCAGGTCTGTGATGGGAGAGGCTGCCATGAAGACCTCTGATATGCCCTGCAGACATGAAGACATTTTCCCCATGGTCTTGGTGATTAACATTTGGCTCCTCATTACTTATGCAACTTCCTGCAGCCAGCTTGAATTTCTCCTCAGAAAATGAGATTTTCTTTTCTATTGAAATGTCAGTCTGCAAATTTCCCAAACTTTTATGCTCTGCTTCCTTTTGAATGCTTTGCCATTTAGAAATTTCTTCCTCCAGATACCCTAAATCATGACTCTCAAGTTCAAAGTTCCACAAATCTCTAGGGCAGGGGCAAAATGACGCCAGTCTCTTTGCATAGCAAGAGTGACCTTTACTCCAGTTCCATCAAGTTTCTCACCTCCATCTGAGACCACCTTAGCCTGGATGTCATTGTCCATATATCACTATCAGCTTTTTGGTCAAAGTTATTCAACAAGTGCCTAGGAAGTTCCAAACTTACCCACATCTTCCTGTCTTCTTCTGAGCCCTCCAAACTGTTTCAACCTATGCCTGTTACCCACTTCTGAAGTCGCTTCCACATTTTTGGGTATCCTTTGTGAAAGGAAAATATCTTGGGCCCCCAAAATCACTAAGCTAAAGTGAAAATTCAAGCTGGGAACTGCTTAAGGCAAAACCTGACTCCCATTCTATTCAAAGTTATCCCTCTGCTCACTGTGATAAATGCATATCTGATTGTCTCCTTTGGAAAGGCTAATCAGAAACTCAGAATAATGCAACCGTTTATCTCTCACCTATCTGTGACCTGGAAGCCCTCTGTGATGATTAATACTGCCTGTCCACTTGATTGGATCGAGGGATGCAAAGTATTCATCCTGGGGGTGTCTGTGTGGGTGTTGCCAAAAGAGATTAACATTTGAGTCGGTGGGCTGGGGAAGGCAGATCCACCCTTAATCTGGTGGGCACAATCTAATCAGCTTCCAGTGAATATAAAGCAGGCAGAAAAACATGAACAGGAGAGATGGGCCTAGCCTCCCAACCTACATCTTTCTCCTGTGCTGGCTGCTTCCTGCCCTTGAACATGAACGTCTGACTCCAAGTTCTTCAGTTTTGGGACTCGGACTGACACTCCTTGCTCCTCAGCTTGCATACAGCCTATTGTGGGACTTATGATCGTGCAAGTTAATACTTAAGAGACTCCTCTTTATATATATCCTGTTAGTTCTATCCCTGTAAGATAACCCTGACTAATACATCCCTTTTCCGCTTTTAGTTTTCCTGCCTTTGCTTCAAGTTGTCCTACCTTTCCAGACCAAACCAATGTACTTCTTACATATATTGATTGATATCTCATGTCTCCCTAAAATGTGTAAAACAAAGCTGTGCCCTGACCTCCTTGGGCACATGTCCTCAGGCCTTCCTGAGTCTGTGTCATGAGCACACGTCTTCAGCTTGGCAAAATAAACCTTTTTTTTTTTTTTTTTGAGATGGAGTCTTGCTCTGTTGCCCAGGCTGGAGTGCAGTGATGTGATCTCCGCTCACTGCAAGCTCTGCCTCCCAGGTTCACGCCATTCTCCTGCCTCAGCCTCCCGAGTAGCTGGGACTACAGGCACCTGCCACCATGCCCGGCTAATTTTTTGTATTTTTAGTAGAGACGTGGTTTCACCGTCTTAGCCAGGATGGTCTCGATCTCCTGACCTGGTGATCTGCCCACCTTGGCCTCCCAAAGTGCTGGGATTACAGGCGTGAGCCACCGCGCCCGGCCAGCAAAATAAACTTTCTAAATTAACTGAGACCCGTCTCAGATATTCTGGGCCCATATTTAATAACCATAAAGGGATTCTGAGTGGAATGCTCCCCACCTCTGACAAATCTAGCCTCTGACAAGCTAGATTTGACAAGCACCTATTGGTGCTTGGTACCAGCATGAGCTTACTTTATGGCTCAAACCTATGGGACAATTTGCTGAGGTCTGAGAGCAACCCACCCCTCACCCCTCCGCCCCACCAAGAGAATTACTATCTTCCCAAATTTGGTTGAAATCTAAAGTTTATTTTGCTATACAACTTTTTTTTTTTGGAGTTTTACTTGCTTCCAACAAGAAAGGCAAGTTTTCCTGCTTCCATGATGATGGAAGATAGGTAACTCCTTTATGGAGTTTGAGCTCACTTCCAACAGGGAAGGTGAGTTTGTTGTTGTTGTTGTTGTTGTTGTTGTTGTTTTGTTTGTTTTTCTGCTTCTAGGATGGTAGAGAGTGGTCTACAGCCTGAGATCCATTCCTAGATAAGCAACTGAATTGGGGTTTATCTTGGCTAAAGTTAAGATTAAAAACCAGCTGGTCTTTATTTCTCCTTACCATTACAGTGCTCAGGAATTATGTTAAGTTGTGAGATTGTTTGTTTTGCTTAACTTTTTTGTTGTTGTTGATGTTTATTTGTTTCTGTTTTTGTTGTTTCAGTCTTTCTCCCGTTGGGTTTGACCAACTCTGTCCAACTCAATCAAATCCGAAGGAAAGTTCCAAATTATGAGGAACAAGGCCTCTAAAGTGGCTAAATTCCCATACACAAAAAAAGGTGGTATAGTGAGGGGAGAAAAACGGCCAACAAAAGAAAAAAAATAAATAAAAACTTTTTTTTTTTTTTTTGAGACGGAGTCGCTCTCTGTCGCCCGGGCTGGAGTGCAGTGGCGCGATCTCGGCTCACTGCAAGCTCTGCCTCCCGGGTTCACGCCATTCTCCTGCCTCAGCCTCCCGAGTAGCTGGGACTAAGGCACCCGCCACTACGCCTGGCTAATTTTTTTGTATTTTTTGGTAGAGACGGGGTTTCACCGTGTTAGCCAGGATGGTCTGGATCTCCTGACCTGGTGATCTGCCTGCCTCGGCCTCCCAAAGTGCTGGGATTACTGGCTTGAGCCACCGCACCCGGCCGGCAAGAAAAATGTTTTATTTTTATTACTTAAGGGGTTTTATTTACATAACAAAGCCTCCTTTTTGCTAACCAGGCCAAACTGAAAGCAATGGCTGTCCCCCTACTCTGCAGTTCAATAGCTAAGGTTCTGCCTTTTTTTTTCTCCTGTCTTCATGACAGCCTAAGTTTGGTTCCTAAATCAAGTCCTTTCTGGTTTGATAGTTGGTACTTCTGCTTTTTTTTTTTTTTTTTTTTTTTTTTTGAGACAGAGTTCCGTTCTTGTTGCCCAGGCTGGAGTCCAATGGCGTGGTCTCAGCTCACCGTAACCTCCGCCTCCCGGGTTCAAGCAATTCTCCTGCCTCAGCCTCCCGAGTAGCTGGGATTATAGGCATGTGCCTTTTGAATTTCTTAGTAGAGATGGGGTTTCTCCATGTTGGTCAAGCTGGTCTCGAACTCCTGAGCTCAGGTGATCCACCAGCGTCGGCCTCCCAAAGTGCTGGGATTACAGGTGTGAGCCACCGCGCCGGACCAATACTTGGTACTTCTGAAATAGCAGCAATTTGTCCTAGCTGAAATATAATAATAAAATTTTGAATTTTTTTTTTTTGAGACAGAGTCTTGCTCTGTCGCCAGGCTGGAGTGCAGTGGCACGATCTTGGCTCACTGCAAACTCTGCCTCCCGGGTTCAAGCGATTCTCCTGCCTCAGCCTCCTGAGTAGCTGGGACTACAGGCGCGTGCCACCACACTCGGCTAATTTTTGTATTTTTAGTGGAGACGGGGTTTCACCATGTTAGCCAGGATGGTCTCCATCTCCTGACCTCATGATCCGCCCGCCTGGGCCTCCCAAAGTCCTGGGATTACAGGCATGAGCCACTGCACCCAGCCCAAGATTTTTTATTTTTAAAGACACTCAATAGTTAAAAGTCAACTTAATTAAAAGCTAATATTTAAAATGTATGTGTATGTGTATGTGTGCATAAGTGCATGTTCATATTTAAAAGGCCTTCATGGTTTTGTTTTTGTTTTTCTCTGCTAGGACCTTGTCTTTTTTTGAGCAAAAACTTTTTTTGTTCTCAATTGACTCAATTCTGTTTCCACTCGATTTTTTTTTTTTTTTTTACTAAAATAGTTATTGCAACAGAGGCTACTCTTGGGTTTTTAAGAAAGAGTATAGTTTAGACACTTAGAAATGCTTTGTTTACAAAAATGTTTTAAGTGCACTGTAAAAGCATCATGTGGTCTAGCCTCATAATAATTCTCCCTTTTTGGAGACCCAGGATTCAGTGTGGGCTCTGCCCAGAGCTCAGAGATCCAGTTAAAAAAGAATTGGTAGTCCCTATCTAAATAACAGTGGTCTCCTTATACAATCCAGTGATAAATTTCTATAATTTTATGTTCAATTGGCAATTAAATCTGTTTTAATTTCCCTCTAGCTCACAGAATTTCTCTTCAGACCTTATAATGTAAATTTTGCTATCTGACTTTCACCTGAGTTGTTTCCTTTAATATGCAAATTTAAGACTATTTAGCTGACTACTGCCTAGCACTGTGAAACAGGTTATCAAGAATCTGAAAGTCTAAGATAAAGAAAAAAGGTTTTTATGAATCTGTAAGATGTACTTCTTCTATCAGCATGCCTAATACATCTATGTATTTATATGTTATGTATACAATGTTGCACTCCTGAAAATATATCAAAGAGCTCTAATTAATTGTCTTAAAAAATAAAAGCATTTACATCAAATACTTTATTAGAAAAAGGAAAGACTAGTCAAATGCTTTTTCAAGTTATGTGACTTAAGTAAAATCTTTAATAAATAAGCTATCTTTAAAATTATTGGTAAAGTAATATTAGAAATGTCTTAGGAATTGCCAGCATACATTTTTATTTGCGTTTATTAATCAAGCAATTTCATACTTAACCCTGCCAAATACTATTAGGTGTCAAAATTTGGCACAGGCTATAAACCCAGCCCAAGACAGAATGATCTCTGCTCGTGTAACCATTAATAAATAAGACATTGATACTGGTTTAATGAAAATAGCTACATCTTGATTTAGTAAAATTACCATAACTTCTAATCTTGTGGCAGTCTAGGCAGTCTAGTCCACAGGCAGTAAGGAGTTTTGTTTTGGGAAAGGACTGTTATACTTTGTTTCAAAGTTAAACTATAAGTAAACTTGCATGGGAAGAGAATGTTTAATTTTGTGAAAAACGACCAAACTGTCTTCCAAAGTAGCTCTTAGAGACAACCTGTCCACAGAAGAACGCAGCAAGCCCCCTCCCCTAAATGCCCTGCAGCTTATTTCTTCTGAGATGCTGCCCCTACTTCACGTTACCAGAACTTAGGTACAGCTGTATCCACCCCCAGGCCAAACCACATCCTGGTACTCTAAGCCAGGTGGGGCAAGAAGTGACAAACAACTGCAGGATGTAGACTAACCTCAGAAAGCCCCTAGGCCCTCAAAGCCCTATATAAGTCCCTCACCTTAAACACCCTGGGCTGCCTCCTCTGACTGTTATGCAGCAGGCCGGCAGGTCAATAAACTTGCTTGCCTGACTTTGAGTATACTCGTCTTTTCTCTTGGCCAACCTTACGGTAGCTGTACCAGTTTGCATTTCCACCAGCAATGAATGAGAGTTCCTGTTGCTCTGCATCCTCACCAGCATTTGGTGTGGTCAGTATTTTGGATTTTCACCATTCTAATAGGTGTGTAGTAGTATGCTATTCTTGTCTAATTTGCTGTTCCCCAATGACATATGATGTTGGGCATATTATCATATACTTATTTGCCGTTGGTAGATCTTCTTTGGTGAGAGGTCTGCTCAGATCTTTTATCCATGTTTTAACTGGGTTATTCTTTTTCTTTTTTTTTTGAGTCTTAAGAGTTCCTCGTGTGTTTTGGATAACAGTCCTTTATCAGAGATGTCTTTTGCAAATAGTTTCTACCAGTCTGTGGCTTATCTTCACATTCTCTTCACAGTGTCTTTCAGAAAGCAAATAATAATAATAATAATAATTACGTCTAATTTATCAATTATTTCTTTCATGGATTATGCTTTTTGTGTTGTATCTAAAAAGTAATCATGATGCCCAAGGTCATCTAGATGTTTTGTCTTCTAGGAGTTTTATTGTTTTGTGTTTTTACATTTAAGTCCATGATCCATTTGAGCTGGCTTTTGTGAATGGTGTAAGATCTGTACCTGGATTTGTTTTTGTTTTTGCATGTAGGTGTACAGTTGTTCCAGTGCTCATTGTTGAAAAGACTCTTTGAACCATTGTATTGCCTTTCTTTTTTCGAAAGGTCAGTTGACTGTATTTACATGTGCCTATTTCTGGGATTCCTATTCTGTTCCATTTATCTATTTGTTTATTCTTTAACTAATACCACACTATCTTGATTACTGTTGATTTATAGTAATTCTTGAAGTTGGGTTGTATCCGTCCTCTGACTTATTTGTTCAATATTGTGTTGGCTCTTCTGGGTCTTTTGCCTTTCCACATAAACTTTAGAATTAGTTTGTTGATATCCACAAAATAACTAGCCATGATTTTCACTGGGATTTCACTGGATCTACAGATCAATTTGGGAAGAATTGATATCTTGATAATATTGAGTTTTCCTGTCCATGAATATAAAATGCCTCTGTATTTATTTAGTCCTTCATAGATTTCTTTCATCAGAATTTTGTAGTTTTCCTTATGTAGAATTTGTACATACCGTGTTAGATTTATACCTAAGTTTTATAGGGGGGTGCTAATGTAAATGGTATTGCATTTTTAATTTCATATTCCACTTGATCATTATAGGTATATGGGAATTGACTTTTATACATTAACTTTGTATCTGCAATCTTGTTCTCATTGCCTCTTAGTTCCAGGACATCGATTTGGCAATTCTTTCATAATTTTCTGCATGGATAATTATGTCTTCTATAAAGACAGACCATTTTATTTCTTCCTCTTCAGTCTGTACAACTTTTATTTCTTTTTCTTGGCTAACTGTGTTAGCTAGGATTTCCCGTACAGTGTTGACTAGGAATGGTGTGAGCAGACATTCTTGTGTTATTCCTGATTCCACTGGAAAACGATCTAGGTTTTCACCATTAATTCTTATGTTGGCTGTAAGGTTCCTGTTTATGTTCTTTATCAAGTGGAGGATGTGTCCCTCTATTCCTAGAGTGCCGAGACTTTTTATCATGAGCTGGTGTTGGATTTTGTCAAATGCTTTTTCTGCATCTAGCAATATGATCATATGATTTTTCTTTAGTCTGTTGGTGGATTATATTAATTGATTTTTGAACATTGAACTAGCCTTGCCTAGCTGTAATAAATTCCGCTTTAACCTGGTGTACAATTCTTTTGATACATTGTGGGTTTCAATTTGCTAACATTCTATTGATGATTTTTGCATCTATATTCACAAGATATATTGTTTTGTGTTTTTTCTTTCTTGTAATGTCTTTGTGTGGTTTTGGCGTTAGGGTAATCCTTGCCTCATAGGATCAGTTGGGAAGTATTCCTTTTGTTTCTATCTTATAAAAGAGATGGCACAGAACTGGTACAACTTTTTTCTTAAATATTTGGTAGAACTTATCAAATGAAACCATCTGGGCCTAATGCTTTCTGTGTGGATGTTGTTAATTATTGATTCAATTAATTAGATATAAACATATTCAAGTGGTCTGTTTCCTCTTGTGTGTTTTGGCAGAGTGTGCTTTCAAGAAATGTGTCCATTTCGTCTAGGTTATCAAATTTGTGGACATACAGTTATTCATAGTATTCCTTTATTATCATTTTCATGCCCATGGGATCTGCAGTAATGTCCCTTATTTCATTTCTGATATTGAGTATTTGTTTTTTCTCTTTGTTAGCCAGGCTAGAGGTTAATCAATTTCATTGACCTTTTCAAAAAATCAGCTTTAGGTTTTGTTGATAATCTTTTGAGTTTGTTTTCAATTTCATTGATTTCTGCTCTTTTTATTATTTTTTCTCTTCTGTTTAATTTGATCTTAATTTGTTCTTCTTTTATAGATTCCCAAGGTGGAATCTTAGGTTATTTTAGATCTTTCTTCTTTTCTGGTTTGTGCATTCATTGATATAAATTTCCCTCTATACAGAGATTCACGGATCCATCCGGGTGGTCCGGGCACCACTGGCGCCCCTCTGCGGCTATTCCCCAGTTCCATTTTCTGAAGCCACAGGTCAGAAGCCGCTGTACAACGCTTTGCCGAACTCCAGAATCTTGAAGGAGACGTAAGGTGCAGCCACCTGCCGCGCAGGCGCAAGCCTTTCTTTCGGCACAAAGACCGTGGGAGGAGGGGTCGGCGCAAGCGCTCGGTGTCTCTCTGAAAAGAACTTCATCATACTGCCTCCTGGCTGACGGAGCGCAGCGCAACGCATGCGCCTTGAAGACTTATGGAACTTATTTCACGCTCAGGGCGGCGGTGACGTGTGAACGAGAAGGAGGTGGTCAAGGAACGGAAGCCGGGAGGGAACGAGGGCGGAAGCGGACCAGGGCCAGGCTTGTGTTCGCAGCCTTGCCGGGGCTGGGGTTCCGATGTGGTCCCCGGAGCGGGAGGCCGAGGCCCCAGCCGGGGGAGACCCGGCGGGCCTTCTGCCCCCCGAGTGGGAGGAGGACGAGGAGCGCATGTCCTTCCTGTTCTCCGCTTTCAAGAGGAGTCGCGAGGTGAACAGCACCGACTGGGACAGCAAGATGGGCTTCTGGGCGCCGTTGGTGCTGAGCCACAGCCGCCGCCAGGGGGTGGTGCGCCTGCGTCTGCGGGACTTGCAGGAGGCCTTTCAGCGCAAGGGGAGCGTCCCGCTGGGGCTGGCCACGGTGCTGCAGGACCTGCTGCGGTGAGGGGCGGGCTGGGGCCAGGGCCGCGAGGGCGGGCGGGGGCAGCTCTCGGAGGGCCGGGCCCTGGTCCTGTTCTCTGCACAGCGCACTGCGCCCAGCCCAGTGTCTGGCCCAGAGAAGGCATCCAGTGTGTGTTCAGAAGGCGAAGAAGGAAAATAAGGAGGCTGGGCTAGGGAGGCTTGGAGGGAGAGGAAGAGGGGATCTGGGGGAAGATTGGGGGGCGGGGATAGTCCGATTAGACGAGTTCCAGAGAAGCCAGCCTAACAGAGGTGACAGTAATTTGCCTGGACTGGGACCCCGTTATGTTGTTGTTTCCTAAGGGCCTCCAAATTTGAATGGCCCGTGGAGCAGAAGGTCTAAGAGATAGGATTCATTAACCTAGGGAAGGTTAGAGCTAAAAAGCGGGCATTCGTGGGGAAGAGGCCTGTAGGCATCTTGCCAACAACCCCTGGCACAGCTCATTCGTCTGGCTTGTCCTTGGCACAGGCTTTTTGGAGCAGAGAGGACGTGAAGGAGAATGAGGGCTTTGCTGAGTATCTGAGTGCCCTTAAAAGGTCTGTAGGAGATACGTGTGCGACAGGTGCAGTTTTGGCGGTATCTGAGGGTAACATTGATAACTAATACATGTACAGTACTTCCCAGCATGCAGATACTTTGCATGCACCATTTGACCCACTCAGCGGTCTTGTGGTGAGGTGATAGAATTATCCTCAGCAGACAGAAGAGGAAACTGAGTTTCAGAGAGATCAAGTGACTTACTCAGAGTTACACAGCTAGTTAAAGGTGATACCGGGACTGGATCCCTGGTCTTTGGATAAGTCATTTGCACTTCAGTGTACTTATCATTCTGAGACCAGCCTAGCGTGATACCTCTCTCAGTGAGGGAAGGAGAAAGTCAACTCTGATGTTTTTTGTTTGGTTGGTTTTTTTTTTTTTTTAGTTTGCTGCTCTTTCTGATTAAGAGATCTCCCTTCTCTACTTTTGTTCCCAGTACCTTCCCATTGGACTGGACATTGATATTGCCCAGGATGGTCTCGAACTCCTGCACTCAAGCGATCCTCCCACCTCAGCCTCCCAAAGTGTTAAGATTACAGGCGTTGAGCCACTGCACCTGGCCAACGAGGCTTTCTGAGATGGCATACAGTGGAAACCGTTTTCGTTCATGCCTGAAGCAGGGAACAGGAGAAACAGTAGTTGAAGAAGTCAGTGAGGGAAGGGACCAGAATGGGCCTCCTTACTGTATTGGAAGTGGATCATCTTCCACTTCCAATTCAGACACTTTAATACCTCTATGGTGGTATTAAAGTCTCTTCTCCTGACTGCTGGTGCTCCACTGAAGCTTCCTGGTGCTTGCCTGGGTCCTGAAGAATTTCTGAGGATGATACTTCTCCACGGAGGCGACGTGGCATAGTATTAGTATTAAAAGCAGTGTCAAAAATCACAATTACTTTTGCACCAACCTAATAGTTAACAGCTTTTGCTTGAGGGCCGGCTGGCCTAGGCCTGAATCCTGGCTCTGCCATTTGCTAAATTATGTGGCCCTGCACAAATTTTATGCTGTCTTTAGCAATCAGTTTGACGAATTCTAAAATGGTGATGATAATTGTACCTAGGTTTATTGTGAGGATTTGAAGAGATATTCCTTATATAGCCTTCAGCGTAGTGACTGGCCCGCGGCAAGCATTTAATAAATTGAGCTGCTGTTACTGTTACCAGCACCACCAAATAGTTACATCGTATCCTCACCCTTGCCTTGGAAGAGCAAGAAGTCCTTCTCTGTACATCTTTGTTTTCTTTCTTATGTCTTGCACTCGACAGTGATTTATTTTCATTTTATTGTTTTGAGCACCAATTGTAAAAGGAGATCTCACCGAAGGCCCAGAAGCCGCCTGTGTTTCTGTTGCCTTAGTGGAGCACTTGCCTTTTGGTTCCAGACCTATCATGGTGTAAATTTGGCCTCTCTGCTTACCTTCTGAGTCCCTCAGTTTTCTCATTCGTTAAAATGCTCATAATACCGCCTCCCATGCAGAAGTGTTGTGACGCTTAGAGCTGGAGTATAAACAATGCTGCGTGTCGTTGGCACAGCGTAGGTGCTTAACAAATGGTCGTGATGATAATGATAAAATTCCTCTTTTAGGGTAAAGGGGGAGCTAGAGACTGGAATGGGACATTGCATTAAGTGCTACTACACGCCCTTCTTTTTCTTCCCTGCAGTCGAGGGGAGCTGCAGCGGGAGTCAGACTTCATGGCCAGTGTAGACAGCAGCTGGATCTCCTGGGGGGTTGGGGTCTTCCTGCTGAAGCCTCTCAAGTGGACTCTTTCTAACATGCTGGGAGATAATAAGGTTCCAGCTGAGGAGGTCCTTGTCGCTGTGGAGCTGTTGAAGGTGGGTACTCAGAAGGGGGTGTCTGGGTGTCACCTGGTGTGATCACAGCATCCTCCACGTCCCTTGTGTGCGTTCTTGAAAAAAGACCGTCTCTTTTTTTACATGGCTACTGAGTTGATAACTGAGTTTATCTGCTCTCCCTTGTACTTGCACTTTGTAATATTCATTAGTGGGACTTGTACATTTCAAGGGGTTAGCCTTTGTGTCGGAATTTTCAGTTAACAGTGGATTATTTTCTAGTATCTGTAGGGATTAATGTTAAGCAGCAGTTTAGGAAATGCTTTGCCTTCTGTAGTTTACTGACAAGAGTTTCTCAGGATTCCTGAGGACCTTGTGGCTTTCAGCATTGCCACCTCTAAACTGGCCCACTCAGCTCCACTTTCCTACTTTGTGACCGTGCCCTTTCCCCTTCCAGCTTTCTGATGGCCTGCCTTCTGCTGCACATGCTCTTCTCCCTCGAAGAGGCCACTGGGGCCATGGTCCCGTCCTAGCCTCCTGGTCAGTCAGCCTCCTCCCGGCCTGCCTTTCCCACAGCCTTGATCGCATGGCTCATTGCTCCACTCCCTTCCTCAGCAACACCCTCAGCTCCTTTGCATCTCCTTTGGTCCACACCAGGAGACTCCCAGCAGATCCGTAGCCCTCGATCAGCCACATGGGGTTTACCACCCCTGCTGGAGAAAATCGCCTGTCATCAGACTGCGGTCCCCTTCATGGTCCCCAGCTGTGGGAGGCCCTCGGAGCCACACCACAGCCTTATTTTTCTTTCTCTCTGTCCCCTCACACGCTCATTCCATCCTGTGTCCTCTTTGCTCTCTGCGGGCACTTCACTGAGAAAGTAGACTCAGCATTCCTGAGTCGGTCTACAGTTTTCTGTCCTCTTACCCCAAGCCTGACCTCCTCAGAGCCCACCTCCTCCTGTGCTCAGAGTGTAGTGTCCTTCCTCTGCCTCTCGTCTGCTCTGCGTCTACCCTGCCCCTCTTGTCCCTTTGTCCCATCGGCTGGCCTCTTGCCTGGTATGTTCCATCTCACTCTCAGCCTGTAAACCCAAACCCACTCAATGCTTTTCCGAACACCGATTGTCTCTTTTGTGGTACCTGGGCCCTGCCTAGTGACTGCTGTTTCCTTCTCAACCGACCTTTGTGTCACCACTTCCTACCTCCCATTCACTCTGTCATCTGGTGCAGACCTGCTTCAACCACCCCCTCCACCCAGACTGCTGTGGATGAGGTGATAGGGGCCTGTGTGTGTGTGTGTGTGTGTGTGTGTGTGTGTGTGTGTGTGTGTTGACTGAGCACCTGGTGACCAAAGGACACTGCAGAGAATAGTTATTTTTGAAATTCACAGACCAAGCCTGACCTCAGGGCCCTTGCATAGCCCTAGAGGCTTCACACAGCTGGAGCCAGCCCAGAATCCCCACGCCTCACCCCGGGAGAAGCACCCATTTCTCCTCACCTTGAGAGACTCCAGCCCACTCTGCCTCAGATTGAGGAAGAGGTCTCCAAAATCTGCCAATCTCTCCCTGTCTCCCAGGATTGTTGACTAAGCAGCCCACATTTTCTTCAGGGCAGCCCCTCTGCTCCATCTGCACCCCTTCCCCGCACCCATGCAGTTATTCCCCTGCCCAGTGGCCTGGTCTCCAGGGCTCAGTCAGGGTCCCCGCAAAGACTGCAGGATGGTTTGGGTGGTTCTGGGCCAAGCTCAGGTCCTCTCTGCGGTCTTTCTGTCATCTCACATTGTCCTGCAGCCTGGGGCAGAGGAGAGGTAAACCCATGGATCCCCACAGATGAGGTTTGTACTGGCAAACAAAGAAAGCCTGCTGTTGAGGTAAATTTTTTTTCCCAAGTCCAGACAGAGAAACAGCCAGTAACTTTTTACTTTTGGATGGTATTGAAAAATAAAAAAAGCAAAAATTGTCCATTATTTTGTTATTTAAAAAAAATACAAAGAAATGAAAGTTTTCTTTCTGTTCATCCAACTTTTCTCTCTTTGGGTACTCTCTTCCCATTTGTGTGAGAGTGCGTGAGTGTGTATGTTTACAGATTTATGTTTCCTTAATGGCTTTGTCAACTCTAGTTCTTCCTGAAAATCTTATTCACTTGTTTCTTGTCTGTCTTTCCTACTAGAAGGGAACAGTGCCATGGGCCCTGGGACCCTGGGAGCAGTGCCTGATACCTGGTAGACAGTCAATAAATACCTGTTGAGTGAGTGAATACACACGCACAGACACGTGTACACATCACTCCATTTTTTTCTAGAAATGGAATTGGTGTGCACCCTGCTTTGTTTTCTTTCCATTGCATTGTATCAGGTGCCTCTTTCCAGGCCCTACACAGTATGGATTTACTCGATTCTTTTTGATGCCTGCATGATAATCTATCGATATGCCACAATTTATGCAACAGGTGCTCCGCAGATGGACATTTCAATCATTCCAATTTCTCTCTCCATTTTTCCATTACAAAAAAATGCCACTTGTGCAGAGATCTATGTACTTCTCCCTTTATTTTTATGGAATTGATTTTTCGGAAATGCATATGTGCCTTTTCAATTTTAACAAAAATTGCCAAACTACTTTTCAAAAGTTTGTAATAAGTTGCACTTTCATCAAGACTGTATTAGGGAGTCCAGTCTCCCCACATCCTTGTCAGCACGGGATGACATCAGTCTTTTAAATCTTACCAACTTATTGGGAAAAAAAAAATGATACGTCCTGTTTGTGAATTGAGCATTTTTTTCACCTATGTACTAGCCATTTACATATCTCCTTCTGTGAATTGTCTGTTTATATCCTTTCCTGTTTTGTATTGTGTTATCTTTTTTTTTTTTTTGAGATGGAGTTTGTCACCCAGGCTGGAGTGCAGTGGCACGATCTCCGCTCACTGCAAGCTCCGCCTTTCGGGTTCACGCCATTCTCCTGCTTCAGCCTTCCGAGCAGTTGGGACTACAGGTGCCGCCACCACGCCCGGCTAATTTTTTGTATTTTTAGTAGAGATTGGGTTTCACCATGTTAGCCAGGATGGTCTCGATCTCCTGACCTCGTGATCCACCCGCCTTGGCCTCCCAAAGTGCTGGGATTACAGGTGTGAGCCACCGCGCCTGGCCTTATTGTGTTATCTTTTATGTTAATCTGTATTCTTTATGTGTTAGAGATAGATATATATAATGTATTTAGTATTAAGGATGTAAATATTGTTTCTCAGTCTGTTGCTTGCTTACTTTTTATTTATGATGTCTTTTACCCTATAGAAGGTTTCATATTTCTGTAGTCAGATCTCTCAGACTTTTCTGTATGGCTATTGAATTTCAGGTCTTGTTTAGGAAGGCATCTTCTGACTCAAGCTTAACTTATTACTTTGTACTTTAATTTTTTCCGTTTACATTTCCTTCAATACTTATTTTTGTGTATGTGGTGGGGAAAGCTCTATTTTCTTCCAAATGGATAGCCAGTTGTCTCAGTATCTTTTCTTGATGTCGTGTAACATTAATTTATTTGTGTGTGGTTACTGTGCAGTTACTGCAGTGGTTGCATATCTGGTAGGGCAGTCAAATCAATGAAAACTCGATGTCTGTGTCTTATTAGGCTCTTTTCTACCCTTTGGCACTGTTGACGAGTCACTTCTTGAAATGTCCAATTTCCTTGAATTTGTTTACATGACGCTGCAAGTTCTCCTTGATTCCCCCAAAGCAGTCCTTCTGTCTCTCTTTTGTGGCTTCCTTCACTTCCTAAACAGTGGTCTTCCTTCAGCTTATTACTTTCCTCCCTGAATGTCCTTGGGATCTTTGCTGTGGATATGCTGAGGACTTTCAACATTGTATCGCTGTCCTGCTGTCTCCTTTGAGTTTCAGATTTGTATATCCACTGATAGGTTGTATACATAATCTTGGATATAGCTCAGACATCTTATTTATGTATTTATTTATAGACAGAGTCTCACTCTGTTGCCCAGGCTGTAGTGCAGTGGCACAATGTTGGCTCAGTGCAACCTCCGCCTCCTGGGTTCAAGCAATTCTCCTGCCTCAGCCTCTCAAGTAGCTGGGATCACAGGCGCTGCCACCATGGCCAGCTAATTTTTTGTATTTTTTTTAGTGGAGATGGGGTTTCACCCTGTTGGCCAGGCTGGTCTCAAACTCCTGATCTCAGGTGATCCACCCACCTCGGCCTCATAAAGTGCTGGGATTAGAGGCGTGAGGCACACCGTGCCTGGCTTCTCTCAGACATCTTAAAACATCATAACCAAGATGGGATATTTTGTCTTTACTTTAAACTAGGCTTTTCCTCCTGAATTTTTTCCTATTAATAGCATCACATCCACCAGTCACTCAATCCATAGTGACTTTCCACTAGACTTTTTCTTCCAACCCTATATCCAGTTACCAGTGTTATCTTCTGAATTTTGTTTGTCTCCACCACTCCTCTTTCTATGTTTATTATTCAAATAGCCTGTTGTTCAGACCCACATAATCTCTTGTGTAAATGGTCTCCTTGCCTCTAATCTTAACTCTACAATCCATCGTCTCCCAATTGGCAGTTAGCTTTCTGTTAATCTAGCCATGTCAGTTTCCTTCAGTGACCACCCACCATCTACAGAATAAAGGATCATCATAAGATATTACACTTTCTATAATATAGGATATTACACTTTCTATAATATAGGAGTGCTTCTCCTCTCTCTCCTTTCCCCTCTACATTTGTACACGTGCCGCATTGACCCACCCTTCTATGCTCATGTTCCTCTCTCTTCCCGAGATACCCGTTTCACCTCTTCACCTAGGAACTTGCTCACTCTTCAGAATTCTGCTCAACTTTTTTTTTTTTTCAAGAAATCCTGAATCCCCAGGCAGTCCTTCCCTATATTTTCATAGCATCCCATGGACACCTCAGTCTTTCTTGTTTCTGGTAGTAATTTCCATGTATGAGCGAAATGGTGACATTATTTCTTGGAACTTATATTTCTTACTCTTGTCACTAATCTTATCCCATCTGTTTATTATGTACTTTTCTTTGTTTTTTGTTTTGTTTTGTTCTGTTTGAGACAGAGTTTTGCTCTTGTCGCCCAGGCTGGAGTGCAGTGGCGCGATCTCGGCTCACTGCAACCTCCGCCTCCCAGGTTCAAGTGATTCTCCTGCCTCAACCTCCCAAGTAGCTGGGATTACAGGTGCCCGCCATCACATCCAGCTATTTTTTTTTTTTGTATTTTTAGTAAAGACAGGGTTTTGCCATGTTGGCCAGGCTGGTCTCGAACTCCTGACCTCAGGTGATCCTGACCTCAGGTGATCAGCCTCCCAGAGTGCTGGGATTACAGGCATGAGCTGCCACGCCTGGCCCTTTTCCCTTAAGGCTTTTTACAGAGTCAATAATGTTTGTGTTTGCAGTATAGCCAATTGGCAGGAAAATGGAGAGACTACAATTGGAAGGGAATTAGATGTCATTTCATCCACCCTCTTCAGAGAGTGATACTGAGGACTAGTGAGGCTGTGACTGGCCCAAGGTCACCCAGGCTAGGCTGGAAATCAGGCCTCAGCTCTCGTTCACAGCTGTTCTACCTCACCTCACCTCCTCAGTCTTCCCTTGGGAAACCACAGGCCAGTGAGAGGCAGGAGTGTAAAATCCCCGATGGGCGTGCAGCGCAGAGCTGGCTCCCAGCATCTCATGTGCCTCATTTCATGTGGAGTCACCAAACTTTCCTCCAAGGCTTAAAAACACAGATCCTTCCTCCTTTTTGAAAAGCCGCTACTTTGGGGAGGATGGGGTTGGGATTCCCGGGTGCTTGCCTTGTGTGATCATGGTTTTGAAACTCAGGGTCAGGGTCCCTGCATCCCATGGCAGTGGCCAGGGCCTGTCAGCCAATGTTGCCTTTCCCACAGGAAAAGGCTGAGGAGGTGTATCGTCTGTATCAGAACTCGCCCCTCTCCTCCCACCCCGTGGTGGCCCTGTCAGAGCTCAGCACCCTCTGTGCTAACTCCTGCCCAGATGAGAGGACCTTCTACTTGGTGTTGCTGCAGCTGCAGAAGGAGAAGAGGGTCACAGTCCTCGAGCAGAACGGGGAGAAGGTATGGAGGCTCATCTGTTCATTCACTGACTCAGCAGTGATTGATTAAGTACATAGAGTAGTGAGCCCTTATCTCAGATTTTGGTTTCCAGAGTTTCAGTAACCTGCCGTCAACCACGGTCCAAAAATAATAAGTGGAAAATTCCAAACATTAACAGTTCCATAGATTTCAGTTGTGCACTGTTCTGAGTAGTGTGATGGGACCTCGTAGTATCCCGCCTGTATGCGCATCCCTGCTTTGTCCAGCATCTCCCCGCCTGAGTCACTTAGGAGTCGTCTCAGTGATCAGATTGACTGTCACAGCATTGCAGTGGTTGTGTTCAAGCCACCCTTATTGTACTTTTTTTTTTTTTTTTTGAGATGGAGTCTTGCTCTGTCGCCCAGCAATGGCGCAATCTGAGCTCACTGCAGCCTCCGCCTCCCGGGTTCAAGCGATTCTTCTGCCTCAGCCTCCCAAGTAGCTGGAATTACAGGCATGCGCCACGGCCCCTGGCTAATTTTTGTATTTTTAGTAGAGAAGGGGTTTCACCAGTTAGCCAGGCTGTCTTGAACTCCTGACCTCAAGTGATCTGCCTGCCTCGGCCTCCCAAAGTGCTAGGATTACAGGTGTAAACCACCGTGCCTGGCCTATTATACTTAATAATGGCCCCAAAGCACAAGAGCAGTGGTGCTGGCAGTCCAGATTTACCAAAGAGAAGCGGTCAAGTGCTTCCTTTAAGTGAAAAGGTAAAAGTTCTGGACCAAATAAGGAAGACCAAATATCATTTGCTGAGTTTGCTAGGATCTACAGTAAGAATGAATCTTCTATAGGAAAAATTGTGAAGAAGGAAAAATGTTTACATAGCTATATGTATAGGGTTCAGTATTCTCTGAGGGTTCAGACCTCCACAGGGGATTCCATTCACTGGAACATATCCCCCATGGATAAGGGGGGCCTGCTGTTCTCACATGCCCACCACCAGCGCTCCTGGTTGGGAATTTCTCAGCCTTTGTGGTAGCAGCAGTAGTAATTTCTCCCTGTCCCTCAGATTGTGAAGTTTGCCCGAGGGCCACGTGCCAAGGTCTCTCCAGTCAATGACGTAGATGTTGGGGTGTACCAGCTGATGCAGAGTGAACAGCTTCTCTCACGCAAAGTGGAGTCCTTATCCCAGGAAGCAGAGAGGTAACTTTTAACCCTGAACTGAGCCTCCTCCCCACTGTTGCTGGCCCCCAGAGCCAGCAAAATGTTAGTATATGTGGGCTTTTAAAAAATAGGTGGGTTTTTTTTTTTTTTAGCTAATTACAAAAGTACTCACTGCTCAATGCAGAAATCATGGAAAGCACAGAATATCACAAAAGAGAAAAAAAAATGAGGCCTCTTTTTTTTTTTTTTTTTTTTTGAGACGGAGTCTCGCTCTGTCACCCGGGCTGGAGTGCAGTGGTGCGATCTCGGCTCACTGCAAGCTCCGCCTCCTGGGTTCACGCCATTTTCCTGCGCCAGCCTCCCGAGTAGCTGGTACTACAGCCACCCGCCACCACGCCTGGCGAATTTTTTATATTTCTAGTAGAGATGGGGTTTCACTGTGTTAGCCAGGATGGTCTGAATCTCCTGACCTCGTGATCCGCCCGCCTCTGCCTCCCAAAGTGCTGGGATTACAGGCGTGAGCCACCGTGCCCGGCCTTTTTTTTTTTTTTTTTCCTCAATTGAGACAGGGTCTTGCACTGTCCCCTAGGCTGGAGAGCAGTGACATGATCTTAGCTCACTGCAGTCTAACTCCTGAGCTCAAGCAATCTTCCCGCCTTAGCCTCCTGAGTAGCTGGGACCACAAGTGTGCACCACCATGCCTGGCTAATTTTTAATTTTTTGTTGAGATGGGGTCTCACCATGTTGCCCAGGCTGGTCTCACACTCC
Source organism: Homo sapiens (assembly GCF_000001405.40). Taxonomy (NCBI): domain Eukaryota; kingdom Metazoa; phylum Chordata; class Mammalia; order Primates; family Hominidae; genus Homo; species Homo sapiens. The sequence goes on from NC_000008.11 coordinate 23,257,323, forward strand.
TCGGCGCAAACAAGACCCCCACCTCAGCCTCCCAAAGTGCTGGGATTACTGGGGTGAGCCACTGTGCCCAGCTGAAAACGTGAGTCTTAATGCTTCCCCCACAGACCATGACTGTGAATGTTATGTTTATGCTCTTCCTTGCCAGTGTCCATTCAACTAATATTTATTGAGCCAGGCATTGTCTTAGGGACTGGGGATACAGCCGTGGACAAGACAGGTCCCTGCCTTTGCAGAGGTCTTTCTGAGGGGCTCTTCCCCTGCCCTTCCCCCTGAATGACTGTACAAGGAATCCCTAATAAAGACACACCCTCTGGCAGGAGAACACAGACATTGAAGTCTGTCTTCCAGGTGGGAAAGTCTAGCCTTGTTGGGAGGCAGAGGATATGTCCGAGGTCATTGTTGGTGTTAACAGTTCCTTCCCTGTCTCCCCAAAACAGGAAGATGTGTATAATGTGCCCTGTTTGCATGTTCTGTCCCTGTGGGTTGAAAAAGCTTATCCTTAGTCAGCCTGCTTGAGCCTGCCACAACAGACTGTCAACAGACTTGCCACAAGAGTTTTTGCCGTCAGCATCAGTTTTCTTGCCACTGGGTATTGGGTTTAGTCTTCAGATTTAAAACCACCTTAACTGAGTGCTGCTCTCAGGGACCCTTTGGGACCCTGCCACTCCCATCCTGTGGCACAGTAATCTTATCTGTCCCTTTGTTTCCAGGTGTAAAGAAGAAGCCCGCCGGGCATGCCGAGCAGGAAAGAAGCAGCTGGTGAGTTCTTGTCTCCTCCAGACCCATAGCAGTGCCCCAGGCAGGCCTGGAGCAATGCCCAGCAGTTCAGAGAGCAGCTTGCTGGGGTTTTGAGGGGGGTAGAGTCTGCAGGGGGCCCAGGCACCACAGCTTATTTTACAGATGGGAGGGAAGAAAGCTGGGACATCCTTAGCGTCTGGGAAGGGCTGTCTTCCTCTTGCCCTTTGGCTCGCCCAGTTCAGCACTGACCTAAGTCTCCATGCCTCCAGGCACTGAGGTCTCTCAAGGCCAAGCAACGGACAGAGAAGCGCATCGAGGCCTTGCATGCCAAGCTGGACACTGTTCAAGGCATCCTGGACCGGATCTATGCCTCCCAGACAGATCAGATGGTAGTCACTCCCCTCTACTCCAGCACTTGGCTGGTCTCTCCGTGTGTGTTGGTCACTTGCAGCTTCGGCTTGGCTGTTTGGAGGATCCCTGGGTTCTTTCGGGATGTGGCTGGGGTTGCCTTTGCCTTTCCAGTCAGGAGGTTTGGCCTCGGTGGGTATAGGGTAAATTGAGCTTGGGTGCCAAAAAAAACACCCCAAAGCTGCCTTTTGGAGTTGAAACAATATTGTATGTATTTTGCCAAATGTCTGTCATTTGCACTGATAGCTTTGCTTTGTCTTTAGGTTTTTAACGCCTACCAGGCTGGGGTAGGAGCACTCAAACTCTCCATGAAGGATGTCACAGTGGAGAAGGCAGAGAGCCTCGTGGATCAGATCCAAGAGGTACAGAAAGGGGCCAGGGAGGGACACACAGAGAAGGAGGTGACAGAGGACAGATTTGACTTCATTGCACATCCTCTTTAACGAAACCTGACTTGTGACCTTGTGAACTTGAGGAAGCTTTCCTTGATTCTCACTTGGGGCAGGATTGCTTTGTAACCCTAGATATTTTCCACCAAAGACTGAGATGCTCAGAGCCACCATGCCCAGCTCAAGGCTTTGCACTTGTCTCTTACAGCTCTGTGACACCCAGGATGAAGTTTCTCAGACTCTGGCTGGTGGGGTAACAAATGGCTTAGGTGAGTGGACAAGGTGGTTATTTTTATTTTTATTCATTTTTTTTTTTTTTTTTTTTTTTTGAGACGGAGTCTCGCTCTGTCGCCCAGGCTGGAGTGCAGTGGCGGGATCTCGGCTCACTGCAAGCTCCGCCTCCCGGGTTCACGCCATTCTCCTGCCTCAGCCTCCCAAGTAGCTGGGACTACAGGCGCCTGCCACTATGCCCGGCTAATTTTTTGTATTTTTAGTAGAGACGGGGTCATTTTTTTTTTTTTTAGATGGAGTCTCACTCTGTCACCTAGGCTGGAGTGCAGTGACGCATTCTCGGCTCGCTGCAACCTCCGCCTCCTGGGTTCAAGTGATTCTCCTGCCTCAGCCTCCTGAGTAGCTGGGATTATAGGCGCCCGCCACCACGCCTGGCTAATTTTTGTATTTTTAGTAGAGATGGGGTTTCACCTGTTGGTCAGGCTGGTCTGGAACTCCTGACCTCGTGATCCGCCGGCCTCGGCCTCCCAAAGTGCTGGGGTTACAGGTGTGAGCCACCACACCTGGCCCAAGGTGAGTGTTTCTTCCTTTCATCCTGGAAGACTTCGCTTCCCTGTGCTGTGATGAGTTTGACAGTAGATTTGCTTTTCCGGGTGCAGGCAGGCCTCTCCTAGCCTGCCCTCCCTGGGGCTCATCTGCGGGAGCAGTCAGGGAATTGCCATTTCCTCCTCGACAGCTGTGCTCATGACCCATCTGTGCTGCGGCATTCCTCATTCACAAGGCTTCTGACTGGAGGATCCTCCTTCAAGGGCAGTGGGAATCAGGGTCAGGTCCATGGTGTTAACAGAATACACCTCCTTGGTGACTTAGCTTGGAGTGTGGAAGAATCATCTCTGCTTGAAGCTACCCTCCTGACTTCCGGGATTTTTTTTTAATCTGCAAGGAGGCCTGGCATCTTTTGTAAAGCTAAGCGGGTTTTGGTAACCTCAGTCCTGTACTCATTAATGCATTTCTCCCTTGAGTTTATGCATCTTTATGTTGTCTTTTCTTTCCAGATTTTGACAGTGAAGAACTGGAGAAGGAATTGGACATCCTCCTTCAGGATACCACCAAAGAACCTTTGGATCTGCCTGACAACCCCCGCAATAGGCATTTTACCAACAGCGTGCCTAACCCTAGGATCTCAGATGCTGAACTTGAAGCTGAACTTGAGAAACTGTCCTTATCAGAGGGAGGTATGGAGCTGTTTTCCAAGGCCTTTGGAGGGCATATGGCCTTCTGGCTGACAGAGTTGATGGGCCCAAGCCCAATTACTCCATTTGCCAGAGTACCAGAGCCCTGTAGGGAGTTGAGGGTTGTTTATATTAAGACTCAGTCTCTTAATCACTGGAATGCCTTCATCTTCAAGATTTTCCTGTTATAGTGTTCAGTCATTTCTTTGCCTTGCAGGTTTGGTCCCAAGCAGTAAATCTCCAAAAAGGCAATTGGAACCGACTCTAAAGCCATTGTAGGACCCTCAAGTGAAGGACCCTCATGTAAAAGAGAGACCAGGCTTGCTGGGTGTGTACATAGTTATTTAAACAAGAAACTCTCAGAATGTGTTTGGAAGAGGAGAAAGGAGAACCACTGATTTTATCTGGATGCTACTACTTACTACAGGACAGATAGAATTTCTGGAAGCGATGCTCCAAAGGCTTGCTCCCAGCTGTATCATGGACCTGCCTTCTCATCTTTATAGTGCCACGATTTATACAGTCCTGTGTCTGACCTGTCATTTCATAGCCTGCAGTTCTTGCCATTGGCACACTTAGATTTGTCTTCACCCACCAGCTTCGTTCCAGCCCATGAAGGGGAAAGATTTGCAGCTTTGCCAAATCTGAATCAGTTCCCACTCCCCCCTGCGGTTTTTTAGAGGGGTTTATCCTGTCGCTAATGTCAGTTAAATAGCTTATTCCTGTCCCACTTGATTTCACTGGTAAGAATGAGAATGAAATACTTAAAGGTTTTATTTGAGGGGACTTAGCTGCCATTTTATGGAAAAACATGTAGTATAAAAGGTTTTTCTCCAGGGTCATTTGACAGAATTCTCCAGGTGTTCAGAGAAAGAGGTCGCCCCAAGTGGCCCAGAGTCGTGACAGTCCGGAGGGGCTGGTGTGGCCGGTGGGCGCTGCCTCTTCATCTGATGGAGCCAGGAGGTCCGCCGGTGGGGGAAAGGCTTCTTCCGAGGCTTCTGCACTCGCCTGGGAAGAGGCCCAGTCACTACAGGACCCTGAGATGTCCAGACCCCTTATGCAAAGAGGCAAAATTGTTGCCTTGGCCCCATCATGGAGTAACTTAAAAATACATATCTATCTTCCAGAACAAGCCACACAACAACACACCTCCCCTCCTTGAGCCTGGCACACAGCACCGGGCTCTCTGAATTTGGAAAGTGTTTCATTTTGTGGCCTACTGCTCGGGGCAGGGGGGCTGAGCCAGGATGTGCAATAGAAGCAGGGGTTGTCCCCTCTGCCAGATCTGTGGGGAGCTGCCCAGGCCACCCGTGCACCTGTCCTGCTTCCTGCAGTCCCCACTCCCTGCCTCCTTTGAGGGACTGGGGGACTTGGGGTAGGGGGACAGACGGGAAAGGGTCTGAATGCTCTGGCAATGGCGAGAAGAAGCGATCGCCACACTGCCACTCTGCTGCCCAGCCACCAGGATTTCTGCCTGGAGCCCTTTGCCCTGTCCCTGCTGCCTGAGGTGGCGTAGAGCAGAGGAGAAGAATTTGCTCCAGGCCAGGAGCACAAATCGTTGTTCAATGAATTTCTCTCCAACTCGACCTTGGTAAACGGAAATGTTGGGGGTGAAGAGAAACAATCACTATTTTTTTCTTTTTTATCTGGTAAATAATTAAAAGAAAAACCGAACACTTGTCCCGTCTCCTCTTTAGGTTTTATCAAGCGTCTTGTTCCTTGGTGCGTCCCCACGCTTCCAGCTTCTGCACACTTTGGTTCTTTCTCTTAAGGCCACAGGAGAATATGGAGAGCCTGACCGTGTGAGCTTTAAGCTGCGGCAGCTGCTGCTCCATCCAAGTGGCCGCTCTCACTGAGCTCCCCTGGGGAGGACTCATTCTTTGAATGGCCTCCCTGGTTTTAGCAGTGTGCCATTGCTACTGTTTTCCATTGCCTGGGCTCTGTAAGTGGCCTAATTTCTTCTGCCCATGTGATTGTATCATATTTTAGTCTGGCACTGGTATTTCTCAGCCCCTCCTCCAGGGATGGTGTTTGCCACACCCTGTGAGGGAGAGGGGCTTTGAGGCTGAGGGCAGCATTAGGAATAGGCTAAACAACTGGCCGCAGCACTAGGTCTGCAGCTCCAGGTAAGGCAGAGGTGAACTGGCCAGGAAAAGGTGGTGACAGCAGCGGCTCAGAAAGCCCTGGGAGAATCTAAAGGACCTGATGAGAAGGGCGAGGGACTGGAGCTCACAGGCCCTGCGGAAGAGAGGGCAACCGCTCTTCCATTCCTTCTGCTGGAAGGAAGTGGCCTGGACCTGGTGAACCTTGTTAATCTGATTTAAGGTTACTTTTTCTTTCACTGTCCTGAGCCACTGAAGAATCCTTGTTAAATGATCCAGACTTACTCTTTGCTGTGCTACAGGAAATTAAAAGGAGCTGTTGAGTCTGCTTGGAGCAGAGAACAAGAAGGGGTAATCTACAGGACTCTGGTGGTGGCGGCTACAGCTGCCAGCATGGAATTCCCATAGCTGGACAATCAGGGCTGAGTGGCCTCAGGAGTCGGCGCCATGGAGGGATTCACTCCTCTTGAGAGTTTTCTTTTTTAGTGTTTTTTTTTTTTTTGAGACAGGATCTTGCTCTGTCACCCAGGCTGGAGTGCAGTGTGAGATCAGGGGTCACTGCAGCCTCGACCTGGGATCAAGCAATTCTTCACACCTCAGCCTCCCGAGGAGCTGGTACTATAGATGTGCCACCACACCTGGCTAATTTTCTTTATTTTAGTAGAGATGAGGTCTCAAACTCCTGGCCTCAAGAGACCCTCCCACCTAAGCCTCTCAGAGTGCTGGGATTACAGGTGTGAGCCACTGCACCTGGCCAACTTCTCCCTTCTCTTGAATCCTTGCTGCCTCACGACAGGTGTCAGAGCGGCACCACCACACCGCAAAGTGAAGAGATGATGCCGTGCCTGGGAGGGTGGCTGGAGAGTCCCCCATCACTGCTAGTATGGGAACGGTGATGGTATGCAGAGAGGAGGTGTGGTTAGAAGGGTAAGTGGGTATTTGGAGGTGAGGGGAAGGGTGCTACCTGGGAATCTCCTGGGCCTGCCTAAAAGGGTTGTGTAACCAGAGTCCTGGGACCGGGGTGGGCTTTGCAGTCAGACATGCTGTTGTGAGAGAGACGAAAGGGTTACACTGCGGTTCTCACTGCCTGCCTGAAGTGACAGCCGAAGGCTGAGCAGACCTCCGGGAAGTGGTCATGAGGATCTGGCTCGATCTGCTGAAAATATAATCTAGGCCATCAGAAAAGAGGAGGGAAGAGCTGGAGCTGTGAAGAAAGATGAGATCACTGAGAGCTGCTGAGTCCCAAAGAATCAAAACGAAGCCCTGCTCTGAGGCTTGTGGGTGAGCCTGGTGACCTTCCTTTCTTTTGAACTGTCTTCATGTCTTCTCATTTTTACGTAGTTGTGGCTACTCTTTGGGGAAAGTGTGGCTGCTTTTCTCTGTCTGCACAGAAGCAATGCAAGGTTATAGACTCCGGAACATGAGAGCCAGAAGGAGCCACGAGAAGGGTAGGGGAAACGTCTGTTTTACAGAGGAGGACCCAAATCTTAGGCAGCTTGCTGAGGCCACAGAGCTCACAGGGGAATTTAGTTTGTTGACTTCCAGCTTGGAATTCTTTGTCACACAAGTGTTGGGGCTCATAAAATAATGCCCAAAATGTGGCACTTGACGAGCTGAACTAAAGCAGCAGCTTCAAGGTTTCTCTCTGGCTTTCCCCCGCCATCGTGTGTCTGTGACCCTTTCTTTTCTTTTCTTTTTTTTTTTTTTTTGACCCTTTTCTAAAGCACCAGGAGCATGCTGTCTCTCTGACCTTTTTCTTTTCTTTTCAACCCTTTCTTTTCTAAAGCACCAGGAGGACCTCTTTCTCTGGAAGTTCCCTTACCTGATTAAGAACACTTCTAAAATAAATGCAGCCGTCTTAAAGCCCCCTCCCTATGAATCTCATTAAATAACCAGGAATGATTAATCACCCAAGAAAAGACTGAAAAAGAAGCTACAGCCAGGATACCATACCCAGACAGACTTTTCGTCTTTTCTTCTGAGGGAGGTTCCAAGAGATAACCTGGGAGACTGTATCTGCATAATAAGACAACCTTAGTTCACAGTGCAGTACCACCCCTCACCTTCCATGACTTGTCCACAAGCTATTGTTTGTCCTTCAGTCCCATTCAGCATCCAAAGAGAACCATTTGCAAACCACTGTCAGGTATTTGGGTCCATTCATTTACAGCCCCCCAGCTCCCTTTCCCTAGTGAAGAGAGTATTTAAGTGCCAACCATTGGGCCTTTCTGTGTATGTTCATATTTTTTATATGGCTTCCCTGCTTCATGCATGTTAATAAATTTGTTATGATTTTCTCTTGTTAACCTGTCTTTTATTATAAGGGTGTTGGCTGTGACCCTTAATAAGGTGGAAGAAAGAGATCACCCCTTTCCACTCCTGCACCAGGCTACTCCTAACCACACTCTCAGAAACACATTCTCATGACCAGGTGCAGTGGCTCACACCTGTAATCCCAGCACTTCGGGAGACCAAGATGGATGGATCACTTGAGCCTAGGAGTTCAAGACCAGCCTGGGCAACATAGTGAGACCCAATCTCTAAAAATGGAAGAAGAAAAAAGACACTCTCAAAAGATAACTCCAAAAGTACTTTCTGTGGTGGGCATGTGCCCTGACCCCATGTCAGTGCTTTCAGTTGGCAGACCAGCTTCCTTTGGCTGACATTTGTGCAGTTTCACAGACTTCTACAGATTGGAAATTACAGGCTGGGTGCGGTGGCTCATGCCTGTAAACCCAGCATTTTGGGAGGCAGAAGCGGGCAGATCACTTGAGGTCAGGAGTTCCAGAGTAGCCTGGCCAATGTGGTGAAACTCCATCTCTACTAAAAATACAAAAATTAGCCAGGCGTGGTGGCGGGCACCTGTAGTCCCAGCTACTTGGGAGGATGAGCAACGAGAATCGTTGAACCCGAGAGGTGGAAGTTGCAGTGAGCTCACATCGCACCACTGCATACCTGCCTGGGCAATAGAGTGAGATCCCGTCTCAAAAAAAAAAGGAAATTGCCTCCCAGGAGATACTGGGTAGGGCTGTGCCTCAGAATCTCCCCATTTTTAGGGAAACCAAAGAAAGTATTAAGATTGTTTTGTTGTTGTTTTGCTGGTCTGCACCCTGTAGATAACGTTTTCATTGTATTTTGCAGCAGGCTCTTCAACTGTACAGAAAAGAGCTGGCTACTGGCTGCACAGCACTTCCTGCAGGAGTTGGTTCACAAAAGCAGTAAAGCTGTCTTTATTCACAGGTGATACAATTGTGTATGTGGTAATCCAAGGAACCTATAGAGAAACTACTTGAATGGAAAATTTATTTTAGCATGGTCACTGGATACAAGCTCAATATTTTAAATATTGAGTAGTATAGTTCAGTATTAAATATTGACTATTTAGTATAGTTCTATATACTAGCAAAATTATAAAAATTTAAAAGAAATGATCTATGCTAGCCCCTAATATATTGAATTCTGAGAAAAAAGTTTAATACCCTTTACCATGGCTTCTCAACCTTGGTGCTACTGATATTTTGAGCCTATAATTATTTGTTATGGGAATTGTACATTTTGGGATGTTCAGAAGCATCCCTGCCTCTAGGCACAAGACTCCATTAGCACTGTCCATCCCCTAGCATAACAGCCAAAAATGACTCCAGATACTGCCCTGGGGGACGGGGAGGATGGGAGCAAAATCACCCCTAGTTAAAAACCACTGCCTACACTGAAAACTATAAAATATTATAGAGAAAAAAAAAGTTAAAGATGTCCATCCATTCTTCCAAAATTTATCTATACGGTCAATGAAAACCCAGTCAAAATGCCAGCAGATTTTGTGCATGTGTGCACGTGTGTGTATGTATAAATTAAAAAGCAACTCTAGGCCGGGTGTGGTGGCTCACGCCTGTAACCCCAGCACTTTGGGAGGCCGAGGCGGGCGGATCACTTGAGGTCAGGAGTTTGAGACCAGACTGGCCAACATGGTGAAACCCTGTCTCTATTAAAAATACAAAAAATTAGCTGGGCGTGGTGGCTTGTGCCTGTAATCTCAACTACTCAGGAGGCTGAGGTGGGAGAATCACTTGAAACCGGAGCCGGAGGTTGCAGTGAGCCGAGATTGTGCCACTGCACTCCAGACAGACTGGGCGACAGAGCGAGACTCCGTCTCAAAAAAAAAAAAAAAGAAAAAAGAAAAGAAAAAGAAAAGACATTCTAAAATTACATAGAAAGGCAGAGAATGAAAAATAGCCACAGCAATCTTGAAGAAGTGAAATAAAGCTGGAGGACTGCTGGGCGTGGTGGTTCATACTTGTAATCCCAGCACTTTAGGAGGCCAAGGTGGAAGAATCAGTTGAGTCCAGGAGTTCAAGACCAGCCTGGGGGAACATAGGGAGATCCCGTCCCTACAGAAAATAATTTTTTTTAAAAATTTAGCCAGGCATGGTGGTGTGCATTTGTGGTCCCAGCTACTTGGGAGGCTGAGGTGGTAGTATTGCTTGAGCCTAGAAGGTCAAGGCTGCAGTGAGCCATGATTGCACCATTGTGCTCCAGCCTGGGCAAAAGTGAGACTGTCTCAAAAAAAAAAAAATAAAATAAAAAGCTGGAGGACACACTTTTCTCTATGTATGCTGTACTTCAACTTTTTAAAAAGTGAATAACACTAAAAGATGTTGAATGAATAACTTCCCAACCACTAGTGGGTATAAAAGGGCAATAAGAATAACAGTACAGGCCGGGCGCGGTGGCTCACGCGTGTAATCCCAGCACTTTGGGAGGCCGTGGCGGGCGGATCACAAGCTCAGGAGATCAAGACCATCCTGGCTAACACGGTGAAACCCCGTGTCTACTAAAAATACAAAAAAAATTAGCCGGGCATGGTGGCGGGTGCCTGTAGTCCCAGCTACTCGGGAGGCTGAGGCAGGAGAATGGCATGAACCTGGGAGGCGGAGCTTGCAGTGAGCCGAGATTGCACAACTGCACTCCAGCCTGGGCCAAAGAGCAAGACTCCGTCTTAAAAAAAAAAAAAAAAAAAGAATAACAGTACAAAGTACAATAGAAGACAGGAAAAATTTGAAACAGAAGTACAGAAACTCTTGTTTAATAGAAAGTACTAAATTAGACAGTAAAAGTTAATAAAAATATGTCAGTAATCACAAGGAGTGTAAATGAATTGAACTTGCGAGATAAAAGACAGATGTTGGTCCGGGCGTGGTGGCTCATGCCTGTAATCCCAGCACTTTGGGAGGCCGAGGCGGGCGGATCATCTGAGGTCAGGAGTTTGAGACCAGCCTGGCCAACATAGCAAAACCCTATCGCTACTAAAGATACAAAAATTAGCTGGGAATGGTGATGCACATCTGTAATCCCAGCTACTCGGGAGGCTGAGGCAGGAGAATCACTTGAACCTGGAGGCAGAGGTTGCAGTGAGCTGAGATCATGCCACTGCACTCCAGCCTGGGCAACAGAGTGAGACTCCATCTCAAAATAAAATAAAATACAGATGATTTTAGGTTTAAAAAAATACAATTAAATCCTGAGCTATTTGTAAGAGATATATTTAAGTTCATACAAAGATTTTAAATAGGCTGGGCACAGTGGCTCACGCCTGTGATCCCAGCCACTTTGGGAGGTCGAGGTGTGTGGATCACGAGGTCAGGAGATCGAGACCATCCTGGCTAACACAGTGAAACCCCATCTCTACTAAAAATACAAAAAATTAGCCAGGTGTGGTGGCGGGCGCCTGTGGTCCCAGCTACTCAGGAGGCTGAGGCAGGAGAATGGCATGAACCTAGGAGGCGGAGCTTGCAGTGAGCTGAGATTGCACCACTGCACTCCAGCCTGGGCGACAGAGTGAGACTCCGTCTCAAAAAAAAAAAAAAATAAAAAGATTTTAAATGAAAGTATCAAAAAAAGGACTGTATCTGAGGTAGGAAGTGGGATTGGACTCCAGAGGCGGTGTTTGGGTACTGGACCAAGTTGAGGATTAGCTAAAACAGGGACGAGGTGGAAGCAGCTTTTCATACGACATGTCCACCAATGTGCCATGTCAGTTTACCACTGCCATGCAGACACCCAAAGTTACCACCTCTTTCCATGGCAACAACCCAATGACCCGGAAGTTACAGCTCTTTTTCTAGAAATGTCTGCATAACCTGCCCCTTGATTTGCATATAATTAAAAGTGTGTGTAAATGACTGCAGAACTGCCTCACCTGACCTCAAATGATTTGCTCCCCTCAGCCTCTCAAAGTACTGGGATTACAGGCGTGAGCCACTGTGCCCAGCCCAGACATAATTTTTTAAAAGGTGAAAACGCAAGCCTAAAACCAGAAGGAAACAGTTTCAACTCATAATTGACAAAGTCCTACAAATCTAAAAGAAATAGAAAACCCCAAAGGGGATAGGGGGCCAGCAAGGTGCACGAGCAATCGATTCTCAAAAGGGAAAAGGCAATTTTCAGAGTGGGAAGCGGGAAGAGTGGTGAGGAGGGTGCCTTAGTCAGGTCTGGCTGCCTTAACACAATACGGAAGACTGGATGCTTAACTGAAATGCACTCTTTCACAGCCCTGGAAGCTGGCAAACCAAGGTCAAGGTGCTGGCAGGGTCGATTCCTTCTCAGGCCTCTCGTTGGCTTGTGGGTGACCACCTTCTCCCTGTGTCTTCACGTGGTCTCCCTCCTGTGCCAGTCTGTGTGCTAATGTCCTCTTGTAAGGACAGCAGTCATACTGGATTAAGGGTCACCCTAATGACCTCATGTTAACTTCATTACCTCTTTAAAGCCCATATCTCCAAATACAGTCACATTCTGACGTGCTGGGGGTTAGGACTTCAGCATATGATTTTTTTTTTCTTTGAGATGGAGTCTCACTCTGTTGCCAGGCTGGAGTGCAGTGGCGCGATTTTGGCTCACTGCAACCTCTGCCTCCCAGGTTCAAGTGATGCTCCTGCCTCAGCCTCCTGAGTAGCTGGGACTACAGGCGTGCACCACCACGCCTGGCTAATTTTTGAATTTTTAGTAGAGACGGGGTTTCACTGTGTTGGCCAGGATGGTCTCAATCTCTTGACCTCGTGATCCGCCCGCCTCTGCCTCTCAAAGTGCTGGGATTACAGGCGTTGAGTTACCACACCCGGCCACACCATATGATTTTTTTGGGGGGTGGGGAGACATCAGTCCATAAGAGAAGGTTTGCCTAAGTAGAGAGCTATAGGAGTAGCCAGTTCCCAGGTATACACTGGAGCCAGAACCCACAGGTTCCCGAAGGCTTAAGGTAGGGCGGGAAGGGAGAAATAAAGGGTGATGGATACACTGTGGGCTTGAACCAGTGGGTGGGCTCTGGTGCCATATATTGAGATGGTGAGAACCTGGGGAGGAATAAACTTGAAGGTCGGCCTGGGATGGAGCCTGAGGCATTCCAGCTGTTAGAGGTTGAGTAGGAGAGGAGGAGCCAGAAAAGAAAACCAAAAGGGGCTGGGGAGGAAAATGGAAACCCAAACCTGTAGGGTGATGGAAACTAAAAGAGAATGGCCATCATTGAGTTCTGCTGAGAACCAGGCAGTGGGAGCCCTCTGTTCCAGGGGCAGGCACAGAAGGAGGCATTGTTTGCAGATGACAGAAAAACAAGAAGAGAACCCAGTCTGCTTTTCACTATCACCGTGTGCTGACAATTCTAAACAATGTGGGTGATTTATTGTTCTAAGTTCCAAATAACTACTGTGGTTATCTGAGCTTCAGTGGGCACATTCCTATCTCTTGGGCTTTACTAACCCTTGTACTTGGAAGTTCATCCAGAGAACTCACAACGATACTGGGGGCTGCTCTCACATACTCACTTTGCAGGTAAGTTCTTAACGGTTTGGAATCACTAGAGCTCATTGTGGTTGCAGCTTGTGTCTTCAACACTTAGGATAATACGTATTCCTGTGTTTAAACAGTAGATTCAAAGTAAGCCAGGACAGTGTAGTAATTGTAAAGACCAAAGACACAGAGCATGAGTTACTGTAATTATGTCATTCTCTATGGCCACTTGGAGTTTTGCTTGTGTTTAACATTTAAAACAGTGGGCCGGGCGCGGTGGCTCATGCCTGTAATCCCAGCAGTTTAGGATGCTGCGGCAGATGGATTACTTGAGTCCAGGAGTTCAAAACTGACCTAAGCAACATAGAAAGACCCCATCTCTACAAAAATTAAAAAATTAGCCAGGCCAGGTGGCACACGCCTGTGGTCCCAGCTACTCAGGAGGCTGAGGTGGGAGGATCACTTGGGCCTGGGAGGTTGAGGCTGCAGTGAGCCATGATTGTGCCACTGCACTTCAGCCTGGGCAACAGAGCAAGACCCTATCTATCTCAAATAAATAAATAAATAATAAAACTGTGGAAAAGAACTAACCATGTGGTATACTTTTATTTGGTAAGTGAAAATTTTAGTTCATGCATGAAATATTTTACCAAATTTGAATATCTTTAAATGGAAATTTATTCTTTTCAAAGTGTTCATTGTTGTTCAGCTAAAGAACAAATCAAGACAGTGCTGATTATTACTTATTACTATGTAATTATTACCAAAAATAACTCTGTTGTATGGAGGAGGAAGATGTTTAAAAATGATCAGCTCCCCTGGTGTCAAATATGCTAGTTATGCCACCAAAATAGTCAATATTTTATCTTCAAATATAAATACATAAAGGCAAAGCTTACTATCTTCTGGAGGGGTATTTATCCTTTTATTTATTTGCTTATTTATTTTGAGACAGGGTCTCACTCTGTTGCCCAGGCTGGAGTGCAGTGGTGCAATCATAGCTCACTGCAGCTTCTACCTCCTGGGTCCAAGTGATCCTCCCACCTCAACCTCCTAATTAGCTGGGACCACAAGCATGTGCCACCTCACCTGGCTAATCTTTGGTATTTTTTTGTAGAGATAGGTTCTTGCTCTGTTGCCCAGGCTTGTCTCAAGTTCCTGAGTTCAAGTGATCCACCCGCCTCAGCCTCCCAAAATGCTGGGATTACAGGTGTGAGCTACTGCACCTGGCCTTATCCTTTTAATTGCAGAAGTTGGTGAGGAAAATAATTCAGAGGTTATTCTGGCCAACACAGAGAAATTCTGGGTGAGTTGAGGAAAACGTCATATGAACTGTGTCAGCGTTCATATTAAATTAGCTGATGGCCCCATCTGTATTTTCACAGAAATGACTCGTGTGGTGTTTTAGTTTATTGAGTTTCCTTGAATATTTTCTCTTTTTCCAAAGCTATAAAAACTAGTGATTTCCTAATATTTCCCTCTCAAAGCAGTAAAGGGGCTTTAGGAAATTGAAAGGAGGGAATTGGAAAGTTGGTCTCCAAGCCTCTCAGCCCAGCTTCCACCAGAACAAACCCCATTTAAACATTAAAGTCCAGGTGTTATGGGCTAAATTGTGACCCCTCAACATTCACATATTGCAGCCCTAACCACCCGCCAGTCCTCCTCCACTCAGAATATGACTGTATTTGGAGATCAGGTCTTTAAAATGGTGATTAGGTTAAACTCAGGCTATTAGTGAGAGGTGACAGCGTGCTGGCAGTCCTCAGAGCCTTCGCTTGCTCTCGGCACCTCCTCTGCCTGGGCTCCCACTTTGGCGGCATTTGAGGAGCCCTTCAGCCCACCACTGCACTGTGGGAGCCCCTTTCTGGGCTGGCCAGGGCTGGAGCCCACTCCCTCAGCTTGCAGGGAGGTGTGGAGGGAGAGGCGCGAGCGGGAACCGGGGCTGCGTGCGGCGCTTGCGGGCCAGCTGGAGTTCCGGGTGGGCGTTGGCTTGACGGCCGGCACTCGGAGCAGCCGGCCAGCCCTGCTGGCCCTGGGCAATGAGGGACTTAGCACCTGGGCCAGCGGCTGCGGAGGGTGTACTGGGTCCCCCAGCAGTGCCAGCCCACCGGCGCTGCACTCTATTTCTCACCGAGCCTTAGCTGCCTTCCCGCGGGGCAGGGCTCGGGACCTGCAGCCCGCCATGCCTGAGCCTCCCACCCACTCCATGGGCTCCTGTGCCGCCCGAGCCTCCCCGACTAGCACCACCCCCCGCTCCACGGCGCCCAGTCCCATCGACCACCCAAGGGCTGAGGAGTGCGAGCGCAGGGCGCGGGACTGGCAGGCAGCTCCACCTGCAGCCCCCGTGCGGGATCCACTAAGTGAAGCCAGCTGGGCTCCTGAGTCTGGTGGGGACGTGGAGAAGATTTATGTCTAGCTCAGGGATTGTAAACACACCAATCAGCACCCTGTGTTTAGCTCAGGGTTTGTGAGTGCACCAATCAACACTCTGTATCTAGCTGCTCTGGTGGGGCCTTGGAGAACCTTTGTATCTAGCTCAGGGATTGTGAATGCACCAATCAGCGCCCTGTCAAAACGGACCTCTTGGCTCTACCAATCAGCAGGATGTGGGTAGGGCCAGATAAGAGAATAAAAGCAGGCTGCCCGACCCTGCAGTGGCAACCGGCTTGGGTCCCTTTCTGTATTGTGGGGGTTTTGTTCTTTCGCTCTTTGCAATAAATTTTGCTGCTGCTCACTCTTTGGGTCCACGCTGCTCTTATGAGCTGTAAAACTCACCGCGAAGGTCTACAGCTTCACTCCTGAGCCAGCGAGAGCACGAACCCACCAGAAGGAAGAAACTCCAAACACTTCTGAATATCAGAAGAAACAAACTCCAGACGCGCCACCTTAAGAGCTGTAAGACTCACCTGGAGGGTCCGCGGCTTCATTCTTGAAGTCAATGAGACCAAGAACCCACCAATTCCGGATACATTAGGGTGGGCCCTAATCCAATAAGACTGGTGTCCATATAAGAAGAGGAAATTTGGGGATCCGGCATGGTGGCTCACACCTGTAATCCCAGCACTTTGGGAGGCTAAGGCGGGCAGATCCCTTGAGGCCAGGAATTCGAGACCAGCCTGGCCAACATTCCCCGTCTCTACTGAAAATACAAAAAAATTGGCCCAGCGCGGTGACTCAAGCCTGTAATCCCAGCACTTTGGGAGGCCGAGGCAGGTGGATCACAAGGTCAGGAAATCGACACCATCCTGGCTAACATGGTGAAATCCTATCTCTACTAAAAATACACACAAAAAAATTAGCTGGGCGTGGTGGCATGTGCCTGTAGTCCCAGCTACTCGGGAGCCCGGGAGGCTGAGGCAGGAGAATCGCTTGAAACCGAGAGGTGGAGGTTGCAGTGAGCCGAGATCGTGCCACTGCACTCCAGCCTGGCTGACAGCGAGACTCTGTCTCGGGGGAAAAAAAAAAAAAATTAGCCGGACATGGTGCATGCCTGTAATCCCAGCTACTCAGGAGGCTGAGGCACGAGAATTGCTTGAGCCCAGGAGGCAGAGGTTGCAGTGAGCTGAGATCGCGCCATTGCACTTTAGCCTGGGCGACAGAGCAAGACTCTGTCTCAAAAAAAAAAAAAAAAAAAAAAGGAAATTTGGATACAGAGAGACTCCAGTGGTGCACGGTGCACAGAAGGACCACCAAGTGAAGAGGCAGCAAATGGGCAGCCCTCTGCCAGCCGAGGAGACAGGCCTCAGAGGAAACCCAACCCTGCTGACATCTTGATCGTGGACTTCCAGTCTCTAGAACGGTGAGAAAATAGATTTCTGTTGTTTAAGCCACCCAGCCTGTGCACTTTGGTATGGCATCCCTGGCAAGCTCATTCACTAGGGTAATATTTGAGCAGAGGATTCCACAGCTAGTAACTGTTGGAAATCACTGGAATTGAGCACAAGCTTTGGGATGTTCACGTCGGTTGGAAGCACAGCATTGCTGTTTAGTAGCACATTAATATTGGGACCCAATTTTTATGTCTGTAAACTGGGGTAATAACACCTACTTTGAGGGATTTCCCTGGGGATTCTATGGGGTAATGGGTGTAAAGTGCCAGGTGCACAGTAGAAGCCCAATTAATGAGGATGCTAACCCTAGCCCTCCCCAGGACCTGGGCTGGGCGGACACTGCCCTAGTGACTTTAGTGACGTCATGTCCTGCCCAATGGGACTGCGCTGGGGAGGGTGGAAATCAGTGCACTTTGCAATTAAGGGAGGGTCACTTTAAAAAATGTTTGCTGAGTTAGGCCGTCCGAGGTGGCTCACACCTGTAATCCCAGCACTTTGGGAGGCCAAGGTGGGTGGATCACGAGGTCAGGAGATCGAGACCATCCTGGCTAACACGGTGAAACCATGTCTGTACTAAAAATACAAAAAAACTAGCTGGGTGTGGTGGCAGGCGCCTGTAGTCCCAGCTACTCGAGAGGCTGAGGCAGGAGAATGGCGCGAACCCAGGAGGCGGAGCTTGCAGTGAGCCAAGATCGCAGCACTGCACTCCAGCCTGGGTGACAGAGCGAGACTCCGTCTCAAAAAAAAAAAAAAAAGAAGTGTTTGCTGAGTTAATAAATTTTCAAAATTTTGCCAAATTTGCAAGTAGTGCTACTTTGAATGATTTGGGAAGAATAAAAAATAGGTATATCCTGCAGCTTATGAAAATCACATGCCTATATTATACATGCACTATAGAGATATACATTTGGATACATACATTACAGACAATTTTATGTGAAAAGAGCAGGAGTCTAGAGAGGAAACAACCGATCATCATAGCACTCAGAGACAACCACTGCCCACATTTCAGTATATTTTCCTTCACTGTCTTTTCTATTGCCTTTTTTTTTTTTTTTTTTCCTTGAAACGGAGCCTGGCTCTGTCACCCAGGCTGGAGTGCAGTGGCTCAATCTCAGCTCACTGCAACCTCCGCCTCCCGGGTTCAAGCGATTCTCCTGCCTCAGCCTCTGAGTAGCTGGGATTACAGATGCCATGCCTACCACCACACCTGGCTAATTTTTGTATTCTTAGTAAACATGGGGTTTCACCATGTTGGCCAGGCTGGTCTTGAACTCCTGGCCTCAAGTGATCCGCCTGCCTCCGACTCCCAAAGTTCTGGAATTACAGGTATGAGACACTGTGCCCAGCCTCTATTGCCTTTTGTTTAGTAAATGAGATCAATTTTGTTTCATTTTTTTCATAACCTTTAAACTTTTAAACATAGGTACTTTTTATGCCGTTACAAAGGCTTAATATTCATTTTTAGTATCTATTTTTCCTCCATCCCCTTGGGCCCCAGTGTGGCCACAGACAGGCTCGATGTGAGGTTGGCTTTCGAGCTAGGGAAAATAAATCTGGATTTTTTAAAAAATTATTTTATTTTATTTTACTTTTTGAGACGGAGTCTCACTCTGTCACCCAGGCTGGAGGGCAGTGGCACGATCTTGGCTCACTGCAATCTCTGCCTCCTGGGTTCAATCAATTCTCCTGCCTCAACCTCCTGAGTAGCTGGGATTACAGGCACCCACCAACACGCCCGGCTAATTTGTATTTTTAGGGGAGACAGGGTTTCACCGTGTTGGCCAGGCTGCTCTCGAATTCCTGACCTCAGGTAATATCCTTGCCTCGGCCTCCCAAAGTGTTGGGATTACAGGCATGAGCCACCATGCCGGGCCATAAATCTGCATTTGGAGGTAGTGTCCAAATTTCTGCAAAGTCATTTCATTGTAAGGAGACCTTCACAGGAGATCCCCTCACTCCATCTGAGTTCCCATGACTCTGCCCTTTAAGAAGAGGCTAGAACTCTGGAGAGGTTGAGGTCTCCTGGGAACTGAGGGACAACAAAAGTGTCAGAGATTTGGGGGGTGTGGCGGGGACTCTCCTGGCTGGCATGGCACACACACACAGGCTAATCAGGTAGAGCGAGAACTAGGGAAGATGACTCATTCCCCTCTCCCACCAGCCCCTGCGCCTCCGCACCCTCCCCTCTCTCCCACTTTCCCTCTCTAGTTTTGGCCCTTTCTCCACCATCTCTGCCTTTCTCTGCCCTTTTATCACTCCCACCGCCTTGGCTCCAGAATGGTCTTCACTTCTGGAAACAGCTGTGGCTTATAAGAGTTTCTTAGTTGATTTTCTTGGATTTTTTAGGTTAAAAAAAAAAAAAATCAAAGGTCGGGTGTGGTGTCTCATGCCTGTAATACCTGCACTTTGGGAGGCTGAGGCGGGAGGATGGCTTGAGCCAGGAGTTCAGGACCAGCTTGGGCAACATAGTGAGACCCCCGTCTCTACAAAAAATACAAAAATTAGTCTGGTGTGGTGGTGTGCATCTGTAGTTCCAGTTACCGGAGGCAGGAGGATGGCTTGAGCCCAGGAGTCCAGGTTACAGTGAGCTACGATCATGTCACTGCACTCCAGGCTGGGTGACAGAGGGAGACTTTGTCTCAAAAACAAACAACAAACAAACACAAAAACCACCAAAAACACAAATATTCTGCAAACAATGAGAAGTTGATCACCTCAAATGTCTAAACTTTCCAGTTTTTATGTCTTTTTGTCAATTTGCTTTTGTTAATACCTCTTTAAAAAAAGGTAAACACTAGAGGCATGGGTACATAGCCTTGACTTGTCCTGAAGTGAATATGGTTCCTCTGTGCTTCTCCATTTAGCCGTGTGTGGTGTTTTGATCATTTTATTTAGATCCTTAAATGAATTTGCGTAGAGTTGTTCTAACTGTGAGTTGGGTAAAGAACATATAATAATGTTTCGCTTTTTGAAACATTCTCTCTGTCACCCAGGGTGGAGTGTGCAGTGGCGCAGTCTCGGCTCACTGCAAACTCTGTCTCTTGGGTTCAAGCGATTCTCGTGCCTCAATCTCCCCAGTAGCGGGATTACAGACGTGAGCCACCACACTCAGGGTTTTGCCATGTTGGCCAGGCTGGTCTTGAACTCCTGACCACAAGTGATCCGCCCGCCTTGGCCTCCCAAAGTGCTGGGATTACAGGCATGAGCCACCACGCCCGGCCTCTTTTTAATCCATTTTAATGTTTGTAATATAATTGAATTATCCCACGTCTGGTTTGCTTGAAACACTTTGGTGTTACTTTTTTTTTTTTTTCTGGCTTCCTCTCCCTCCCCAGTTATATTTTTCTATATGGGCAGTGTTTCTTTCTTAACCAACTTCCCTAACTTCTGGCAATTATTTGGAAAACATAGCATTTACTGACTTTGCCATAGTTATACGCCTCTTCTCCTCCCCACCATACTTTGGAATGTACTCTGGGGTTCCTGTCCCAGTTTATGGCGATAAAGAAATTGCTTTTGTTTTTACATTCTGTAGTCTTCCTTTCAAGATTTATAATATTTGTATACCATTTTGTTGCTCTGATTATTTAAGTTAATTGAATGTTTTAAGTAAATGAATTATTTAGCACAAGGTCTCTTCTCCCAGGTCATCCCAGCTTGTGAGTCATTTATTTGAATTCATCTCTTGGTTGTGGGGACCATGTCTTCCAGTGGCTTTCTAGGAAGGACCGTGAATCTCAAAGCATAACTCAGAAATATTTCATGAGCTGGGTAACTAATTCACAAGCACACCAAGGAGACAGACATTAGATTCTTACCAAGGCACAAAGACCTAAATAAATAAACAAACAAACCAGTGGGAGGATTTATAAAGACAGAAGAAAAAGGTGCCAGCCTAGGCAGGGTGATTTTTCTAATGATTAGCTGGAGGCTATCAAAGAGGCTAGTCTGGGTGATCTGTTCTGGAAGAGATTGAAGAGGTCACTAGAGAAAAAAAAAGTTATCTGTGGATTTTGCAAGATGTCTTTTGAGTAAAGCTGTGCAGTACACGTGACAGGCTGTCCCTACACAGTGTCTGCCAGTATGGCCTGGCATCCCCACCTGACAGGCCAGCATCACTCCATTTCTCTTGGCAGAATGTGACTGCAGGTTTGAGAATATCTTTCTATTGCCATCACATTTTATAGAATTTCCCAGTCTTAACATTTTCCATCTAAAATTCTACAGATATTGTTCCATTGCTTTCTGGCAGATGAGTTGCTAGGAAAATCTATCAGCCACTTAATTTTTTTCCTTTGAATTTTGCCTAAATCAAAATTCATTTTTTTAATTATCAGAGAAAATATTTTTACCATAATCTGGATCAACCTTTTATTTATATATTTATTTTCTAGAACACCATTTTAATCTGTAGATTCACATTTTCTTTTGTTTTAATAAAATATTGTTGTATTTAACATTGTGTGTGTGTGTGTGTGTGTGTGTGTGTGTGTGTCTGTGTGAGACACAGGGTATCACTCTGTCACCTAAGCTGGAGTACAGTGGCACAACCACAGCTCACTGCAGCCTCAACCTCCCAGGCAAAAACGATCTTCCCACCTCAGCCTCCCAAGTAGCTGAGACTATAGGCATGCGCCACCATGCCTAGCTAATTTTTTTTTTTTTTTGGACGGAGTCTCGTTCTATTGCCCAGGCTGGAGTGCAGTGGCGATCTAGGCTCACTGCAAGCTCGGCCTCCTGGGTTCATGCCATTCTCCTGCCTCAGCCTCCTGAGTAGCTGGGACTACAGGTGCCCGCCACCACGCCCAGCTAATTTTTTTGTATTTTTAGTAGAGATGGGGTTTCACTGTGTTAGCCAGGATGGTCTCGATCTCCTGACCTCGTGATCTGCCCGGCTCGGCCTCCCAAAGTGCTGGGATTATAGACGTGAGCCACCGTGCCCGGCCATGCCTGGCTAATTTTTTAAATTTTTGGCAGAGACGGGAGTCACTCTGTTGTCAGGGCTGGTATTGAACTCCTAGGCTCAAGTGATCCTCCTGCCTTGGCCTCTCAAAGTGCTGAGATTACAGGTATGAGCCATCGTGCTCAGCCTGCATTTAATTTCTTTTTCCTGTAATTTTGTTTTTTTCCTCAGGTATACTAATTGTCCACGTGTTAAATCTCCAGTGTATGCCCCTGTATTTATGTTTTTGTCTAACTGCTTTAATCCCTTTGGCCTTTTCTTTGAATTCCATGTAATTTTCTACGTGGAGTTTTTCTTTTTCTTTTTCTCTTGTTTTTTTTGAGACGGAGTCTTGCTCTGTCGCCCAGGCTGGAGTGCAGTGGCGCGATCTTGGCTCACTGCAAGCTCCACCTCCCAGGTTCACGCCATTCTCCTGCCTCAGCCTCCCAAGTAGCTGGGACTGCAGGCACCCGCCACCACGCCCGGCTAATTTTTTTTGTATTTTTAGTAGAGACATGGTTTCACCGTGTTAGCCAGGATGGTCTTGATCTCCTGACCTCGTGATCCGCCTGCCTCGGCCTCCCAAAGTGCTGGGATTACAGGCCTGAGCCACTGAGCCTGGCCTCTATGTGGAGCTTTTCATGTCTGAGAGTGGCTTTTGTTCACAAAAGACTTTAGTTACTCAGATTTTAAGTTATATTAGTTTATAAAAATAACAAATTTAAGTACCTAGTTTTTACTCTGTTTTAAATTTTAATTTATAAATATTATAATTTTATTTATATATCTAATTTTTTTATAAAATGAGAGCAACTTTGACAAACTTAAGGTGACAGAACAAATTTCACTTAAACATTTGGTCCCAGTTTTATTATTAAACATTTCAACTGTATTTATAAATGTGATATATTTGATCTTTTTCCATTGAAATTTTTATTGAGAAACTTAGAGTCCCATGCAATTGTGAGAAATATACAGAGAGATCCCATGTACCTTTTACCCAGTTTCCCCCACTGGTAACATCTTGTAAGCTGTAGTATAATATCACAACCAAGATATTGACATCAGTGCAATTTCCTAATCTTACTCTGTCAATCTCCCCAACACACCCTGCCACTCACTACTCCCTGTTCCTGACCCTTGCAAACTCTAATCTATTCTCCATTTCCAAAATTTTGTCTTTTCAAAAAGTTTATATAAATGGAATGACTAAGTAGCACTCTAGGATTGGATATTTTCACCAAGTTGTCAAATGAATGTATGTAAAGTTCCTTATCAGACTTTTGCTGTCTGCAAGGTCTGTAATGATATCCCCTGCTTCAGTTCTGATATTTGTAATTCGTGTCTTCTCTCTTTTTTTATGTCAGTTTTATTAGAGGTTTATTAATGTTACTGATCTTTTCAAAGAACCAGCTTTTGTTGTTGATTTTTTCTACTGCTTTTCTGTTTCAATTTCATTGATTTCTGCTCTTTTTAACATTTTCTTCCTTCTCCTTTCTTTAGGTCTATTTTGATCTTTTTCTTTTGATTTGAGACTTTTCTTTTTTTCCTATTATATGTATTTATACTACAAATTTTCATCTTAGCACTGTTTACCTGTGCCCCACAAATTTTGATAAGGTCTATTTTCATTTTCATTTTATTCGGTGAATTTTCTTATTTTCCTCAGGATTTTCTCTTTGACTGATGGATTGTTTAGAAGTATGTTGTTTAGTTTCCAAGTGTTTGGGAACATTCTAGCTACCTTTCTGTTATTTATCGCTAGTTTGACTCTATTGTGATCAGAGAGCACACTCTGTATAATTTCAATTCTTTTAAATTTGTTGAGGTTTGCTTTATGGTCCAGGATATTATCCACCTTGGAGTATGTTACATACGCACTTGAAAAGAATGTGTATTCTGCTGTTGTTGGCTGGAATGTTCTATACATGTTGATTAGATCCTGTTTATTAATGGTATTATTGATTTCTTCTATATCTTTGTTGATTGTTTTCTGTCTAGTTGTCCTGTCCATTGTTGAGAAAGTCTTTAACTGTAATTATAGATTTATTTACTTCTCCTTTGAATTCTCTGAGTTTTGGCTTTACATACCTCGCAGTTCAGTTTGATGCTTATATATTTAGGACTGCTGTTTTCTTGGTAAATAGACTCTTTTATCATTGTATAATGTCCCTCTCTGTGTCTTGTAATTTTCTGTGTTTCTAAGTCTACCTTATCTGATATTAATATGGCCTCTCCTGCTTTTGTTTAATTAATGTTTGCATGATAGATCTTTTTGCATTTTTAAAATTTCAACCTGCCTATATTGTATTTGAAATGAGCTTCTTGCAGATAACATATACTTAAATTTTGTCTTTTTACACGACTATTCCAACCTCTGTCTTTTAATTGGTATATTTGGAACGTTTACATTTTATGTAATTATTGATATGTTAGAGTATAAGTCTGCTATTTTCTTTTCTGCTTGTTGTGTTTTTCAATTTTCTGTTTTCATGTCTTCCTGTGGGTTACTTGAAAATTTCTTTTAGAATTTTGCTTTGATTTTTCTTTTTTTCCTTTGTTTTTTTTTTGCTTTGATTTGTCTATTACTTTCAAAAAATATCTATTTATATCCTTTTTAAGTGGTTGCTCTAGGTATTACATGACTTATCACAATCTTTTGGTGTTGTCATTTTACCAGTTTGAGTGAAGTCCAGAAAGCTTACCTCCCTTTACATCCTTTTACCTTCCCCCATTTATAATTGTCTTAAATATTTTCTTGACATACATTTAGAACCACATTAAAGTTATATTTTTTAACTAGCAAACATAATGTAGAAGATTAAGAAGAGAAAAAATCTATTGTAATTACCCATATTTTTGCCTACTTTGTTCTTTCTTCCTTCCTGATATTCAAATATTTTAAAAAATTGTTTCTGTTTAGAGAACTTCTTTTAGCCATTCTTTCACGATAGGTCTCCTGCCAACAAATTCTCTTAGTTTTCCTTCATCTGAGAATACCTTGATTTTCTCTTCATTGCTGAAGCATATTTTCATGGGATATAGGATTCTGGGTTAGCAGTTGTTTTCATTTGGCACTTTCAAAATCTTATACCGTTTCTTTTGTTCTTCTGGTTTCTGATGAGAAATCGACAGTCATTCAAATAGCTTTTCCTCATAGGTAAAGTAAGGTAGGTTTTTGTTTTCTTTTTTTTTCTGGCTGCTTTCAGTTTTTTTTCTTTTGCCATTAATTTTCAGAAATTTAATAATGCTACATCTTGGCATGGATTTCTTTGGTTTTGTACTGTTTCAGGTTCACATAGCTTTCTAAATCTGTTGGTTTATTTTCCAAATTTGGAAAGTTTTCAGCCATTGTTTCTCTGAGTATTTTATTAACCTCACCCTCTTTCTCCTTTCTTTTGGGGTGACCAATCACAAGAATGTTAAATCTTTTTTGTTATGGTCCCGTGGGTCCCTTAGGCTCTGTTCATTTTTGTTTTCAGTCTATTTTCTCTCTGTTGTTCTGACTGGTGATTTCTATTGGTCTATTTCCCAGTTCACTGTTTCATATGGTTTGGCTGTGTCCCCACCCAAATCTCATCTTGAGTTGTTGCTCCCATAATTCCCAAGTGTCATGGGAGGGACCCGGTAGGAGGTAATTGAATCATGGGAGTGGGTCCTTCCCATGCTGTTCTCGTAATAGTGAATAAGTCTCCTGAGATCTGATGGTTTTATAAATGGGAGTTCCCCTGCACTTGCTGTCTTGCCTGCCACCATGTAAGACATGCTTTGCTCCTCCTTTGTTTTCTACCATGATTGTGGGGCCTCCCCAGCCATGTGGAACTGTGAGTCCATTAAACCTTTTTTTCTTTATGAATTACCCAGTCTTGGGTATGTCTTTATTAGCAGCATAAGAACAGACTAATACACTATTTCTTTTATTTTCCACTTCCATTTTGCTACCGAGCTTTTTATTTGTGATTGCATTTTTCAATTCTAAAATTTCTTTTTAGCTCTTTGTATCTTTCAGGTCTTTGCTGAAACTATTTTTACATTTGTTTCAAGGGTGGTCATAATTGCTTGTCGAAGCATTTTTATTGTGGCTGCTTTAAAATCTTTGTAAGATAATTTAACATTTCTGGCATCTCAGTGCTAGCTAGTATCTATTGATTGTCTGTTTTATTGAGTCCGAGATCTTTCTAGTTCTTGGTATCATAGTTATTTTTAGTTGAATGCTGGACATCTTAGGTGTTATGAGATGCTGGATCTTACTTGTACCTTCTGTTTCAGCTCTCTTTCTCTGACACTACCCAAGCAGAGGAATGGGGGGCAAGCCTTGTTACTGTCAGGTGGGATTTAAAGTCTAGGTTCTCCATGCAGCTTCCTTTGACACCTGAATGGGGGTTCCTCATTACTGCTGGGTGGGAGTGGGAGTTCTGGGTCCCCACTAGACCTCCACAGATACCTTCCTATCTGGGAGGGGTAGAAGCGCCTTGTCGTTTTTCCTCATGTGGCCTGCACTAACATCAAGAAGGTAAGGTGGCCTCTTGATTACTAGGTGGTGATAAAAGCCTTACTGTCAGCTAGACCTCCTCTAATGCCACCTCAAGGTGGAGTGGGAAGGGAGTTTTGTTATTGCCGGGTAAGGGGTGGAAGTCCAGGTTCTCTAGGGGTCTCTACCGACGTTGCAAGGGGCGAGGCTCATTAGTGCCTGGAGGGATTGAAAATCCCAGCTGCTACTTGGCCTTCTCTGACCTCGTCCTGGTGGACAGATTGTGGTGCTCATTACAACCTGGTGAGGGCAACAACCTAGGCTTCCCCTTGGCCCATGTTCACGTGGCTGGGGATGCTGTCTGGCTGGGGTAGACCAGTCATTTTTGCAGTGTTTTCTGTCTTGCTTGGCTGCCCCTTTCCTCACCCATTTCCTACAGGGATAAAGAGGGTTTTTATTGGGATTTTGCTTTTGGAGGGTTACTTGTGTTTATTTAGTCTGTATCCATTGGTATTGTTGAGTTTCTGGCTTCCTCAAGCTGCAAGTCTGGTGATTTAGGGCATAAAGAAAACCCAGGAAACTTAGCACTTTGTCATTCCTTGAGCCGTGAGGTCGCTCGCTGACCTGCTTTCTTCTCTCCACCTTTCAGAGTCTTCTTATGCTTGTTTTACATATGATATCCAGGAAGTTTAGTTGTATTTAGTGGAAGGAATAGGAAAAAGTATGTTTTTTCCATCTTCTACCAAGTCTTGATTTCCTTTTAAAACGCATTAAATGGAGCACCCAGCGGCTATGAAGCAAGACCTTCCTATGTGCCATACTCAGCAACCCTCACTGATTTAAAAATACTGTAAATCTAGTTCTCTTTAGTATTATAATAGTATTTACAACTTCATCAAATTCTTTTATATCTGCCCATTTAAAACTGTAAGCCTGAGATCCATTTTACTTTTAAAATTGAATCACTACCTAATGTATTAGACAGATTTCACTAATATGCCAAACACATGTGAACATTACAATGACGTCAAATAACAAACATAAACTGGATATTCATAAACCTAACTTTCCTGGGTTGGAAAGACACTTAAGCATGAAGAGAACAATTTGTCTTCTCAAACAAGCTGAGGTTACTGCATGGACAGTTCAATGCCTGTATTCATTACCTTTTCAGGCAGGCTGTGTTTGCTTAGAGTGAGGAGTTGTTAGACTCAAACCACAGACTTCAGAGCTGCAGGTGCCCAAGGTGATCCTGCCCACGGCAAGGAGAGTGTGCTGGCTTGTCATTTAGGGTCACTATGGCAGCGGGGGACTCCAGGTTCATCCCCTCAGCTGAGGCCGTTTGCAACCCCATGTGCCCTGGATTCAATCCTTTCATAATCTTTCAATCATACCTCCCATTTTGGGTAAAATTCTATAGCTCACACCCAGCCTGCTTCTCCCACTGATAAGGTCCATCTAATTTATTTAATCCCTGACCTTGGTGCCTGGCTATTGGCCACAGGATTAGGACAATTCTAGGCTGGCCACGGTGGTTCATGCCTATAATCCCAGCACTTTGGGAGGTCGAGGTGGGCAGATCACCTGAGGCCAGGAGTTCGAGACTAGCCTGGCCAACATAGTGAAACCCCGTCTCTACTAAAAACACAAAATTTAGCCAGGCGTGGTTGTGCATGCATGTAGTCCCAGCTACTCGGGAGGCTGAGGCAGGAGAATTGCTTGAACCCGGGAGGTTGCAGTGAGCCAAGATTGTGCCGCTGCACTCCAGCCTGGGTGACAGAGTGAGACTGTCTCAAAAAAACAAAACAAAACAAAACAATTTTAATGACATGCTAAAGTTGGAGAGTCTTCACCTTGCAGTGTTCAAGAGCAGGGGGTTGACAGGCTAGATCTGGGTTTGAGTTCCAAATCTCTGGGTCTCCCTTGGCTAAACCTCTGTTTATCCCCATACCATAAGGTTAACAATTTTCATCTGAGAGGGCTGCTACAAAGATTAAAGTGCAATTTGGTTTTTTTTGTTTGTTGTTAGTTTGTTTGAGATGGAGTCTCGCTCTGTCACCCAAGCTGGAGTGCAGTGGTGTGATCTCGGCTCACTGTAAGCTCTGCATCCTGGGTTCACGCCATTCTCCTACCCCAGCCTCCTGAGTAGCTGGGACCACAGGCGCCCGCTACCGCGCCCAGCTAATTTTTTGTATTTTTAGTAGAGACGGGGTTTCACTGTGTTAGCCAGGATGGTCTCGATCTCCTGACCTCGTGATCCGCCCGCCTCAGCCTCCCAAAGTGCTGGGATTACAGGCATGAGCCACAGCGCCCATCCCCACTAAAGTGCAATTTGTTTAGCAAGCTTTATGTCAATAAGTAGTAACTATCTTGATTTTTTGTAAGCCTTTACTCCATATCACTGATTTGTTTTCAGCATTGTTGACTCTAGCTTTGCTGGTTTGATGATGAACATGATTGCCTCTTTCACGTCTTTCCATAGCTCTGACAGTTCTCTTTCATCTCAATTCATGGCTTACCCATTGAACATGGAAATCAGGCTTTGACTTCCTTGAGAGTGTGAAGCAGTTATTAACTGGAAATTTCTTGTTTTCTCAAGAGAGTCTTCCAAAATATTCTTATCCTGTATCTGTTCCCTGCTCTGCTTTCTTGCTTTCTCTATCTCTTTCTCTTTCTTTCTTTTTTCTTTGTTTCTTTCTTTTTCTTTCTTTCTTTCTTTCTTTTTCTCTTTCTCTCTTTCTTTCTTTTTCTTTCTTTCAGTAGAAATTCTGCCCATCCTTTGTGCTGCTTTTGTTGCATTTACTCACCTTTGATGGGGACCATTCTACCTTATCTGCTGTTTGCCCTCAAAGGTGTGGGTAGATGTGCTTTGACTCCCTTCCCTGTTTATCTAGGAATCTCTAGATAACATCCACCCATGATGGAGACCTGGACACTGATACCTTTTTTCCTGTTTAACCTCTGAGTTGCCTAAAGAGGGTTTGGTAGAAACTAGATTCCTGGACAGCCTTCCCCCGGTGCTTGTCCCTACTGAGTCTCTCTCTGAATTTGTTGAACACCTCAATACCATGACCCAGCTCTAAAGAGGTGGGGACATGGCTTGCTTCCTGGGTTTTGGGTTTGTTCCTCCATTTTGGGGAGGTGCAGCCACTTTGTCGAAAAAGCTGGGCCTCTGTTTTCAGAGACAGCATGTGGTGCTAAGTGGACTTGCCTCTCAGCCTCACGCTGCCTAGTCCAGGGACCCTGGGCAGACAAAACAATGCCATGGTGTGGCCTGCTCCCACTTCCATTAAGCCAGCATGGAGTGTGGGTAGGGCTGGTGGAACCAGAATCCAAACGGGTGCTCTCTGCTCATCCTTTTTCCCCAGGAGTTGAATGCCCTCCAGTCTAGGGACTGGGGACCTGTCAGATCTCCCGAAACTCCTCTCACAACCATGCCCAGAAAGGAAATTCATGACTCAGCTCCCTGAGTTCTCTCTGCATTTTGGTTTTGTCTTTATTCTAGGTCATTTTTTATTCTTCTTGCTGGGTATCTGGAAAGATAGGTTTTGTAATATAATATAATGCCACTGTCATTTTTAGAAATGCGTTGGAAAAAATTGTGAGACAGCAAAATGCATCTAATTTTTTCTCCATTTCTCCATCCCCAAGCCACTTCTCCCAGTCAGCTTTTTGAGGGACAGCCCTCCCTCCCCCATCCCGCCTGTGCTTTATGTCAGAGCCCACTCAGACTGCCCCACCCCTGACCAAAACCTAGGTCTTAAGTGCCCTTAGGTCAGTGCTTCCGGATTCAGAGTGACCAAGGGACTGCATTTTAATTACTTTCAGGGAGCAGAACGATTTCAACCCTGGTCTCCTAGATTATAATCATCCATCCCACAGGCTGTCTGATGGCAAGAATTTTAAGCCCCATTTAAGGTGGACGCTAGAATTATTTCTGGATGGAGCAGAGTAGCACAAGCTGCTGAGCTGCAAATCACCGTGATAGTGGCTGCCCAACCCAGTAACCCACAAGGCTACCACGCCTTGTCAGTGCCACTGTGGTGTGAATTAGACCTTTTTACAGGTTACATCAATGCGGGAGAAGGAAGGGCAATGATGGGCAACAGTGCTGAAATATCTGGTGCTCAGAAACTTCCTTCCTCTTTATTCCTCTGTTAGGTCCCTGGGGAGGGGAACAATGAATGGGAAACCCTAGCACCGCCGTTAGCTAGCTTACAGTGCTATTAGGTTGGTGCAAAAGTAATTGCGGTTTTTTACTTATTAGCAAAACCACAATTACTTTGCACCAACCTAATAGTAGCTGAACAAAAGTGTTTGTTGAACTTAATTGATCTTACAAGACTGTGCCAACATGGAAGAAAAAAAGAAAAGAGCCCATCTTGGAATCAGACCTATCTTTGCTCAAAGTAAGACTCTAGAATGTACCATCTGTGCAACTTGAGGCAAGTTATTTCACCTGTCTGGGTCTCGGTTTTGCCATGAATATGAAAGCTAGTCGTGTCACTCTAGGAGAAGCGGTTTGTGTTGGTGGCAGGTGCGCCCCCTCCCAATAGGTGACAAGAACACGCACTCTCCCGTTCCTGCGTTACCTCCCCCAGGCCGCGCGGTGGCGCTGCGTCTCTGCAGCGGCCCGGGTCTCTCTAGGGCGCTCGGGCGCGCTGGCCCCTGGGGACGCCGAGGGCGGCTGCGACGCGCCGAGAGGCCGCGGTGAGTGCAGCAGCACTGGGGGGGTGGTCGTCCCGACCCCCGGGCTCCCGGGTGGGAAGGAGCAGCTGGGCTGCGCGGAGCAGGCCCCCGTGAGCCCCGGGAAGGAGCGCAGCGCAGGGTGTGGAGCCACCCTCAGCATCCGACCGCAGGCGGGGACGAGAGCCTTGGGCAGGAGCCAGGAGACCCCTTCCCTGACCCCTGACTTGCCGGGGGTCCCTGGCATCACTTCCCCGCCACCGAGCCTTGGACCAGAGGGTTTCTAAGGCCCTTTCGGTGCCGGCGTTGCGGGGTCGCGGGAGATCCGGGGGTCTGTGCTCTGATTCCCGGCCCTGCCCGTCTCTCTTACAGGCTCTCCCACCTGTCACCCTGGCCCTTCTCTGCTTGGATGGTGTCTTCCTCTCCTCAGCCGAGAATGACTTCGTCCACCGGATCCAGGAGGAACTGGACCGCTTTCTGCTGCAGAAGCAGCTGTCAAAGTAGGCTCATGTGAGGGGCGAGGGTGCCGCCTTGCTGGGAAGGGCAGGGTTCCCGAGCCGCCTGTGTGCCCTCCCCCAGGTGGTGCCTGGCAGCTGGCTCTGACCTTGGCCTTTAGTCTTTATAACGCCAGCTGCCTCTTTTAGCTGCATCTTTGTAATTGTGAGCATCACCCCCAGACTGATGGGGCCCGGCACAGGGATTGGGGATGGGACCTGTGGGTCCCTGCGATCACCTCTATCTATGCTCAGATCCTTTGCAGTCCATCTGGGACCCAGAGGGGCAGAAGGGAGCCCAGTGTTAATCCGCGATTAACCTGGGAGTGGACCTGGTAGGGGCCAGGCCCTGGACACCTGCTCAGCACTTCTTCCCCTCCCTCCCCAGGGTTCTTCTTTTCCCCCCACTCTCCAGTCGCCTCCGGTACCTGATCCATAGAACAGCAGAGAATTTTGATCTCTTGAGCAGCTTCTCCGTTGGGGAGGGCTGGAAGAGGAGGACGGTCATCTGTCACCAGGACATCAGGTGTGTAGCCTCCCACCTTGAAGTGCCTGCAGCGGTGGTGTGTGGGTGGCCAGCTAGCTGGTCAGCCTTTGGAAGGGCAGGGCTGGGGGGAACCAGGGCTGGGACCCCCGGCTGCTGCCATTCCTAGCTGCAGCTGCTCAGCCAGGGCTGCCTTTTGCATCAACAGTGGAGCAGATATGCAGTTTGTGGAATTCACTTGGCAAAATCAGCTATATGGTTGGGCCAAAAGAGAGAGAGAGATCTGTTTAAGTAGTGGGTGTGTGGCGGGGGGCCTCCCTAGCATTCCTCTCAGTGAGCTTGTGTCCCACAGAGACCAGAAAAGCACCTGCTGGGCTTCGGTCCCCTCTGTTCCCATGTGCGTCTCAGTGAGCATCTTACTTTAATGACTGTGATCCTAGTGTTTGAAGTGACATGTTTTTCTGATAGCATACTTCTTAAATGCAAGAGCTTACCTCCCCTGGTGTGTAACTGAAGATGGACTGATCTCTAATTTGGATCACAGCACTAGAGGGCAAGCTGGCTGCTCTGGGCTCATGCAAAAGTGACAGCCTCCACTGTGATGCCTTCCTAAGGGATTTTCGAGGGTCATTTTGGCTGTGGTTTTTGCCTAATGCTGACCCGAATGTCTCTCCTGAATGACAAGTGGCTCTAGTAAATCATTTTCCTTTGGGCCCCTACACACTCTGATTACCTCCTCCCATTCCTGCTCCAGGGTACCCAGTTCGGATGGCCTCTCTGGCCCCTGCCGCGCTCCTGCCTCCTGCCCCAGCAGGTACCACGGTCCTCGGCCCATCTCCAACCAAGGAGCAGCTGCGGTTCCCCGAGGTGCCCGGGCTGGCCGGTGGTATCGTGGACGCAAGCCTGACCAGCCTTTGTATGTGCCCCGGGTGCTGCGCAGGCAGGAAGAATGGGGGCTGACCTCTACCTCGGTGCTCAAGAGAGAGGCCCCAGCTGGCAGGGACCCAGAAGAGCCTGGAGATGTTGGTGCTGGAGACCCCAACTCTGATCAGGGACTCCCTGTGCTGATGACTCAGGGAACAGAGGACCTAAAGGGCCCAGGACAAAGGTGTGAGAATGAGCCACTGCTGGACCCTGTTGGCCCTGAGCCTCTGGGGCCTGAGAGTCAGTCAGGGAAGGGAGACATGGTGGAGATGGCCACACGGTTTGGGTCCACCCTGCAGCTAGACCTGGAAAAGGGGAAGGAGAGTCTGTTGGAGAAGAGGCTGGTGGCAGAGGAGGAAGAGGACGAAGAGGAGGTGGAAGAGGATGGCCCCAGCAGCTGCTCGGAGGACGATTACAGTGAGCTGCTGCAGGAGGTGATGAGGCTCTTGAGCCCGAAAAGGGAGGGCGGAGGTGAGGTGGGTGTGGCCGTGGGTGGATGGGGACCAAGGGTTATGGTGTGGAGAGCAGGGGATGTGCAAGGGGAGGTAGGGCTGGGTGTTGGGTGACAGGGATTCCTTAGGGAACTCAGGAGATGAGGTGTGGATTTGGGTCCCAGCCCAGCCATGTAGGAGCTGCTTGACCCTGGGCAAGTTATTTTGTTTGGCTGAGTCTCAGTTTCCTCATCTGAAACTAAAACCAGTTGATAATACAGCCTTCACTAGGTCATGGAGATGGACTCTGTGTGCAAGTACATCGTCTTGTGTTACGGATGCCAGTCATGGAAATTACTCTTTAGCCTGAAGTTTTATCTTATAAATCTTGTTTTCTTGGGACCGTGCGACTGCCCCTGAGACTGGCTGTGGGTTCAGTTGGGAGGGTGGCATCTTTTATGGCTATTTTATACATGAAGAATGCAGACCACAGACCTGCCAAATATCACATCACTAGTAGAGGAGGGAAAGTTCTTGGACTTGCCCAGCTCTGCCTCTTACTGACTTTGCACTTTGGGAAAAATTACTTAACTCTTGGGCCTTCAGTTTCCCCATCTGTAAAACAGCTTTCTAAAATATAGTTTTCAGGATTCTATGGAACATTATGTGTGTAATTGCCAGTCACTTAGTGGGGACTCCATACAAGTAAGTGCCCTCCCGTAAAACCCATGCGTCTTGACGTCTTGACCTTGCAGCCCAGTCTGCCTGCTGCTGCCTTTCCCAGACTTTTGCCAGGTGGGCCCCTTCTCCCTGCAGAGCTCTCAGCGCGTGGGCTAGTGGTTTGGGAGCTCTGCGTGTCCAAGCTCCCCTTGCTAAGGGTCCGATCTCTCCTAGATCACAGACAACCTGACGAAGAA
The DNA here is from genome assembly GCF_000001405.40 of Homo sapiens. Taxonomy (NCBI): domain Eukaryota; kingdom Metazoa; phylum Chordata; class Mammalia; order Primates; family Hominidae; genus Homo; species Homo sapiens. The sequence continues at coordinate 23,291,384 of NC_000008.11, forward strand.
GGAGATTCAGATAGAGAAGATCCATTTGGACACATCCTCCTTCGTGGAGGAGCTGCCTGGAGAGAAGGACCTTGCCCACGTGGTAGAGATCTATGACTTTGAACCAGCGCTCAAGACGGAGGACCTGCTGGCAACGTTTTCTGAGTTCCAGTGAGTGGTGGCTGGGGAGGTGCTGCCTTCAGAGAGGAGCTAAGATACTTCTCTGTAGCTGGGGGTGCTTGCCTGCCCCACACCCAGTGCCTAATGCTTCAGCAAGAGAGACAGAAAGTGGGTGTGTTGCCTGGGCTCTGTATTCCTGGGCAGTTCTCCCTGCCGGCCGTCCCTCGGGAAAGAGAGCACTGATTTGTTGGTTGTAGACACACCCTGCAGGCCCTAGACCTGGGCTGCCCCCCTGCATGGCCACACGCCTGCCAGGATGCCATGCGCCCTCCCTCAGTCTCAAGGGACATGGCAGCCTCCTCTTCTCCTCTTGCCTGCCTCCCAGCGGCTGCTCAGTGTGTCTCCAGCAGGCTACGGGCCAGCTCCATGTGGGAACTGTTTCTAGGGTGCACTGAGCAGCCTGCTGGGGCAGAGTGGAGGTCGGAATGGTGGCCAGAGGCTGTATTGAGAGACACGACTTCCCTCCTCCTCAGCTTCCCCACATGCCTTTAGATCCACCCTCCTGTCTTTCCTTCTTTTTTCTTTTCCTTTTTTTTCTCATTTTGCCTTCTCCCCTTCCCCTTCTTTGTTCCTGCTCAGGCTTTCTTTCTCCTCTTTTTTTTTGAGACAGGATCTTGCTCTTTTGTCCAGGCAGGGGTGCAGTGGTACGATCACAGCTTGCTGCAGCCTCAACCTCCTGGGCTCAAGTGATCCTCCCACCTTCGTCTCCCAAGTAGCTGGGACTACAGGCATGTGCCACCGTGCCCAGCTCTGCCTAGGCTTTTAGAAACCCCTTTCTGTGGCTGGGCACGGTGGCTCACGCCTGTAATCCCAGCACTTTGGGAAGCTGAGGAGGGCGGATCATGAGGTCAGGAGATCGAGACCAACCTGGCTAATATGGTGAAACCCTGCCTGTCTCTACTAAAAATACAAAAAAATAAAATTAGCTGGGCGTGGTGGCAGGCGCCTGTAGTCCCAGCTACTCGGGAGGCTGAGGCAGGAGAATGGTGTGAACCCGGGAGGTGGAGCTTGTAGTGAGCCGAGATTGTGCCACTGCACTTCAGCCTGGGTGACAGTGCGAGACTCCCTCTCAAAAAAAATAAAAATAAAAACAAAAAGAAACCCCTTTCCACGTGGCCCTTGTTAACTCTGCTTCCTAAAGCCTTCCGCTGTGCTCTGCTCCTGAGCAGGAGAGCCGAAGGGGTGGCTAGGGGCAACACGTTCTGCTCTTCTGTTCTCTACCTTGATGGTGCAGCCAGGCTGGGGCCGCTGTGCCTTTCTCTGCCCGGGTGGGGCCACACTGCCTTAGGCCTCTCACAAGCTGCAGGGTAGGTGGCACCTTCCTGAGCAATAGGAATAAAGCTGACAGGAGCATGGTGGCCCTGCTGGTTTGAGGTCCTATACCCCTCCCCCACCACAGAAACCCTTTCTTCCCCAGCCTCAGACACCATGGCCTTGGCTGGGCTGAGACAGGCCTGGTGAAGAGTCTCTTCCTCCTTGGTGTCGTGCCATATGAGCTCTTTGAGTCCTGGCTTCTTTAGTTCTAGAAACTGGTGACCTGCCTGACATTGACAGGAGTGACATTTGTCTTTCTGAAGCCAACCATATGGGCTTCAGAGGAAATTTGCTGCAAATGATTGTCTCCGTCCCAGAAGAGATGGGACCTTGCCTCAGGCTGGTGGCATCTGCGGGCTGGAGGCGAGGGGGTGTGGCTGCGGGATTCGAAGAGGAGTTTGACTGCTTGCTTTCCTGAATGTGCTGTCTCCTCTCTCGCCGCACAGAGAGAAGGGGTTCAGGATTCAGTGGGTGGATGATACTCACGCACTCGGCATCTTTCCCTGCCTGGCCTCAGGTAAGGCACCCCCAGTGGGCCCAGCCCTTGCTCGGATCCCTGTTGAGAGGGAGGACCCTTGGTTCCCTGGGTAGAGGCCACCATCTCCTGGGCGCAGGCTCAGCTGAGCCAGTAGGCTCTGGGGGTTTTGTTCCCAGCCTAAAACCCAGGGGGAGCTGAGCGGTCTCTGGCCCATAGTAATGCGCCTTAATGAAGAAGCCCTTCCTATTGTGTTAGTGCTTTCAATGAAAAGGCATCAGATTCAGGCGACCTTTGCTGAGGAAGGTCGTGAGCCAAGCCCAACGGATGTCCCTGTGTTAAATGAAACCACAGCAAAGTGCTGCTTTAACGGCCAAAAGCATTTGAATTCTGGAGATTTCATGTGGTTCAAGTAGACACATTCTTACTCGATTTTCGCTTCAGCCTCAAGATGTAGGTCAGGTTACCTCCATTGTACAGCTGGAGAGACTTAAGGGTCCCAGAGTGTCAGGGGTACACTCCAAGTTACACAGCCTCTCAGTGTCACAGCTCGGGGCACCACACTGCCTCATGACTCCAGTGCTCCTGTCTCCCTCAGTCACTTGCCTGCATTGCCCTGCCACACCACCGTGCTTACATTTGGTATAATTTATAGTTACCCGCGCCACGCCCCCTTTACTGGTCTTCCCAGAAACAGCCTTCTGAAAACCCGAGCTGGGGCCTGGGAGCGCCATTGCTGCTGGGGCCCAGTCCTCAGGAGGGAGGGCCCTGGCAGCATTTAGGGAGGGAACAGGGCAGGGTGGGGTCTCAAACCCCAGAGAGGGAGATTGTGGAAAGGAAGGCAGGGAGGGAGGCCAAGAGGCTGCCCTGTGCTGCGAGAGGAATGAGCTGTGGCTGGGGTTGGCCATGGCGTTCTGATCTCCACAGACTATGGTGAGAGCAGGTTCCCTTGCTTCAGTTTCCTCTTCTGTAGAACAGTGGGCAGCTTGGACCTGAAGCCTCTCCCAGCTCTGCTCTGCCATACTCTGTAAATAGTCGGGGTGCTGCAACACCAGGCATGACTCAGGGCAGTGAACGCATGTTCCCTGGAGGGTCTTGAGTGGTGAAAGGGGGAGAGGTTGTGTTTAGCCCTGGGGCTTTGGAAACTGGGAGCCCGCCTCTTCTGATGTCAGAATCACAGCCTCCCCAGTGCTCTCCCTGACCAGCCTGGGGTGGGAGTGTCCTCTGAGCGCAGGTGTCCCTGTGCGGGCCTGTGGGGCTCTGGGGGATGAGGCAAGCAGGCGGCAGTCGTCTCTTGCCCATCCAGGGCGGTGTCGGAGCAGCCCTGCCCTGAGCTTTGAATAGGTGCACAACACGGCTGCAGGGGTTCGGGGTGGTGGGTGTGCCGCGGGGTCCTGAGGAGGAGGGAGTGGCTCCACGCCTGCTTTCTTTCCACAGCTGCGGAAGCCCTGACCCGGGAGTTCTCGGTGCTCAAGATCCGGCCCCTCACACAGGGAACCAAGCAGTCAAAGCTCAAAGCCTTGCAGAGGCCAAGTAAGGAAAGCGCATGTCCCTGAATAGGGAGGCTGTGTGTGTGTGTGTGCGTGCGAGCATGTGTGTGTGTGCGTGTGTGTGTGTCTGGTTTGGGCAGGGTCTTCCCCTCTGTTAATTCTTCCCGCTTGACTTCTCTGCTCTTAGGGAGCCCTGGGCTGCAGTAGCCAGTGGGGCTGTGTTCCCCCTCCCTAGCAGGCCTAGGGGGGGTCTGGGGCAGGGGTCTCCCTTGGGGAGTGGCGTCTGCCAGCTGCTGTGCAGGGAGGCTCTCCTGCTCATACCCTCTTCTGGGCACAGGGAAAAGCTTGGTCCTTCTTCTGGAGGGCCCTGGAAACCGTATCCCATAGGGCCGGGAAGGGCCTGGGCTTTGGGGTCCGCTCCGGGACCCCCAAATGGCTCTGTCAGTTACTTCAGTTGGTCTCAGTGACACTGAGGAAGTCACTCAGTGTGTGAGTTGGTTTCTTCTTCTGTAAAATAAGCAGACTCTTCAGTCTGAAGGATTGAATGAGAGCCTGGCATACCTGCCTGGAGCCCTGAGGGCACATAGAAGGTACCAGATAACCGTTATAGCGCCTCCTTTTCCCCTTCTACTTCCAGAAACCATGGTGAGAGATTTTAGACACGAGTTTTCCATGACTTCAAAGTAGTAACTAGTAAAATGGACCTGCAAGAGGCCTGCCGAGGCCAGCTGTGCTCTCGTGGGTGGTTACGTAGCCAACATGGTCCAGGGTTTCTTGGAACAATAAATATCCTGTCCGTAGGTCTGTGAGCTCTGGGTGTTCCATCCTGACTTGATACCCCTCCCAAAGGACCCTAAAAAGCAGGGAGGTGTGCAGGATGAACCCCTCAGCCCCCTCACTGTAGAGACAGAGAAACAAGGGCATGTAGAGGCGACAAGTTTGGGTCAGCATCCCCTGGGGGGCCAGGATCCCTAAGTTGGCCCCCTCTCATGAGCATCCGGCCACACCACGGGCACAGCTGGGCCGAGGCCCCACATGTGTCACATGAGAGGCTGGCTCTGATGGCTTGTACGGCTGCTGTGTTGCTGGGGGAGAGGCAGCCACGACCTTGTGTTTAGGTCCCCACTGTGGGGCTTTCCTTCTAGAACTCCTGCGTCTGGTGAAGGAGAGGCCACAGACAAATGCGACTGTGGCCCGGCGGCTGGTGGCCCGGGCCCTGGGACTCCAACACAAAAAGAAAGAGCGGCCTGCTGTCCGGGGTCCGCTGCCGCCCTGAGGCCTGGAGACCCAACTGGCCTGGATCTGCGTCCCGACGTAGCTGGCGCCCCCAACACCATAAGCCTTCACAGACGCCAGAGCAGCCCCGCACCACCCTCGAGCTTCACCATGGGGTGTGGTGGGCTTTAGTTTAGTCCCAGAAATGGAGAAAAAATAAAAACTCACGTTGTTCTAATGTGATCACTTTGAAATGTGGTCTGTAGGGGACGCTAGGGGGTGCTATTCCACCTTGCAGTGCAGGTGGGCAGCTGCTGAAGGAAGGTCACTTGAGCTTAGCCGGGAGGATCCCCACTGGGCCTGCAGGGCCTCTGTGCACAGCCTGCCCAATTTTGGGAGCTGGGTTGCACCTGCTGTGTAGCACCTGCCCACACTCCTTTGGCAGTTCAGGTATCCAGCCTTCTGGCCTGTGCTGTGGGACAGTTCTGGGACCCCTGGGCTGGTCCTGGTCTTACCTGTCAGTCAGTGCCAGTTCCTGCAAAATAAATGTAAACAAAGGCAAGAGGTGAGATCTGAATGCGTGCCGACGCCCTCATTCAATTGTGGTTTGAGTGGAGTTGGTGCCAAGGTGGTCCTACCTACCCTCTAGTTTGCTGGGCCCTAGCATGCTGTTGACACAAGGGGAAGTCCCCTGTGTCTGGGTGAGTCGCATGGGCCAGCCACCCCCCCACTGCCACTGGGAATTGCTGGGAGCCCCTGTCCTGTGAACGGATGCCCTCTTGCTTTGATAAGCTGCCTGGTGGCTGTTGTTTAAATCTAGACTTCCCATCCAGCCCTCGCACAACTCCTATGCCTTCTGACAAGTTTCAGTAAAAACCACAGGAGTTCAAGAAAGATTATGACTCCTGTTCCGTTACTTTTTGTGATCTCCTTAGATTGCTTCTCCCAGATGGTAGGAGCTGCCCCTTTTGGAGTCTATTGAAGGAGGTGCCCTGGTGGCCACACTGGGCTGGAGGGGATCTGAGGACCCATGTCCACCGGAGAAAACCACGAATGTACCTGAAGCTCTGCTTCTGGCCACTGAACATAGGAAGCCTGCTGCTCAGGGCCCAGGTGCTGTGGGTCAAAGGAAACACAGACACGTTTCATAAATCTTTCTTTTATTCCAAGTTTCAAGTATGTGTAAGTGTCTGTGATGACACATGGTGCTCAGTGAGCGCCCTGTCACCCAGGACCCTGGTTATAGCACCGTTGAATCAAAAACCCACAGAATTGGAACAACAGGAAGATGAGTCACTTACACAGTGGGTTGGTTTTTCCTTAGATTTGTACTTCCAAGGGCCCAGATGTCCAATATTAAATGCCAATAAATTTGTGCTTCAAAAGTCTGTGAAAATATAATAATAGTATCTTGAAAAACAAGGGGTGGGGGCTGTGGATAGGGAAGCACCAAGTCTGAGCTCACCAAATCAGAAAACACGTGGCACCATTATCTATGTGACTATAATAGACTGGAGGGTTTCATTGGAAGAGAGGTCTAGATATTCAAGTTTGCTGAAAATGACCTAAGAGGAGGAGAAATGGGGTTCGGCCTGACCCTCTCTGGGGGGGCTGATGAGCCCGCATTTGTCCACGTGTCACTGGAGAAGAGCGCGGCTCCACTGTGTCTGTGGTGAGCTCGGTGGCTTGAATGGGACAAGCTGATGACAACCTGTCTGTGGGCCTCATCCCGGTCAAGACTGGCTCTTGGTGCTGCTCCAGCAGCTCTGTGGACAAACCCCACCCCCGCAAGGCCTTCTCAGGCCCCAAGGGTCAGGTAGCAGCCCCCCATGAATGATGGGAGGGTCCCTTTCCTCCTGAGCTTAGACACAGCTGTAGGGGTCTGGACAGGGTGGGGGCCGGGCTGGGTGAGGGCACGTGGCATTCGTTCAGACTCAGTTGTTGGGGGGAAGTCCCATGGAAGATGTGGTGTGGCCTGAAGACAGGAGTTGACCACGCAGGCTTCTTTACTGCGGGGACAGCTGGTTGTTTAAGAGCCCGCTGAAGTGCTCAAACTTTTTTTCCGTCTCTTCGCTGAAGGAACCACCTGAAGAGCGAGAATCGGGTAGAGAGAGTGGACAAATGAGATGCTCGGGCCTTGCCTGACCCTGAGCCAGGGGAGTGGGCCTCAGGGGCTGCTGGGGCCACCTGTGTGTGCCCTCCTCAAAAGGACAGGTGCCAGGCACTGGCCATCTCTAGGGCTGGGCACATAGCAGGTGCTCTGTCAAAGTTGAGTGAACGAGTGAATAAATATAGCGCCTTTAATTTTAACCTTTTGCCAAGAGTGAGGCCCATGACTTTTCCTGCAGAGGAAAAAGCTCTGCCTTCCCTTTTGTTCCCCAAGTCCTATCATCCAAGGAAAAAAGTGTCTTTATTGGAGACTAGAAATAACAGTAGTTTGCTAGCTTCCAGCTCTCGACAGAAAAACCTGATAGGCAGAGCCCACAGATTGCTGATGCCCACATTTTTGAGGTCACATACATAATGAGCCAGTGGCCTCAGCTCCAACCCTTAAAAAGCCTTGGGGTCTGCACTGGGCTGGCCTGGTCCTGTACCATCCTCTATCCGTGGCCGGAGCTGGCTGTAAAAACTCAGTCTCCATCCAGGCCTGTGTGTCTGTGGCTTCTGTCCTGAATGTGGAAATGTGATGCTGGCTGCATTCCCCGAGCTCTTTACCCAAATTAGGAAGCTGCCTCTGGGTCCTTGAGAAAGTAGGGCAGCTCCCGCCTGCTTCCTGGAGTGGGGGCGGCCTGGCCTTACCTATGTGGCAGTTGTACATCCAGATGCGGTGGCCGTCATAGCGGCTCCTGCATTTCATGATGTTGTTGGAGTAATCGGATTCTGCAACCTCGAAGTTGGGGTTAATAACAACCTAGGGAGAAGCAGGGCAGAGGAGGCTGCTTGTTCCCTCTGCGGCCACCTCCACCCAGGCCTGGGGCTCTGAGAGACCAGCACCTCAGGGAAGGGGAGCGTGGCAGGTGCCGGGACCCAAGACGGGGGTCTGTGGGTCTCAACAAAGTCCTTGGGGAGGGGAAGAGATGAGTCAGGGAGCAGAGGAAGCATGGCCTGGAAGAGGGAAACCCTGCCCTCTGTCCATATCCGTGTAACACACACCCCTCTACCCAGGGTGGGCCTTCGGAAGGGGGTCACCCACTCCTGGGAGTTCTGGGGAAGGCAGAAGTTGGGGTCTGGGGAGGCCCCAAAAAGAAGATGCTGAAGAGAAGCAGAAGGGTGCAGGGAGGACCTGGCGGTGTGGGAACCTGGAAGAGGGCTGCCTGGGCGTTGGAGATGGGACACTCGTCACAGGCGTGTGACTGTGGACATGTCCCTTCCTCTCTCTGTAAAGTGACAGGTGGGACTTGGGGATCCATGTCCCTGTCTGCTCTGCTGGCCGAGGGCCTGGCTCTGGGGCTGCTGGAGAAGTTGCACCCTCTCCCCATCCTTCCACCCACCCCTGTATCCGCATCCCCCCAGCTACAGCAGGAATAGGAAGGACATATTCTGGGAGAGTGTCTGTGAGGGAACAGAAAAGGGGAGGTTTACGGTGAGGACCCGAGGAGAAAAGAGAAAGGGAGGGAGAGGGAGAAGAGACAACAGTGGTGAACAGAGGGGCAGAGGACACAGATGACAGGCCTTCCCTCGAGGGTCCTGCCACATTTGGAAGGGCTGCGACCCACAGCAGGGGGGCGGGTACAGGCTGCTCGTTCAGGAACATTCTCTAAATTTGGGGCCCCAGAAGGGCCTGGACACGAACCTTTAGCAGGCCGCTGGGCTTGCCCAAAGAGGTGCTGTGGGAAGCCAAGGCCAGCCTGGCAGCCGGCCCTCTGCTCTGGCCCAGCGGGGCTGTTCTGGGGGCCTGCACCTGGCTCAGCTGTGTCCCGCTGGGGCCCTGTGCCTTTAGCTAAGGAGGTACATGCCCTGCTCCGGGGCGGCTTGAGTTTTTTCTTTTCCACCCAACCATTCTAGCTGCCCCCTCGTTCCTGGCCCACACATGGCATGGGGCAAACACAGCTCCACATGCCAAGGCCTCCAGCTGTGCAGGCCTAGGCAGCTCCTTGGCCGCCCAGGCGTCTCGACAGTGCAGCCGTGAGGGCGGCTGGATGCAGCAAGGGCTCGTGTTGGGGACACGAGGGCCAGTGTTACGTGTGGGGTGGAGGCGGGGCTGGAAATGTGTGTCCCCCACTGTTTCACCCCACTCATCTACTGCAGACCGACATCTCACGAGGGCCTGCGGGAAGTGGCTTTAGGTTTCTGTATGTCTGTGAATCTAGGAAATGATGAGAAAGCGGATAAAGCGGGGCCACCAGGAGCCAGGAGGCCCCTTCACCCCTGCCTCTGAGCTCTGCACAGGTCCCTCTGCGTGGACGGTCACTTCCTCCTCGCCCAGCTCCCTCCTCCTGTCCTTCACAGCACCACTGATGTCTGAAGTGAAGACCACCTCTTGTGTCCCGTGAGTCCCCAGGCCGGTGCTTGTGGCACCTAAAGAAGCTCCATGTCTATCTTAAGGGGAATGTTCTTTTTGATTAATCAGAGGTATTAACATGCCCCTAATGAGTCCATTTGCTAATTGTATTGTTTAGGGGTTGAGAAAACAAAATAAAGAGTTGATATGTCTGGGGTTGGGTGGCCGTGAAATGAGGGTAATGATGATGCCCCTTCCTTGGGAGATTAAATCAAACAATGCATTCCCCAGGCTTAGGCAATTGATAGTAGTTATTAAGTGGATGGCACTGGCCAGAATACAGGGAGATACACACTCACCCAGCAAAATGATAGCAAACCTCAAACAGAAACCACCAGGCACTGTATACGTGCACATGGCCACGGCTATTCATCTTTTAAAATAAATAACTCTCTGGTTAGGCCTCTCCAAGTCTGTGGTTCTGGGCTTGTGGGTGGAAAAGTGCTTGGCTGTCTGCTTTCCAGCCTCTGAAACTGCCCAGGAATTCTCTGAAAGCCCCTCTGTGGTGACTTCTCTGAAGGTGTTGTTTCTTCAGAGGACTGTCTGTAGGTGGGGACCGTGGGCCAGGCCCTGGGCTGGCTGAATGCCCCCTCAGGAAAGCTTTCAAGGTGGAATGACACATTTCTGGTCATCCACTTTGCTAGCCAACAGGGCAAGCTGGAAAACGAGATGGGTGAGGACGTAGGAGAGAGTGAGAGGGTGAGATAAAGCTTCTGCAGGCTACGTGTACCCGTGCACTGGGAGAGACACTAGGGACACAATGCCCCTTTTCTCCCCCAGTTAGAGCCCTGGCCAGAACATGCCGCTGTTTTCAGGAAGGAGGGAAGCCAAGGCCCCCTTGTTCCTCCTCAGGGCTGGCCTTCCACCCAGAGTATGTGGAAACAAATCTCGGCAACCCCTCTGACAAAGAAGTCACCTGGCCAGGCTGTGTCTCGTGTTCAGTATTTTATTCTTATAGATTCACTTTGCATTGAGAATGGCCCCTTCTGCAGATCCTCCTCTATGAGGCAGATATTTCCGGAAGAGCTAAGTCACAGATATTTGCAAGTGACTGGCTCTTTATGAGTTTGCTTTCAGTCTTGAAAGCACAGACCAAGGCAGCCTAGGGCACTAGGAGAAATGGGGATGGTGGAGACAAGAGCTCCATAGGAGACAAGAGGTGTGGGTTGCCTGAGCATGTATGGAATAAACTGGCCGGAGGAGCAAATCTAGCCTGCTGATGAGTTTTGATTTGCATGCACCAGGTGTTAACTCAATCAAATGTGAATGCCTGTGGTGTCTCTGGTCCTGTGCACGCCCTATTTCTCAGGCCCCCATGCCTGATATCTTTGGGTTAACTGATGGACCGTGATGGCCTCTGGGGGTAGCACCTTGCCCTTTAGACAGCCTGACTTCCATGCCCCTGTGTGGACACCAATGGGAAGGAGCCTGTGGAGGTGGCCTCCCCTCCTCCCCCTGCAGGGCTGGAACCCCTTCCCACCCACCTCACCTGGAACAGGTAGTCTCCAGGGGGCACGTCAGTGATGTCAACCCACTGGCAGTCGATGTCATGGCGGTACATGTCCCAGCAGCCCATGGTGATGCCCTGATCGCCGAAGTTGGCACACTCGTAATTCTTCTGGATGTCTGCGGGCAGGGTAGAGGAGAGCTCATCACCAGGGAACCATGGCCCCACTGCCGCACCCTCTTCCTGCTTCCAAGGCCCCTACCGCTGCTTCATCTGGGCTCGGCATCCCACCCCACTGTGTGGGCTGCTCATCTGTTCTCATTTCAGTAGAACCCCCCACTCAATTCCCTACCCACATCCTGCCTCTTCTCTCAGGCCAGGCTCAAGTTCCCCTTCCTCCATGAAGCCCTCCCTGACCACTCTGATCCACCCTGGCCTTTCTGTGACATCCTCAGCCTGGGGATAACTGCGTGTGTGTGGACCGAGGAAATCTCTGGTGCCTGTGGTTTAGCAAAACGTGGGGGGTCATACTGTCTGTCTCCTCTGGAGGATCGGCAATTAGAGTGTAGGCCCATGTCTCTCTGACACTTACATGTTATCTGCACATGGTAAGAGGTCAACACCTGTCTGCTGTGTGATTTCACGGCAAGTCAGTGGCGGGCCGCTTCAATGAATAACAAATTAAACACGCATTTACTGAGAAGCTGCCATGCCTGGACACTGCTGTAAACAGTGGGTCTAGCAAGAAGAACTGACATGTCTCCCCATGAAGAGCCCCCAGGGCTGCAGGTGCACTAACAGGTGATCACAGGGCAGGTGTGGTGACCTACCAGAAGTGTGAGCAGAGTGCCACACCTGCCGGGACGGGGGGGCGCTTCAGAGGAGGGCATTTGAGATATAATTGAAGGGTGACACCTGGTGTGGTAGGGACACTTGGCATTGGGACACCAGAAAAAAGGTTGGTGGCAGCCAGAGTGGGAGGGGCATACGCATCAGGGTCTAGGCTGCTAAGCCCAGATGGAGCAGGGTCCCCAGAGTCTGGATCTTGTCCAGGAGGCCCTGTGGACCGACCAGTGCCTGTCAGCACAGCTCTGGGGAATCCGGGTGCCCTTGGAACCAGGTCATGCCCATGCCCCCAGCGCCTCACTATAGCTGAGGAAGGTCCAGGTGGGGAAAGGTGGCAGTGGTCAGAGTGACACAGGGTCAGTGCCAGGCCTGGGCTCCAGCCAGGTGATCGTGGAGGCAGAGGCATTCGAGTCCCTCTGAGGCCTCCCATCCCCCCACTCCGCTCAGATACCTCCTTCACATTCTGTGTCCTCCAAGCAGAAGCTGGCCTTGTGGCCCTCTGCCACCTTGGTGCCATTGAGGTTCAGCAGGTCATAGTGGGTGAACACCTCCATGCTGTGGTAGTGCCTGGAGCGAGAGAGAGATGGCCTGGAGGTCAGTTTCTGGAGCAACTGCTGCTTGCAAGCAGAGGCCTGGCTGGCGATTTGCCTCTGGGAATACTTCCAGGGGACCAGAGGGGGCCGGGTGGGGAGAGGAGTGGATGAGAGGCCTGAGGAAAGGAAAGCCGGTGCTGCAGAGGCAGCTTCAGGGCTCTGGAGTCAGACCACTGCTCACCTTGCTAAGCCTCCGTCCTCTCCTCTGCTGAATGGGAATGATCATCGTAATGCATGGGGTGCTGTGGGTACCAGGGAGGTGAGCAGATTAGCCAGCACTGCATATGATAAGCACAGAACTCCAGCTATTGTTTTTAATAAGCGTGCAACTGGCTCTCACAGCCCCTTCCTGTTTGATGCACTTTCTTCAGGGTAATTAAAAAACTCCGCATTTTGACGTCTTTTGAAATGGAATATGGTAGGGAGAAAAACCAAAGGGTAAGAAGCATGATTAAGGGGGAGCAGCAGAAAGAACAGGAATAGTAAGGAATAGAACATGTGCCCTGCACAGGACACACACAGGTACCCCAAGGTCGTGCCTGTGCTTCAGACCTGGTCAGGAAGGGCCTGCAGCTTCGCCTCTGGCCCTGGGAGGTGAGCAGCAAGTCTGTGCTCCTCGCATTGTGCAAATAAAGCAGGGAGGAGCAGAAAGACAGCTGGGAGGCCCTCTGGGAGGGAGACACTGACTCATCCTCAGGGGCACACAGCAGCGGCAAAGGGAGGCACGTCCCCGGGGGTTCCAGAAAAGAGTTCTGCAGGAGAGCTTGTGCAAGCAGGCTGCAAATCCCTTGCCGCTGGTTTACATAACGAGGCTCCCTCTCTTCCCTCGGGAGGAATTGAGAACAGATGCAGAGTCTTGGAACACATGCGCTTGGTTTAGAATAGCCCTTGTTTCAGAATAAACAAGGGAAACGGGGCTGTCGCCTGTTGCTGCAGGGCCTTCCCGAAGCCTGCACTGCCCAGGCCCGGGGCTGAAGGAAGGAGGTTGTCTTAGCCCGATCCCAACCTGCAACGAGCATGTCACAAGTGTCTGCAACTATTCTATATGCTTGTCTCTGCCATTACAGGGACATTTGGAAAATGAGGGAAACTGAGGAACAAGGTGCCAAGTCATGGGAGCAGAGTCCCCTGTTTTGTTGCTGCAGGATCTGAGCTTCCTCTTCGGCAAAGAGGGGAGGGTGGCTTTGCCCGCTCTCGGGGCCGCAAGATTGAATAAGATGAACGGCGTCAAATAACTAATGCGAAGTGGTAGCACATTAGTCAGCACTTGACATACCTGTCCCCTTCCTCGTGACACTCCCATCATAGCAGTCACGGTGGCAGGATTTTTATTACATCCACTAACACTGCTGCTACAACGGCAGGCAGGAGCTCCTCACTTCCCCAGCCCCCTGCCCTTGGCCTCAGGTTCCCTCTGCTGTGTACGGGCAGTGGGGGCACGGGGAACGGGGAAGACAGCAATGAACAGGATAGGTTTCCTGCGAGGAAATTCGAGGCTCTTTTCCCTTCCTCCTGCATTTGCCTGTGCTAAAAATAATATCAGAAGTTGCTAAGTTGGGCTTCCCTCGGTCACTCATGTTTCTGGGTAAAATGACGCTAAGCCCGGGTTCCACTGAGAACATTCACAAGGAGGCATTTTGTGGCCGTGGAAGTGACGACTTTGAGAAAGTCTATTTTGGCTTCTTGAAGGAGCAAGAAGAGACATGAGGTCTGACTCACTGCCTAAAAAATGTCTGCATCGCTCAGAGAGGGGCTTATGTGACCATGTTTACCAGCTGGAAAGACTGAAGAGAAATAGGTTGATGCTCCGTTGTCTAAACAGAATTCAGACGGAGCGCACAGACAGACTCTTGTAAGGATGACCCCGTCCCACTGCTGGGCTTCCTGCAGACTTGATTTAAATCTTCCTCAGCTTCAGTTTTTCCCCTGCAAACACTCAGGGGAGCAGCTGGTTTCATGGCCTCCCAGTTTTCCCTGGCTTCTGTCCTGGGCATCTCGCTTTGCCTCTTAGGCGTATGCGGTCATCCCTCCCTAGGGCCACATCTCCTTCCCAGCTGCCTGGATTAGAGCCTAGAGCCCCCCCACACCCCCCGCCCACCAGCACTACCCACCCATTCCCCCCAGGAAATAGAGAGCAGGACTCTGGGAAGATGGGATGGTGAGTCCTGGCGAGGAAGGTATTCCTCCTCTTGCAGGCTGAGCTGTCGTGACCCTTGGGCATCTAGGAGGGGGCTGGATCCCTGGGGTAGAGTTAGGGAAGCATGGACTTGGAAGGAAAATCCAGAACGCTAAGGGGAGAGAGAGCCTGACACTTGGCGGAGGTCACTGTGATCTGGACAAAAGAAGACACAGCCTTCTACCGTGAGACTCCAGAGCTCAATGCTTTTTTGTTTTTGTTTTTTTTTTGAGATGGAGTCTTACTCCATCACCCAGGCTGGAGTGCAGTGGTATGATCTCGGCTCACTGCAACCTCTGTCTCCCGGGTTCAAGCAATTCTCCTGCCTCAGCCTCCCGAGTAGCTGGGACTACAGAGCACGCCACCATGCCTGGCAAATTTTTGTATTTTTAGTAAAGATGGGGTTTCACCATGTTGGCAAGGCTGGTCTTGAACTCCTGACCTCAAGTGATCCACTCGCCTCCGTCTCCCAAAGTGCTGTGATTACAGGTGTGAGCCACTGCGTCCATCCCAGAGCTCAGTGTTTTAAGACATGGCACTCGTCAAGGGAGGAGGTGTTGGATGCAAAACGGATGGCAGATAAAGCTGGTTCAGAGAAAGATGGGAGAAGCAGGTATGTTCTTTGCTGTCCTAGGTCATTGGTGGCCCCAATGAAACTCCCAGTCAGAGCCTTGGTGCCCTTTGCAGAGGAGATGCTTGCACTCTACATCTTTTCCCACCCCAGCCACGTGTCCGCGGGGCATCCAGAATGGACAGTCCTGGAGGTGCTCTGCCACGGTGGGGGCAACACTCCTGTCCTCGTTTCAGAAAACAGTGGGGATGTTTCCATCCCAGAAGGAGCTGCCAGAAAGGCAGAGGCCCTTCTGCTAGCTCCACGCCCCCATCCCCCTGTGCCAGGCAGCCCCTTGGCAGGAGCAAGCCCCACAGATGCGATGAGGGCCTCAGATTGGCTCCCAGGGGCCACGTCACATCTGTGGGCTTTGATCCTCCCAGGAAGCTGAGCCGCACATGTGGTAGGCAGGGTGGAGTGAAAGGGAGTCTCTCCTCTTTGCAGCAATGCCATCCCTGACCCGGAGGACTGTCATCTGAGCTGGAGCCCACACGCCCTGCTTCTCCAACTCCTAGCTCCTCTCCTGGGATTCCCCCGAGGTGGGAGAGCCAAGCCCCTTGGCCTGTGGAGCCTGTTGTGCATCTGTGCCCCATGCTTTGTCCTGTCAGAGCGTGGCACATCGTGCCAGTTGAGCAGCGGTGGCCCCACAAGAGGCAGGAGAGAGAGGCATGGAGACCATCGGCCAGGGCACAGTGCACATGAGACAGAATAACTCCGGGGGCACTTTCCTCCAGGTCTGGTTTTCGAGGAAATTTCCAAGGGGGCCAATCTTTGTGTTTCAGCCAAGGGCTTTCAAAGAACAGAGCTCTCTTCCCCGAGGTAGCGTCAATTAAACTGGAAATGGCATTTTTTCCCATTCCCACTAATTTGAGCCAGGGTTCTCAAGCCTGGCTCCAGATGGCCTTCAGAGTGTCTGCAAATCTGCTGACATAGGCTATTAAACTTCTAGAAATATTTGTTTTGAGGAGAGGAAGGGCCAGCTCTCATCAGCTTCCAAAAGGAACCCAACAGATGTTTGAGGCCAGGATCCTGTTCCTCCCACAGCACCTGGAGAAGTCACCTGGAGCTCGAGGTACTCCTCTTAAGGTCCCTAGGATCTTATGGTCATTGTTTCTCAGCTGTGGACCAGGAGGGGGAGACCAGAAGGTACATGTGCTCAGCATGTCCTTCCTTCCCTCCCATCCCCTCCCAAGCCACTGACTAGAACATCTGTAAACAAAGAAATAAAATAGACCACAGGAAAAGTGGGGGAGCAGGGGGTTGGGGAGCAGGCAGGGAGCCAGGGTCTCCAGATCAGAAGAACATTTCCAGGATGTCACCATGTGCCTATTCTTAGAGGAGACCAAGTCCTTGGAGCGTAAGTGTATGGCACAGGGAGGTTCCTACCATGTAATCTGTGGGTGGGCTGCCATATGCAGGGCTGGGATGCAATTATCTTCTGCTTATAGACCCATAGGCAGCGTCAGCCCCCGCCGCCCAGGGCTTCCACCCACACGTTCCCCGAAGGGAGCCAAGCACCAAAACCGTCATGACTTTAACTCTACTGACTTACAACCTGAAGAAGACTAGCCTGCTTCTCTATAAAGACCACACCTTCTTGGGCTAATTAGGACGTTCAGAATATTCAATTGTTTGAATGGAAAATCAGCACCCCTGAATTCTACCATAGTCCTTTCTTGTGAGACTAGTGGAACAACTATCCCAAAACTGATTTGAATGTGACTAGGTCATCAGCTGCGATATGAAAAAAAAAAAAAAAAAAAAGCCAAAGATAGATTTCTGATGAAGAGTCAGCAGACAAAAAAGAAAGAGCATGTAGTTTGGAGTCAGACAGGCCCGAGCCGGGATTCCTGCTCTCTGCAACTCCTAGCATTATCTTGGGCAAGAGACAACTCCAAGCCTCTGTGTCCTTTTCTAGGAGAACGAAGGTTCCCTAGGCCTGACACTTAGAAGGGGCCAGGACATGTTAGTTCTGCCCATAACAGTGATGACCACATTCCGGAGCTGCAGCGGAGCCTCAACATCATCTAGACAACGGCTTCTCACACTGCAGTGTGCACACGGTCACCTGAGAATCCTGCCAAATGCAGATGCTGATGTGTCGGTCTGCCACGGGCCCTGGGATTGAGCAGGTCCCAGGCTCTCAGGTGGTGGCAGATACCTCTGGTCCAAGGACCTCACTTTGAGAAGCAGGGATGTGGTGCAAAGGCCAGGTTGTATAGATGGCCCATCCAAGTGTGGAGAAGGGCAATGACTAGGCCACGCCTGTAGCCCCTCGGGGGCTTCCTGCTTTATTTAGTGGTAGAGGCCTGTCTCCCTTCCTTTCCAAGGGTGTGCCTGCTTCTCTTCCCTCTACCCACCCAGTTCAGGTCTGAGCAAAAAAATCCCTGGACATACAGAGACAGCAGGCTCTGGATTAGATTAAGAGTCCAGGCAAAAAAGGGAAAACAAAGAAACAGAGGGAAGGTAAGAGGATGAGCAGATGGCTTGTGGTGGCTCTAGCCAGGTCTGGCTGTAGGATTTCACCCTGTTCTTCTGTCCTTGTCTGGGATTTGCAGCGCTGGGATCAGGTCCACAGACTGACAGAGCTGGAAGGGACAGGCGAGGTCCCAGGTGATGCCGCCCAGCTGACCTGACATCATGCAGCTCGCTAGAGGCACGGCTGCGTTTAGAGACCAGGTCTCAGGACTCTTGGGCCTAGACTTCAGTCTCCACACCCATTGTCTTCCTAGAGGTATTTAAAATACATACCAGTACGTGGAATATATATATATATATATATTTTTTTTTTTTGAGACAGAGCCTGGCTCTGTCGCCTATGCTGGAGTGTGGTGGCGTGATCTCAGCTCACAGCAACCTCCGCCTCCTGGGTTCACGCCATTCTCCTGCCTCAGCCTCCCAAGTAGCTGAGGCTATAGGCATCCACCACCATGCCCGGCTAATTTTCGTATTTTTAGTAGAGACGGGGTTTCACCGTGTTAGCCAGAATGGGCTTGATCTCCTGACCTCGTGATCCGCCCGCCTCGGCCTCCCAAAGTGCTGGGATTACAGGCGTGAGCCACCGCGCCAGGCTGGGAATATTTCTAAAGGAATTTAGAGTCCAGCAACTGCACAGCCTGGAGTACCTGGCAGCACACAAACCTGTGGACACACTTGGAAACCATGGGCTGAAGGTCAACGAGGAGGGTATGGGCGCTCAAAACAAAGTGTGTTTCCTGATGTTAGAAGCATTGGAGGCAGGAAGAAGGGTGGCAGGCCAGGGGAACTTGGAGTGGAGAATGGCTTCGGGAAATCTGACAGCCAGTGTGGCAGATGCAAGCCCCCCACTTAGGAGGATCCTATCCCCAGGCCATGCAGCCTCTTGGCTCTAAGTGACCCTGGCAACTCTCAACTCCCATCTGAGGCCTGCAGGATGTCCGCCGGGCAGCTTAGTGGGGAGGGTGGCCAGCCAGGCCTACCTGTGACAGTCGTGCCAGATCCACGCGTGGCGGCCGTTCTTGGGCCGGAAGTCGGACTGGCCATTGTTGTGGATCTGGGAGGAGAAGCGCAGGAGCCGGCGGTAGCCCGTGGTGGGGTCGGTCTGCGCGGCTGAGGCCGAGAGGCAGTTCTCCTCCATGGCACACTGCAGCATGAACATGGGCCGGTCCTCCAGGTAGGTGGTCTGCTGCACCATCTCCGCATTGAGGACCAGGTCAGGGGCGGCTGCGGAGGATGGCATGCTGGTCAACAAGGCAAGAGACCCCTCCCCAGGGCTTCTACTTCTGATTCTTGAGCTGGGACAAACCCCCTCTCCTGCCTACCGCCACCTTCTGGAATGACTCAAGGGCTCCTCAAGGTTACCTTCTTGTTTAGCAAGACCCTGAATTCCTCTTTTCCTCTGCTGTGAGTCCTCTTTGACAACTCTTCAGTTATCGGTGCAGATGAGCGAGATGTTAAAATCTCACACACCTGGTCCTAGGCTACGAGCGAAGCACAGATCATGGTACGTTAACAGATCCTGTGCCTCATAAGCACTGAATGTGAGTGATGAGCACGTGGGGGTTGATTATATTATTCTACTTCAAGTGGCTTCAAGTTTTCCATAATAAAATGCAAAAACAACAATAACGATGTGATTGTGCTACCCAGAGAGAAAGAACACCTCTAATACCTTGGTCTGCTGCTTCTGGGAATGATGTATTTTCCAACATGTATAATATTGTCTGTGGATTTATGGTGCACTAATACAGTTCCCCTTAAAATACATCTTCACATATTTTCACATTGACATATATCCATTACAGCACATTCATTTCATGGCTACATAAGATTTAATTCCTAGCTCTAGCTCATATTTTTAGATATATTGGCTGTTTGGAATTTTTCACTTACAAGCTGTGATAAATACCCTGTAGTAAATCTGTGCATATAACTTATTTTTTTCTTTAGAATATATCTCTGTAAGTGAAAGTGCTAGGAGAAAGCATTGTCTGTTTTTAAGTCTCTGATTCCTACTGCCAAATTGCCTTCTTAACAGGGTCTTCCAGGTTCCACAGGACACACTGCTGCCCCACAGGAGAGTTTTCCCCAGGTGCCTGTCTTTTACAATGCTTGATTTACTCAATTAGTGCACTGCACATAGCAGGTGTTAAAAGAATGACTGATGGCTACAATCTACGTTTACTAAACAATTGTATTAGAAAGCTTAGCTTCTTTGCAAAAGGATTAACTGTAGGCTTTACCTTTAAAAGTGAGCTTTCAGTGAACACTTCTAGTACACAGAAAAATGCCATATATGAATCAGTGATCACAAGATCCTGCCATCTTTTATTTTGACAAGTTGCTTGTAAATTTTTTTCCCCCTAGACTGCTTTGCAGAATTGCTTATAAATTTTAAGCAAGCAGAGTCTGTGAGTTTTGCTTCCCTCAAGTTCACCAGCACGTGGAGTGAGCTCTGTCTCCCTTCTCCCCCTCCCCCTCCAGGCTTACAGGCTGCAGCAGAGTCCAGCGGGTTCTCAGTAAACCCTGTGAGTTCACTGGCACCTGATGGAGCTGGCATCCTCTAGAGAGCAGATCCACTCGCAAGAATTGGGTGTGGAACCAAAGGGTAGGGAAAAGGTGCACACAGATGGCACATGGGGTGGGGCACGGAAGCCGTAAATCAGGAGGCTCCCGTTTACTGACAAGTATTTCTTCTTGGAGGCTACGCCAGGATGCAGCATTGCCCTACACCGAGTGTTCTGGGCACGCTTATTTTTATGAGGGTGTCATGTGAGCCTCTTATTAGTTGACAGCCCCTCTGAATACCTCTGAGCTGAGCATGGAGGTCTCCACTTGGGCTCTCCCGCCAGCTCGCAAGGCGAGGGATCGTTAATGTACCATGGTTTGTGCTTAGCTGGTAGCCTGAGATGTGCAATCTCAACAGCTGCCATGGGTTGGGGACTTGGCCTCCCCTGCATCCAGCAGGCAGCAGAACTCCTAGGTGGCATCCTCCCACCTACCCATGGCTCGAGTATTACGATGCTCTGTGCTAGGTTCTCTGGACAGAGCTGAGCAAGGCAGAGGTGGAACTACCCTAGACTAACAAGAGACAGACATATTCAGCACATAATAATTACTACTGCAACAAGAGCTGGCAGGAGATATGATGGGAATTGTAACGGGAGGAACCTGTCGGGTAGGTGGTCAGGAGGCTGCTTTGGGAGAAGTTGTGTTTTAGTTTTTCTCTGAAGGAGGAGTGGGGATTCGAGGAAGTAACACTAAGGATGAGGCTAGGGCAAAACAAATAGCCTGTGCCGAAATACAAACTACCATCAGAGAATACTACAAACACCTCTACACAAATAAACTAGAAATCTAGAAGAAATGGATAAATTCCTCGACACATACACCGTCCCAAGACTAAACCAAGAAGAAGCTGAATCTCTGAATAGACCAATAACAGGATCTGAAATTGTGGCAATAATCAATAGCTTACCAACCAAAAAGAGTCCAGGACCAGATGGATTCACAGCCGAATTCTACCAGAGGTATAAGGAGGAACTGGTACCATTCCTTCTGAAACTATTCCAATCAATAGAAAAAGAGGGAATCCTCCCTAACTCATTTTATGAGGCCAGCATCATCCTGATACCAAAGCTGGGCAGAGACACAACCAAAAAAGAGAATTTTAGACCAATATCCTTGAGGAACATTGATGCAAAAATCCTCAATAAAATACTGGCAAACCGAATCCAGCAGCACATCAAAAAGCTTATCCACCATGATCAAGTGGGCTTCATCCCTGGGATGCAAGGCTGGTTCAATATACGCAAATCAATAAACGTAATCCAGCATATAAACAGAACCAAAGATGAAAACCACATGATTATCTCAATAGATGCAGAAAAGGCCTTTGACAAAATTCAACAACCCTTCATGCTAAAAACTCTCAATAAATTAGGTATTGATGGGACGTATTTCAAAATAATAAGAGCTATCTATGACAAACCCACAGCCAATATCATACTGAATGGGCAAAAACTGGAAGCATTCCCTTTGAAAACTGGCACATGACAGGGATGCCCTCTCTCACCACTCCTATTCAACATAGTGTTGGAAGTTCTGGCCAGGGCAATTAGGCAGGAGAAGGAAATAAAGGGTATTCAATTAGGAAAAGAGGAAGTCAAATTGTCCCTGTTTGCAGACTACATGATTGTATATCTAGAAAACCCCATTGTCTCAGCCCAAAATCTCCTTAAGCTGATAAGCAACTTCAGCAAAGTCTCAGGATACAAAATCAATGTACAAAAATCACAAGCATTCTTATACACCAACAAGAGACGAACAGAGAGCCAAATCATGAGTGAACTCCCATTCACAATTGCTTCAAAGAGAATAAAATACCTAGGAATCCAACTTACAAGGGATGTGAAGGACCTCTTCAAGGAGAACTACAAACCACTGCTCAACAAAATAAAAGAGGACACAAATGGAAGAACATTCCATGCTCATGGATAGGAAGAATCAGTATCGTGAAAATGGCCATACTGCCCAAGGTAATTTACAGATTCAATGCCATCCCCATCAAGCTACCAATGACTTTCTTCACAGAATTGGAAAAAACTACTTTAAAGTTCATGTGGAGCCAAAAAAGAGCCCGCATCACCAAGTCAATCGTAAGCCAAAAGAACAAAGCTGGAGGCATCACACTACCTGACTTCAAACTACACTACAAGGCTACAGTAACCAAAACAGCATGGTACTGGTACCAAAACAGAGATATAGATCAATGGAACAGAACAGAGCCCTCAGAAATAACGCTGCATATCTACAACTATCTGATCTTTGACAAACCTGAGAAAAACAAGCAATGGGGAAAGGATTCCCTATTTAATAAATGGTGCTGAGAAAACTGGCTAGCCATATGTAGAAAGCTGAAACTGGATCCCTTCCTCACACCTTCTACAAAAATCAATTCAAGATGGATTAAAGACTTAAACATTAGACCTAAAACCATAAAAACCCTAGAAGAAAACCTAGGCATTACCATTCAGGACATAGGCATGGGCAAGGACTTCATGTCTAAAACACCAAAAGCAATGGCAACAAAAGCCTAAATTGACAAATGGGATCTAATTAAACTAAAGAGCTCTGCACAGCAAAAGAAACTACCATCAGAGTGAACAGGCAACCTACAAAATGGGAGAAAATTTTGGCAACCTACTCATCTGACAAAGGGCTAATATCCAGAATCTACAATGAACTCAAACAAATTTACAAGAAAAAAACAACCCCATCAAAAAGTGGGCGAAGGATATGAACAGACACTTCTCAAAAGAAGACATTTATGCAGCCAAAAAACACATGAAAAAATGCTCACCATCACTGGCCATCAGAGAAATGCAAATCAAAACCACAATGAGATACCATCTCACACCAGTTAGAATGGCAATCATTCAAAAGTCAGGGAACAACAGGTGCTGGAGAGGATGTAGAGAGATAGGAACACTTTTACACTGTTGGTGGGACTGTAAACTAGTTCAACCATTGTGGAAGTCAGTGTGGCGATTCCTCAGGGATCTAGAACTAGAAATACCATTTGACCCAGCCATCCCATTACTGGGTATATACCCAAAGGACTATAAATCATGCTGCTATAAAGACACATGCACACGTATGTTTATTGCGGTACTATTCACGATAGCAAAGACTTGGAACCAACCCAAATGTCCAACAATGATAGACTGGATTAAGAAAATGTGGCACATATACACCATGGAATACTATGCAGCCATAAAAAATGATAAGTTCATGTCCTTTGTAGGGACATGGATGAAATTGGAAATCATCATTCTCAGTAAACTATCGCAAGAACAAAAAACCAAACACCGCATATTCTCACTCATAGGTGGGAACTGAACAATGAGAACACACGGACACAGGAAGGGGAACATCACACTCTGGGGACTGTTGTGGGGTGCGGGGAGAGGGGAGGGATAGCACTGGGAGATATACCTAATGCTAGATGACGAGTTAGTGGGTGCAGCGCACCAGCATGGCACATGTATACATATGTAAATAACCTGCACATTGTGCACATGTACCTTAAAACTTAAAGTATAATAATAATAAATACATAAATACATAAATAAAACGAAAAAAGAAAAAAATAAAAATAAAAATAAAAAAGGAGAAAAACAACAACAAAAAACAAGTAGCCTGTGCCAGGCCCCTGCGGCACCACGGAGGGTCAAAGCCAGTGTGGTGCAGTCACTGAGGATGGGAGGGGGTGGCCAGCGAGGAGGCTGGACAACACAAGCCCCGTGCGAGCCCCTGGTCACGGAAGTGCAGTGGGACCCTTGGGTGGGATTTAAGTGGGACGTGGCCTTGGCTCTGGCTTTGGGGAGGGGAGAGGAGGGGAAGCCACCGCAGGGCCACGTATCACTGTAGGGATCTCCTTTGCAGTGATGCTGTGTGGTCATCTGGACACAGGCAGCAACAGTGGCAGGGAAAGACATACAGAAGGTTGAGAAAATACTGAAAGGTAAAAATCAAGAGGGACTGGACATGGGGGTGGTGGGGAAGAGGGAGAATCAAGGAGGTTGTGTAGATTTCTAGCATATGCAGTTGGTGGGGTGAGAATAAGATATTATGAAGGGTTGCCTGAAGAATTACTTTATTTCCCTGAATACTCTAACGTGCATTTAGCCAGAGCAGCCAAGAGCTGTGTTCCTGGCCCCAAAGCCTACTGCCCCGCTGCAGACACACTCCCAGTGATGCTTCAGCCTAAGCTGTGGAGCATTCTGAGAAATCGCCCCATGAAACTCATTTTTGGATCTCCCATGAGGATCTGACGGCATGGCTCATCTCATAAATCTCAGTCCTCAGAGAGAAATTCCCTTTAATCTCTAGAGTGGTGGGCTTCTCTTGACTCACAGCCATATTTCTATCTCACAGGTACTGTTAGTTATATTAATGACCAGTATTCTCTTTGCTCTGGCTGCTAGGAAGCTCACTGTGAAATGAATGACCTACTCATAATAAATGCATAGAACCCCCTAGTACACATTTGTAAAATTAACCCCTCCCTGGCTCCATTTTAAGCCACTACCATTTTGCCAGCACCTGTCTATCTTTCATCTGTTTTTATTTTATGCTATCTTGAATTGTATTTAGGTTTGTATTATCTTCATTTCCTTCTGGAAAAGATGGGATATTGCAAATATAAATAAATTGATAAATAAAGAAAAGGCCCCCGACAGGGAAGTGGCTGTTCCTCTTTGCTGGGATGCTTTCCCCCGGGGAGCTGGTAAGATGGTGATCTCGCCATCTCTCCTCTCACAAGGATGTGATAGCTTGTGATGTCTGCCCAGCGAAGCCTGCCCTGAGGTCCTGCTTTGCAAGGGCTAGGAGATGCTAGTGAGTCTAAAAGGGGTTGGTGGGAGACGCAGCTGCTGTTCAATCCCGCGTTCTCCGTGATGGCAGGATGACAGTGCATCTTTGTTTATGAAGCCCTTGCACATATTAATTGTCACACTTGATTTCTAATTTCTAAGGAAAACTACAACTAAAGACCACAGAGGCTGACACGCTTTTCCAAGATCAGCCAATAAGGCAGGGTCTGGTCTCAAGTTCTCTGGCCAGCACCTGGGCCTCCCAATGGAGATGGCTGCGTGTGGGTTTATATTACAAGGCCAGGAAAGGGAGGGCTGGGTTTGGGCTCAGGAGGGCAGCATTCCAAAAGGTTGTCTACTGCTCCTCTTCTCTCAGCATGGGAGGGAGGCTTCAGGAAGTGGGTCATCCTGAATCCTGGCTGGCATTCCCTTCTGTGGGCTCAATCTCTCTAGGACTCCCAGCGAACTACCGGGCAGCTAAGTGACCTCCAGGGTCTGAAAACAGGAAATGCTCTACAGAGGAGGTGGAGGGAGGAAGCCAACACCCATGGAAGATGTCATCGACCTCATTTAACTGGCATGACGGAGGCACTCTCAGTCATGTAGTCTGCCCTGGGTCACTGCAGTAGCAGTGGTCCTGTGACTGAATCCGGGCTACAGACTGCAGCCCCTCCCTCCCGCTTTTCTCCCCACTACATCATAGACAGCGATCTGTGGTTGGGGTGGCGGTCATCTCTCTTGCCCCCAGTTTTTCTCCCTTAGGATTTCATTCTACCTTCCTCTATTGCTTGGCTCATGGCAAGGCTTCAGAGTCTCTTGAGGAATAACTGGTGGGACTCTGGTCCCCTTGGGAGCCCGGTGGGGAGGGAGGGGAGGAGCTCTCACTTTCTGAGCAGGCAACTCCGGCCCCGTACTGCACTCCGCCCTGGGGGCAGGCCACGTCCTCCCCGTCGTGGCGGCAGTGCGCCAGGGACAGCTCCGTTCCCGAGCACTTCACTCCACTCATGACCACTTTGTTGCTGTTGACATCTCCGTGCCAATACCAGGTCTCCTGGAAGAACCAACAAAACAAATGGTGGGTACATCATCTCAAACTGTCACTTTCTCATATCCTATCAACTTGCAGCCTCACAAAAATCCCAATGTTTCATGATCCCATTTTTCAGATCGAAACAGCACGGAGGGTCACCTATCCAAGCTGTGCAGTTAGTTGGTGGCAGAGTGAGTGGGAATCCAGGTCTCCTGAGTGTAGCACTTGGACTCTGTCACTCTCTCCCTCAGGGAAGTAGAGCTAAGGTTGTGGTCAGACACTGCAAGGCTGTGTGTCAGGAATGGCAGGTGCACACAACTCAGGTTGCCCACTCCCCAGTCCTGATCCAGGGCAGACATTGCTAATCAATCACAGCACTCTCTCCTCTAAGCCCGAATAGGATCTCAGAATCCTTCTCAACACAGTGCTCCAGGAAGATGTTACTGGTTGATTGGAAGTGGTGGGAGAGAAGAAGAAATCTATTTGCATAGGTCAATCATTAGACATGTTATAAAGACGAACTTCTGAATTTAGACTTTTCCCCAGTTTAAAGAGCAATTAATAGAGTAGTTCTGCACAGAAGCTGAGGAGATCCGAGGCTTAGGATGCTGGGATTTATTTGGCCCCTTTGCTCTATGGGCCTTCGAAATACTGTTAGGATTTACTCTCACACTTCAGAGAAGTTTCCAGCAGAGAAAAATGAGGAGCAGAATTGGGATCGTCAGGTACAGAAACGGGATGAGAACACAGGTGCTGTGTTCCTCAGGTCTCTCGGGCTTGGAGGCTGAGGCAGGATTAGAGCTCAGGGAGGTCTTCTCGGGATCGTCAGAGACAGACCATCAGGATAGGAAGGGCCTTGGAAGTATTAGTATCTCATCTAAACTCTCCTGTGATGGTTCATTTTACGTGTCAACTTGGCTAAGCCACAGTACCCAGATATTTGGTCAAACACTATTCTAGATGCTTACGTGAGGCTGTTTTTAGATGAGATTAACATTTTAATCAGTAGACTTTGAGTAAGGCAGATTACCCTCCATAATATGGGCAATTCTTATCCAATCGGTTGAGGATCTTAAGGGGTAAAAAAAAAAAAAACCCAAAAAACCTGAGGCCTCCCAAGGAAGAAGCCATTCTGACCACAGACTGACTTCAGACTCTAGCTGCAACATCAATGCTTCCAGCCGGCTGGTCTACTCTGCAGACTTCAGACCTGCCAGCCCCATAATTGGATGAGCCAATTCCTTAAAAGAAATATCTTTCTTCATGCTGTGTGTGTGAGAGATATACATACACATATATAAACACACATTCATACATCCTATTGGTTGATAGCACACACACACACACACACACACACACACACACACAAAAATACACATTCATACAACCTACTGGTTTTGTTTCTCTAGAGAACTTGACCAATACCCACCTCCATCCTCCAGATGAAAAAAATGAGGACTTGAGAAGGGATGGGGCTTGTAATCAGTGGCAGATTTGGTACAAATGTCAGTCCCAGGCCTATTTCAAGACCCCAGCTGAGGCCCAGGTGTCTTAGGAATGAGCTGACTGGGAAGAAAAATATCTGGTTGAAGACTCCCTTGAAATGTGGCACCGTTTTTCCACTCTCCTTGGAGATTTAGAGAGTGCCCTGGCTTGTCATAAACAATATTAGCAGAAACACTGCGTTGCCTGGGGAGGCCAAGCTCCCAGAGGGCGTAAGCAGCTATTTTAAAGGCCTGTCTCTTCTGGATGCCGGAATGAGGAGCCACAGGGCAGGGGATCCCAGGCAGCTTCTGCTCAGGGCTCAGGACCTCCCATTGGAGCAACCTGGGACCCACCCAGCCCATGGGAGACAGTCAGGCTCAGTAAGGATGCAGGAATTCTCCTCTTCTCTCCCTAAACCCCTTTCTTAGGCCCCAAGAAGGACCACTGGGGAAGGAGAGCTGGAGTCAGGGTTAACAACACAAGAGCAGGGTCTCCAAGCATCTTCCCGTTATGTAAGCTGCTTAATGGAAGTGTTTACAACCAGGATACTGAGGTCTTGGGATTATTCATTCCATGTCACAGGGAGGACAACTGAGGCAGGGAAGGGTGGCTGCTTTGCCTCAGACCATTACACAGCCAGCTGGTGGGAATGCGTCGGGATTAGACCCAGAGCCTCCTATTTTGTTGCTGCTCTGTGATGGGGGCGGGAGGGTGGGAACTAGGACCAGAGCTCAGCTGTTCTCAGCTGAGTCACTCTCTTTGGAGAGGGGGCAGTGGGAGGAAGTGCAGCTGATGTGACAAGGCTTGGAGATTCCCTAGCGTGTCAATGGGAGAATGCATTAGGCACAGATGCCAGCGGGGAAACGTGTTCAGACCAGAGCGGGTTTCAAGGGAGCAAGCTAAGGCGTTTAGCGGGGGTTGAGCCTTGGGCTGGGGGTCACCACCTCCCCGAAGGACTGAGTTGGTTCCTTCTGCACAAGGCACATCAGGAACCCCCAGGATCAGTCTTGAGCCCAGGGTGAACCCCAGTGTGCAGAGCAGGAGTGGACCATGAAAAGCAGAGCCCAGCCCCTCGTTCTGCAGCCGAGAAATAGAGGCAGAGATGGGAGCGACCTGCCCGAGGACTCAGGCCTGTAAGGAGCAGCGCTGTGGCCAGAGCGAGGCTCCCTGCCTCTGGGTCCAGGGCAACTTGCTCTGTCCTGCCTGCACGGCTAGGGAGGGTACGTGGGAGAGGGGGGCTGACTGAAGACAGTGTGGTCAGACTGCATGGGGGGTGAATGCGGGGTCTGAGGCCGGGGCTTCTCACCTGGAAGGCGTTGCTGGCGAATCCCAGGCCCAGCTGGCGGCAGACCACCATGGCCTCCACGATGCCCCAGTTTTGGCCACACACCATCCCCCACACAAGGGACCCGTTTCTCTCCACCAGCACCTCCACTCGGCCCTCGTAGGGATTGCGGCCGCCGTTCAGGCGCAGCTGCAGACACAAAGGCAGGCCACGGTCACCAAGAGGGACAAGGGAGCTTCCCCCCTACGCTGCCATCAGCCCCAGTGTCCTGGAGTCCTAAGCCAGGTGGTGCTGCCCGGGACACACTCAGATTCAGCAGCACCCTTGGGAGCCCCCGGTGGCAGCGCTGTGCCTAGCATGGTCTTATAGTGAGGTCCCCACCCCAGGCACCCTAAGCAGCTGGGGAGGCCCTGTGACTCCACTGAGCCCCACAGCAGAAGCTGACCCTGCTCCCCATGAGCCTATCAGTGGGGGGCTGCTCTTTGGGAGGATGGTGCCCTCGGGACCTTGACATGTTGGAATCCCACAAGACTCCTGCCTGGGCACTTTTCTCTTTGCCACATCCCCTACCTGGCGGGTTCCAGAGCCACTGGCATCTTGTCCCATGGCTCTCCTGCTGGTCTGAGGCCCACCTAACCAGCTGCCTGTTTGACAACCCCACTTGGTATCTCAGAGATCACAAATCTGAACTTGCTGTCTTTTCTCTTTACCCTAAATGACCGGGTGTGGCCATGTTCCGATACAACTTTATCTTAAAAAAGAGGCTGGGTATGGTAGCTCATGCCTGTAATCCCAGCACTTTGCGGGGCCAAGGTGGGAGGATCACTTAAGCCCAGGGTTTTGAGACCAGCCTGCGCAACATAGTGAGACCCCATCTCTACAAAAAAATAAGTTTAAAAAATGAGCCAGGTATGGTGGTGCATACCTGTAGTCCCCGCTACTCGGGAGGTGGGAGGATCCCTTGAGCCCAGAAGTTTCAGGTTGCAGTGGGCTATGATCATACCACTGCACTCCAGCTTGGGCAACAGAGCAAGACCGTCTCAAAAAACAAACGAATAAAAAACCAGGAGGAAGGGTGGGCTTGGCCACATATCATAGTTTCTTGGCTCCTGAATCTGCTGTTATTCAAGCCAGAAACAGAGGAGCAATTCTTGACATCTCCCACTCTCTTATCTCACATCCTGTCGGTCTTCACCTGTGGGTTTTATCTCTCGTCTCTCTCCAATGCATCCACTTCCCTCCAGTCCTTCCCTACCCTCCCTCATCTCTTGCCTGAGCCAGAGCAGTGTTCCTGCTCTAGGTCCTAAAGCCAAGGCAAGTCTCAGAGGCTCTGGCTGCGGAATGTGGCTGCCTCGTTGCCTCTGGGGCCAGGAAAACACATGGTCACCAAGGGCACCTGCCAAGGCTCCAAGGCGTTAAGGCTTACCAGGCCCGGGATGGCCTCTAGGACAGAGAGAAGGGTTTGACTGTTCTGGAAGGAATCTGGACACTTCATGCACTGGGGGGCTTTTCTCATTTTCTAGAGAAGACTGGAGCGCACAGTGTAGCTGGCATGCAGTTCTAACTCAGCAAAGGACACAGCTTGCCATTCCCAGAGCCCCACGTAGAGCGTCAGCATCCTGGTAACCGTGTGGCTTTCTGGTGAGCGGGGTCTGACCTCACCAGTGACAATGGAGCGTATGGGACCTCATGGTCAGCCAGGAGCCTCTGTCCTCACCCTCTCCACCTCCTCACCCAAGGAGGATGCCAGGGAAGGTCAAGCCCTTTCCAAGTCTCTTAAAACAGCCCAGGCATTTCCCTTTTCCTGTTCCTTTGGTTCTCAGTGGCAGCAGCACAGGGTTTTAAAGAAGGGAGCGAAGTGTGTGGCAGCCCAGTTTTTTTCTGAACATGAATAGAGGAAAGAGAACGCCTCCAGCCAGCAGAGCACAGCCAGGCTGCACCGTGTTTTGATAAGGTTGTGGCTAGCCGGTCCCACGCCTGTCTTTGGAGGTGGTGGGGCAGAGGTGAGGTAACTCACCTCAGATGTTAACATGCAAGGAGGCAGGGCCTTTCCAGCTCACACTGCACACAGGGGCTTGGGCCTGCTGCCGGGCCAGGGCCAGGCCCGAGGTTCGAGGGGGAACTAAACATTGCAAATGCCAAGTGGCAATGTCTGCAGCAGTACTAGCAGCAGCACCTGGTCACTTCCAGGGTTCACCCCAGAGCTCTGTGGCTATACTTTCTGCAGCCTCAGTTACAGTCCCCTCTAGGTGTCCAGTCCCATCACCTTCTTCTGCAAGCCCATGGCAGGGGTGTTGCATCTCACACCAGCATCCTCCTCGTGGTTGCAGCCCTGAGACTCGGCATTGAACTTGCAGTCTATAATGGACTTCTCATTGCCTGTGCACTGGATCTCGTTGAGGTGGATGGGTCCGATCCCTGCAAGGGGAGAATAAACATGCTCTATGAAAGCTTTGGAAGGAAACTTTCTGGAGTGGCAAGAAAGCCCTGGACAATAAGAACATGCCTCTCCCATCCTCAGAACTCTCCCCACTGCCTCTTGTAATCAGCTCAATGACCCAAGCCTCTTCTCCCCAGAGAGAACAGTGCTAATTCTCTTGGGATTCACTTATCCCCCAAGAGCAAATAAAGTTTGCTACTGATTTGCTGTGTGACCTTGGCCGATCACTCAGCCTCTCTGAATACCAGTTTTCTCTCATCCTTTTTCTAGTCCAAAGGAATTGGACTAGAAGTTGTATAAGTTTCCTTCCCGACTTTAATATTCCATGCATTTATGAATCTCAAAGGTACAACTATTGCTGTATCTGTCAAGGGTCCCTGCAGGAAACAGATGGCATGTACAAATTGGATTGAGTTAGAAAAAGGGATTTTAAAAATAAAGGTATGGATGGAGTGAAGGGAAATCACAGAGCACAGTCCAGTACTCAGGAGCTAGTGACACAGGCATAGATACCACGCCCGTTACCCTCTGCCTCCCTGCTAGGGGCTGAGGATTCAAAGATGGGTAAGGCAGGCCCCTGCCCCGAAGAGCTCCCAGTTCCTGGGGGAGGCAGAACTTACACAAATGCTTGTGATATGACATGGTCAGTAACAAAGATGAAGGTCACAACAGGTGCTCTGGGGCTTAAAGGAGGGCCCTCGACTCTGCCGGAGAGTTCTGGAGACAGCTGGTATCCAGGCTTACTGAGGCCAAAAACCAACTTCTAGATCAACCAATATTATCAGGCAGGAGCCAAGTTTCTATTTCCTTGGAAACTCATAAATGATGATGCTTCCAATTCTTTGGAATTTTATAAAATGCATAAAAATGCATCGGTGATGGTGGCTGGAAGCATCGAAGGACTAGCATGGAAAGGCTGTGACAAGGCACCGATCCTAATCAGAGCCCAGGAAGCAAGCAAGGCCCACAGCTCATGGGCACAGAGACAGTCAGGAGAGAAAACCCTATGTTAGGAAAGAGCAGAAGGTTCTGTCTGGGAAACAGCTGGGCTGATCTGGTCCAAACGCCCACGCTCTCCTCCCTCTAGGGAAGCCCTCGCTGTCTCCTGCCTCCTGCACTGTCCTCTTTCTGCCTCCACCTAAGGAGAAGCCTGCCTTGAAGAAAAACCTCCAGCTTCCTCCATGGTGCAGCTTGAAAGACCTCCCACTTGTCTGAACTTTTGCTTTTTACACATCTTGCTCAAGCGGCAGTGAGCTGGGCAGGCAGCCTGAGATTGAATTCAGCTTGAGGCTGAAGATTAGGTTGAATCCTTGGAGTGATAAAAGCTTTAGCTCTACCTTCCTCATTTGTAAAAGGCCAATTAATTATAATATGTGTTTTGCCAGATCGGGATTTTTTTTTTGGGGGGGTGGGGGTGGGACGAACTCTTGCTCTGTTGCCCAGGCTGGAGTGCAGTGACGCCATCTCGGCTCACTGCAACCTCCACCTCCCAGGTTCAAGCGATTCTTCTGCCTTGGCCTCCTGAGTAGCTGGAAATACAGGCACATGCCACCATGCCCAGCTAATTTTTGTGTTTTTAGTAGACATGGGGTTTCACCATGTTGGCCAGGATGGTCTCGATCTCTTGACCTTGTGATCTGCCCGCCTCGGCCTCCCAAAGTGCTGGGATTACAGATGCAAGCCACCATGCCTGGCCTGATTAAGGTTATTTCTTATTTCTGCCACTTGACATGAACTCCTGGAGAGCGGAGCATTTGTGGAATAAATGAATTCTTCATTCCAGGATCCAGGCTGAAAAGCACTCAAACAGTGTTTGTGGATTGCTAAGACTACAGCTCAAGACTGGACAGGACAGGTAAAGCCAACTTAAGAGCCTAGCATGCTTCAGACTCAACTGGTTGGTCTCCTTCTGGCTGAACTTCTGTGTAAACTTGCGTGGCTGTCTCAGCCATCTGGGGTCAGTCTCCTTGTGGCTGAACGTCTATGTAAACTTGCGTGGCTGTCTCAGACATCTGGGGACAAGGCTCCGGGGGGCAGGGCCTCCCTCCTGAAGCACACATACCCATGGTGCGTCCAAGGAAGGGCACAGAGAAAGAGGCCCAGTGTGGCTCACTCTCTTCCTGCCCCACTGAGTTCCGTGGGGGGTTGGGCAGGGTGGAAGAGGCTCCGAAGGACACTGGACTGGGTGTCTGGCTTCAGCGTCTGGGTGTCTGTGGACTTCTGGTTCCTTCTGCTGACCTGGGCTTGGCATTCTGCATCCTTGACCTGCAGCTGTCACCTACTCCTGTGTTCTGGAGCACCCCTGAATTGCTCCTCCTCATGGTGCCTTCCCCGTCTCCACCTTGGCTCTGTTCTTCTCCACATACAAACCCTGGCCTAGGTGACCACAAGGCGTGAGGCAGAATTAGGGCACAGTGGAAAAGCCGCGTCTAACATCATAGAGCAGTGTTACGGCTTCCATGGGTCCAGGCCAATGAGTGGGCTGAACTGTCAACTAAGCTGGTTACATTCAGATTGTAGGAAGCACAAGAGAACAGAATAGGACATGTCACGGGTTCTGCATATTGTAAAGCTAAGCTCTTGTTTAGAAAACCTTTGCTGGAGTTTTACATGTCACATGCATTCCTTCTTGGGGACTGCATGCAAAAGGGTTTTCAAGCCACTGCTGTAAAACTGGGGAGCTGCCCCCTCCAGTACAGGAGCCACCAGCTGCATGTGGCTATTGAGCACTTGAAATGTAGCCAGCCAGTTTGTCTACTCAGAAATGCAGACAAACTGAGAGGTCTGTTAAGTGTAAAATACATACTGGATTTCAAAGACTTAGCACCAAATATGCAAATGATCTCATTAATAGCATTCATATTGATTACATGTTGAAATAATATTTTGGATACACTGGTTTAAAGAAAATACATTATTAAAGCTAACGTCATCTTTTTAAAATTGTGGCTACTAGAAAATGCAAAGTTACATGCGTGGTTCCGGTTCTATTTGTTTTCTTTTTGAGAGACAGAGTCTCGCTATGTCACTCAAGCTGGAGTGCAGTGACATGATCATGGTTCACTGCAGCCTACCTCGAGGGCTCAAGTGATCCTCCCACCTCAGCCTTCTGAGTAGCTGGGACCACAGGTGTGTACCACCATGTCTGGCTAATTTTTAAAAAAATTTTGTAGAGAGGGGGTCTCACTATGTTGCCCAGGCTCGTCTTGAACTCCCAGGCTCAAGTGATCCTCCTGCCTCTGCTTCCCAAAGTCCTGGGATTACAGGCGTGAGTCCTGTTCTGTTTCTATCAGACAGCACCGGTCTAGTGTTGGAACTTCTTCACCAAGTATT
Source organism: Homo sapiens (assembly GCF_000001405.40). Lineage (NCBI taxonomy): Eukaryota > Metazoa > Chordata > Mammalia > Primates > Hominidae > Homo > Homo sapiens. The sequence goes on from NC_000008.11 coordinate 23,325,637, forward strand.
TGTTCTACTGATCCTACTGATTCAACTGGAACACATTCATTCATTCCTTACAACTGAATAGCACTGGAGCGCTGCATGCTGGCGGACTCGGCACTAAGGACACAGAGATAAAGACACAGGTGCTCCCCTCATGTGGCATGCAGCCTTGCAGGGACATGGAGGCACCAACAGGCAGTTGGGGTCCCGATGCGGGCAGGGGTCCTAAGGCACAGAGCAGAGAGCCTGACCAGGACCTCATGTCTATGCTGGTGAGGCTGGAGCCAGTCAGAGCTGCAGGTGCTGTGCGTCCAGCCACCTTGTTTCACAGTGAAGAATCTGAGGCCCAGAAGGTTGCTCAAGGTCACCAAGCAAGCAGGTGGCTGGGCAGGGAGGAGGACTCAGATTGCCCGACTCACAGTCATTGCCCTTTCATGCCTCGTGGCTGTGGGTGTGGTCACTGAGTCCATCAGCTAGAGCCAGGGCTGAGGGGCTGACCCTGTCTGCTCTGTGACTTGACATTAAATGTGGTACTTTTCCCTTTCTGCCTACTAGAGTTGACCCTGCCCAGCATGACAGGAGATATCAATCATCCACTGCTTCTTACAAGGACAGCATCCAAAATGCCAAATGCCTCTTTCTCCCAGAGTTCTGCAGGCCCCTGGAAACCTCTGGCTGCTCTGGGCAGTGAAATGATTAGGTCACATAGCACACACCCATGATAAATGGAATGTTTATGTCATCGAGGGCCTGTTTATTCCTCAGAATGAGTGGTCTTTGTCCTGTAGGCCCTTGGAGAGCACAAACCCACACATCGGCCAATCAGTAAATGACTGCAGGGATAGTCAAGATCCAGGGAGGCCAGGTGCAGTGGCTCGTGTCTATAATCCCAGCACTTTGGGAGACCGAGGTGGGTGGATCACTTGAGGTCAGGAGTTCAAGACCAGCCTGGCCAACATGGTGAAACCCCGTCTTTACTAAAAATACAAAAATTAGCTGGGTGTGGTGGTGCACACCCATAATCCAAGCTACCTGGGAGGCTGAGGCAGGATAATTGCTTGAACCGGGGAGGCAGAGGTTGCAGTGAGCCGAGATCGCGCCACTGTGCTGGGTGACTGAGTGAGACTCTGTCTCCAAAAAAGATCCAGGGGATCCTGTGGAGCTCACCATGCCCAGGGAAGGAGCACTGTTATATGGCCCAATGGAAGCTGCCAGGTGGCATGATGTGACTCAGAGTGCACCCCAGACCTCCAAACTTCAGTGCACACCTGGAAGCTTGCACAGACTGGAGAACAGAGGCAGAGAGACATTCTGAATGTGAACAGGACTGGGCCAAGGTGGGCATAAGGAAGAAGCCCTTGTCTGAGAGTTAGAAGACTTGGCTTTCAGTCTTTCTCTGCCAGCAATGAATGGGGTGACCTCAGACTTGTTCTCCTCAACTCTTGGACTAGAGGACCTGAGGTCTCTCCAGCAGTACTGTCCATCATTTCAGGACTCTCTCGAGGCCACTGGAATGCGGGCTTCCTTCCAACGTCAGGGCACCCTGTAAGAGCTGACCCACTGCAGGCTAGGGCATGGGTAGGCCGTAGAAAGAACCAACCAATGGCACTAGACAGATGAGCTCCACTTCTAGAAGGAGGAAAGCTCTACGGTCTTTGACTCAGCTGGAGGTTAAGTTCAATGCAGGATTCTACAGTCTCACACAGAAAACCACTGGATGTGGTGTGAGGCCCTGGGCTAGTGAGGGCTATCATTTCTTCCAGGCTGTGATCAGTGACCTCACCACATTCCTTTCTGTGGGGTGATGGCCCAACATCTGACACTATGGAAATATCCCCTCCCCACTGGACAGGCCACCCCACCGCTTGTCTGTAGCCTATTCTGCTTCCTACCTATCCCTTCCCAGCCATAGCAGCCGACGGTCTGCAGCGGCCTCCCTGCTGGTCAAGGCTGAAAAGATTCCAGGAAATGACCATGACTTCCCTCACTCAAGTCACAGTTGTCTCGGGGAAGACTGGGCACTCCTAGACCGCACAGTCTGTTCGGGGTAAAATCTCCCCCTGTTGAATGACCAAGGCTCGCAAGGATAAATGGTGGTCGTGGGGCTTCCTGGGGAGGAGAAATGACCTCTTCTGTGTCGTCTTCTAGCTGCAACATCACTTTCCACCAACGGACCCACTTGAAAGCCTCCCTTCCGTTTTTTTGCTCACATGAAAGATTTGTTCAGGACAGTTAATAAAAAGCAGGCCCTTTCTCAATTAGTCTGAGGACATCCGGAGGGCGGCTTCTTGTTCCCTTTCTCTGCTGTCAGGGAGGGAGTGTGTGCAGGGCTGCTCCAGGGAGGAAAAGTAAGATGGCATTTGGTCCTTTTGTTGTACAGAGTGGTTCAGTCTGGTGAACTCGGAGGCCCTCTCCTGCAGGAGGGGCCTGAGAACCCTGGCGTTTTTTGGTAAGACAGCAGAGAGCACTGGGTTAGGAGCTGGGAGACCTACGGGGGAGTATTCATTGGCTGCTAATATGTTATCTCACCTTGGATGTTTACTCCGTCTTTTGGGCCTCTGCTTCCAAATCTATAAAATAGGGTCTCAGTGTTCTCTAAGGCCCCTTTCAACTCTGTCTAGGGAGAGGCCTGGGATTCTCTCCCAGGCAGCCACTAAAGGGAGGAGGGAAAGTGAGGATTTCCCGAGAGCTCACGGCCAGCAGCCAGGCTGGGCTCACGGCACCATGCTCCCAGGAAGAGAGGCCCCCTCTAGCCTCCCCATTCCTTACCTTGCCCCAGTCGGGAGCCAGTGACTGCCTCTTTGGCACTCCCAAAGCCCAGCTCTCTGCAGACCACACTGGCCGACACCAGGTCCCACTTGTCGTCGCAGACGGTCCCCCATTCTCCATTTTTGAGCACCTCCACGCGGCCCTCCCCGATGTAGGCACCGCCTCTCAGTCGCACCAGGGGTTGCTGAAGAGACACACGGTCCTGCTGAGTACAGACGCTGATGCACGTTCAGCGGGTGACCACTGTCCCCGCCCCCTCCCTTCCCTGCCACCCTGTTCCCAGGCCAGGCACTCAGTCTGGGAGCTGCAACTATGCTTGATGTATGGATGTGTGTGTGTGTGTGTGTGTGTGTGTGTGTGTGTGTCGTGGGTGTGTTGGGGTGTGGGAGCTTCCTCTATAGAGTCAGCTCTGGTGCAAGCTCCCTTTGCAGCCCTCGCGTGGAGCTTCTGTCCTGGTCCCCTGGGGAGCCCATTGGGGACCGTCGATCACTCATCACCCCAACCTTTGCGTGGCACAAGGATCCTTCCATCAGCACGTCCCCCACCAACTCCAGAGCCTCATGCTTCAGAGCTACAGAAAGAAGCGCCTACCCTCCAAAGTCTGCAGATTCCAAATGGATAATAATTCTTTCTTGTAACAAGGTTGCTTCTAAGCAAGTTTGGATCAACCTTGCTTATAACACAGTGCTACAGTCTAGGCCTGCAGAGACTCCAAAGTACTAGGCAGGCACTGGAACGATTCTGCTGTGCACACCAGCTAGAGGCAGGAGGGAGCAGAACGGGAAGACAGGCAGCTGGAAAGCCAACCTTCATACAGCCATGACTCAGAGAATGGATGGGGAGCCTCATACTGATTTGTCCCAGGGCTGGGGGCATGCCCAGCCTCCCTCAATTTGACTCCAAGTCCAAATTGGCCTGACTCCAGAAGATGCAGCCCAATCAGCTATGCAGAGAGGGTGGAGAATTAGAGTTTAAACACCCCCAGTGTTCACTGACAGTCTGGAAGCTTTAATCTCCTTGTGGGCTTTACTGAGTTAGACAGGAGTAAGACTCTCTACGTCTTGGCCACAGTGCATCATGTCTTACAAGATGGGAGCTGGGTCATTTGACTCCAGCTGTCCACATACCCAGGTTTGCATCTGTTTCTCTGCATGTGTGGCACGTGTGTGTGTAAGCTCACCTGCATGCATGCTGCATGTATGCGTGTGTGTGTTTTGGAGGAGGCTCAGAAGCCTATGAGGCTCTCAGCTACTGCTGATGCTCATTCAACTCCACAGAGGGAGTGAGGAAGACTGTGTAGCCATTCTAGGTGTGTCATATCAGACCAGAGTCATTGCCTGCCCTAGCCTATGTTGTCCTTAGCCCAGAACTGCCTTCACCCTACCACTGATGGCCACGGCGAGGCAGGCCTGGGTGGAGATGACCTTTTCAAGCATTCATGTCCACCAGCTACCTTCAGCGGGATGGCATCATACAAGAACCTGCCTCTCTACCAATTGTACCTTGGGGCTGGCCATGGCATGGTGGGGTGCTGGGACAGCACCCAGATTTACAGACCTCAGGGACTGCTCTGACCCCCGCAGTATGGGGAGAAGAAAAAAGGGGAAAACAGCCAGTGACTGCAGGATCTTTTACCCTAGCTTTAAAAAAAAACCCAAACAGGGCCAGGTGCGGTGGCTCACGCCTGTAATCCCAGCACTTTGGGAGGCCAAGGCGGGTGGATCACGAGGTCAGGAGATTGAGACCATCCTGGCTAACATGGTGAAACCCCGTCTCTACTAAAAAACAAAAAAATACAAAAAATTAGCCAGGTGCGGTGGCGGGTGCCTGTAGTCCCAGCTACTCGGGAGGCTGAGGCAGGAGAATGGCGTGAACCCGGGAGGCGGAGCTTGCAGTGAGCCGAGATTGCGCCACTGCATTCTGGCCTGGGCGAAAGAGCGAGACTCCGTCTCAAAACAAAACAAAACAAAACAAAACAAAATAAAACAAAAAAAATCCAAACAGAACAAAACACGCATAACTACTGGCTGGCTGCAACCTCTGTTTTCTGTAGAATGGTGGCCTCCTGCTTCCCTGACCTCCCTTCCCAAGCTGTCTTCCCACAGAATGGACCATCCATGACCTAAGCTTAATGGAGGCAGAGGTCAAATAACCTCGCCCCAGCCCAGCTATGGCCAAGCAGTCAGCTGGCCCCAGAGGAAAGAAAGAAACCAAGGGAAAATATGATGTAAGGCACGCTCGCTCTGTTTTAATTGGTTTGGTATGAACTTGATTCCTTTGCTTTAAACCGCACAGTAGAGGAATTCCAAAACAGTAGGATCTGGTATTCTGGATGACACACAAGGAAAGCTCAGAGGCTCAGGCTGAGGCTGTGGAAAGGATGTGGCCATCAAATCATACACAGGGGGCAAGCAGGGTGTGGTGGGGGTTTGGGGGGTGGTGGACTGATTGTCGGAGGAGAGGGACATGGCGCTGTCCAGGCGTGTCCTGGAGGCACACATATGATGGTGTGGTCCCCTCTGTGCTCTTCAGAGGCTCTTGAGGGGACTGAGGAGGCAGGGCCTCCTGAAATTGCCAGGAAGTCACTCCTGATAGTTCCCACTCCCTCTGGTTGAGGAGGGCTGGGCTCCCAGCATGCATTTCACTCCTCTCACTGAAGGCTCAGTCTTTTGTTCAAATCTCCACCAAGCCTGGGATGGGGGCACCCAGTGTGGTTTATCCGGCTCTTGTCACGGTGTCCCTTTTATATTGGAGGAGTGTAATAACCTCCTTTCCACAGCAGGTCTCAACAAAGAGGGGAGACCGGGGAGGGGAGAGGGGAAAGAGGGAGGGGACAGGAGAGGAGCCAAAAGGGCATGGCTGGGGGAAAGCTGGTTGGCTCAGCCTCTGCTGCTCCTGCCTGGCTGCCTGGACCTGGCTGACACACTCTCTGCCCCCACCCCAGAGCCCTTCTCCCTCCTCTGGCTCTCTCTTATCCCTGACTTGGTGACAGCCCACCTGGAACTCACCCCTGCCAAGGTGATGATTACTACGATCATCACGCTAATCAGATGCTGTCTCATCTACTCATGCCGCGTCAGCAAACAGTGCACTAAGTACTGAGGTTTTACCTGGCACAGGGCATCAGCCCCTGAGAAATGATCGGTCACTTCTCCTATCCCTCCCTCTCCTCTTCCCAGTTGCTATTCCCACCCACTCACAAGATATTCGCTGTTTCCTGAACACAGAAATCACAGAGACCCTTTGATGGATACAGGAAAAAGGAAGAGGAGGAGAAAGAAAAGCGAATCAAGAAGAGACAGATAGGGCATTTGCTCTTTGTCAGAGGCTGGGTCAAGCCTGCTGTGGTTGGACTACTTTACTTGTTCTAGGAAATCGGCCAGTGGGCTCACATCTGTAATCCCAGCACTTTGGGAGGCTGAGGCGGGTGGGCCATCTGAGGTCAGGAGTTCAAGACTAGCCTGGCCAACATGGTGAAACCCCATCTCTACTAAAAATACAAAAATTAGCGAGGCGTGGTGGCGGGTGCCTGTCATCTCAGCTACTTGGGAGGCCGAGGCAGGAGAATCGCGTGAACCCAGGAGCCGGAGGTTGCAGTGAACCAAGATCATGCCATTGCACTCCAGCCTGGCAACAAGAGTGAAACTCTGTCTCAAAAAAAAAAAAAAGAAGAAGAAGAAGAAAAGAAAAGAAAAGAAAAAAGAAATCGGCCCATTGAAATGGGGCTGTTACTTTATATGGGAAGATGTTCATCTGCATTTCAGGAATACACTCACACACACACTCACACTCTCTCACACACACACACACACCCCACACACACCCACACCCACCCCACACACCCCCTACACACTCACACCCCCACACACTTATACACACCACCCACACATACACACAACCCACACAGACCCCCACACACACTCATACACACCCCCTACACACATACACAACCCCCACATACACCCCCACACTCATACACACCCACACACACCCCACATACACACTCATACACACACACTCATACACACACCGCCACACACCCACAAACACACCCCACACACTCCTACAGACACACCCACACACATACCCCCCACACACTCCCATACCCCCCCACTCATACACACACATACACATCCCTACACACACCCCCACTCATACACCCCCACACACCCACACTCATACACACACACCCACGCACACATCCCCCCCAGACACCCCTCACAATCATACACACCCAACACACCCACTCATACACACCCACACTCACACGCTCATACACCCCCCCACACTCATACACACACTCATACACCCCCCACACACTCATACACATGCACTCATACACACACACTCATACACCCCCATAAACTCATACACACCCCCACTCATACACACTCATACACCCCCCCACACTCATACCCACACTCATACACCCCCACTCATACACACCCACACACTCACCCCCGCACACATACACACACACTCATACACACGCACAGACTCATACACACACCCCCATACACATACACCCCCCCCACAGAGGGGGGGTGTTTCACATAAGTATAATGTGACTAATGTATAGATGACTTAGGATAATGGCAGGTTTTCTACCTTGGTGGAAGCTTTTTAAAATTGTTACCCTTTCTGTTGCAAAATAAACCAAACATGCTTGCAAATGTGTCGCTGACTGCATGTGCTTTTCAGAGTTGGGTCACATTTCCAGCTGTCCTTTGGGAACTGTGCAGGGACACAAGGTCCCTGTCGCACAACCCTTCATCGTCTGCTCCTGCTGGGTAAGCGGACAGCGCACCAACAGCCTGTGACAACTGATGCTGGGGTATTCTTCTCCCCCAGGTGGTCCTTCTCTGCAGAGGGCGCTCAGGTCTCAGAGTAAAGCAGCCACAATGGTGATCTCCGCTGAGGCCACCCTTCCTCACTCTCCTGGGGGATCCTGCCTACTCCCTCAACACCCTCCCATCCCCTCCAGGTGCCAAGTGGCCACACCTCGTGCCCCGTCCTCACCTCTGGCTTGTACGCTTTCCGGAATCTTGAGGGTCCGTCAGGGCTGAAGACCTGCCCAGGCACACAACTCACCACGGCCGGTAGCCCATTCTCGCAGGTGACATTCTTCATGGGGTCCAGTGACACCTGGGGGCCCAGCTTGCAGCTGGAGATGTGGGCCTCTGTGCCGGTGCAGTCCATGGAGAATGGCCAGTAGCGCTGCTTCCTCCGTGAGGCAAACATTCTGCAGACGATGGGAGGGGACAGGGGACCAGGGCATCATGACGCCTACCCCGATTCCTTCTGCAACGAGGCAGAACATGAGAGACTGGGCCCTGCTCCTGGAGCTCAGCCCTGCTTCACAGAGGGTCCCAGCTCAGTCCATTCTGCCAGCATTCACTGAGCACCTGCTAATGCCTGCACCACACTAGGCACTGGGGGACAGGACGCAGAGGGTGGACAAGGCCTCCTGCCCTCAGGCAGCTTCCATTCTAGGAAAGAAAGGACTCACTCAATGTGGTGAAATAATAATAATAAAGCCCAGGAACACAGAATGCACAAAGGTATTTAAAACAGGTGAGATCCCTGGTCCTAGAAAACCCCTCACAGTCGAAGGTAAACCATGTTTACCCTAACTCTTCAGATAATTCCAACAAAATTTGTTGTCATTCTTTTTTTTTTCTGAGACAGAGTCTCACTCTATTCCCCCAGGCAGAAGTGCAGTGGTGCAATCACTGCAACCTCTGCCTCCCAGATTCAAGCAATTCTGCAGCCTCAGCCTCCTGAGTAGCTGGGACTACAGGTACCTGCCACCACGCCCAGCTAATTTTTGTATTTTTAGTAGAGACGGGGTTTCGCCATGTTGGCCAGGATGGTCTCAAACTCCTGATCTCAAATGATCTGCCTGCCTCGGCCTCCCAAAGTGCTGGGATTATAGGCATGGGCCACTGTGCCCAGCCTGTTGTCATTCTTTAGCTTTATTTTTCTTTGTCAATGAGCAGTACAAGCTGATTGCTAAACTCTCCCAACGATATACAAGATTAAATTTGTATTTCCAATGAGAAACAATGAAAACAGTCTTAAATTACTCCATCTGCTGAATCAAAGTACAATCTGCCTAGCAATAGAAATTATAATGGTAATGCAACTACTGCTTCCTGCACCCAGGAAGATCAGTGAGGTTGAGCTTGTCTCTGTACCATATCCTAAGGAAGCCCTTAGCCTGTATTGTTAACATGTGCAAAGTGTTCCTTTGTATGTTTTTTTTTAAAGGCAGAATATAGATGCAGGTAATTCAGTTTTTTTTTTTCTAAAACAGTAACCAACTGATAAGTAATAGATTGGCTACCAAAAAGGATACTGTACCTCAGTTTCTCATGTCCAAAATCAGAAGTAGTATCTGCTTCACTAGATTATTGTGACAGTTTATTTATTTGTTGTTGTTTTTTTTTTTTTGAGATGGAGTCTCACTCTGTTGCCCAGGCTGGAGTGCTTTGGCGCGATCTTAACTCACTGCAACCTCCACCTCCCAGGTTCAAGGAATTCTCCTGCTTCAGCCTCCCGTGTAGCTGGGATTACAGGTACCTGCCACCACATCCGGCTAATTTTGTATTTTTAGTAGAGACAGTGTTTCACCGTGTTGCCAGGCTGCTCTCGAACTCCTGACCTCAGGTAATCTGCCTCCCTCGGCCTCCCAAAGCGTTGGGATTACAGGGATGAGCTATCACGCCAGACCATAAATCTGTATTTGGAGGTAGTATCCAAATTTATGCCAAGTCATATCATTGTAAGGAGGCCGTGGCAGGAGACCCCCTCACCCCATCTGGGTTCCCATGACTCTGGCCCTTTAAGAAGAGGCTAGAACTCTGGAGAAGTTGAGGTCTCCTGGGACCAGGGTGGTCTCGAAGTCCTGACCTCTGGTGATCTGGCCACCTCTGCCTCCCAAAGTGCTGGGATTATAGGCATGCGTCAGTGCCTGGCCTGTTGTGACAGTTTAAATGAGTTAATACTTGTCACTTAAAACAGTGCCCAGAGATAGGAAGAGCTACATAAGAGTTTGTGAAATAAATAAGTAAATAAATAAAACTGTATTTGTTAAAGAAAAAAAAAGAAGAGTGACAGGAGGGAGGGATTCCATGGTTGGAGTGATGGGAGACTTTACGGAAGAGAAGCCTTTAAATTGGGCCCTGAATGATGGTGGGATCTGAAACAAAGGAGGTCCAGGAAGGCCCTGCTACCTGCTCATGTCGACCCAGCTTTTCAGGGCCCGTGTGCTTGTCCCTGCACGGCAGGACCCAGTAAGATGCCAGAAGGAGCCAGCAGAGGGTACTCGCTGGGCAGGCTGACCCCAAGACAGGGCAGAGGCGAGGTCCCATCCCTGCTGGTCCAGCAGCCCTGGAAGTACCTCCTTTGTCTCAGAGTGAATGGGGTGTGAAGACAGAGGAAGGGCAAATCCTACAGACACAGTTATCATCTCTCCTTAACCCAAATCTGAGACTTGTTACAATTCTAGTGTGCTTGTGAACACAATGACACGGAATCTTGCTGAGGACTATCCTGGCAAATTCAGGGTGCGTGCTCACCACAGCGGCAGCCCAGGGCAGAGAACTGCTCAGGAGGGCTATTAATAATTCCAGGAACCACTGCCCTCCAGACACACTTCCTGCAAGGCCCCTGCACTTGGAAGCTTACAGCATGTTCCATGACGCCCACACAGGGGCGGGAGAAGATACTCGGGGGAACACCAGCTGCTCGAGGATTGGTCAGACCTCACCGCCTGCCTTGGCTCAGGAAAACCCCTCTGCTTCCAGCCGTCAGTGAGCGCCACCCTCTCCAGGAACAGATGTCCTGCGTTCTAAATGAAGAGTGCAGAGCCCACAGCAAACAACTGTCCCCAGCAGCCCGGATCCCTCTGACATCAGCCCCCAGGAATGTGCTGCAGACCCTCTAGCACGTTCAGGCCTCCCAGGGGATACCCTCCCCTCCCCTCCTCCATCCCAGTGTTTCACTGGGGACAGGCCTCTGAGCTGCAGACGGAGGCCCACGGAGGGTGGAAGACAGCCCACCCCGCTCCAGACCTGGAGACTGGAGGAGTGACTGGAGTGAGTGAGGCAGCCTTGAGTGGAGTGGAGCGGGAAGCCTGCCTGTGAAAGAGGCAGCTAGGCCAATAGCTGGACTGTAGGAAGAACACGGAGCTGGACTGATTCAACCAAGAGTCCTACCGACCGGTGCTCCCCTTGCCAAGAGTGAAGGCAGATGCCGTGGGATTCTGCCAGCTGCTGAGTACATCTATTTCCATGATGCTTTCCGGAAGTGGGGAAATAGCACAGAATGGGTTTCAGATGGACGTAAGCTAAAAACCCATAAGCCCCCACTTTGATGTTCTGGGTCTCCTAGAATTACTGTCAGCTCAGAACCAGTGGCCAGTAGTCCAAAAGATCTGATTATTTCCTTTTCTCCAATGCACGCTCATCCTGGTGAAAGGTGTCTTTGGAGAACTGGGAGAAAGAATACAGTATAGATTTCTGGCAGGCTACGAGGGTGCTTCCTTGAGGGTACCCAGCCTTTCCCTCATTCAAGAGCTTCCAGTCTGATAAAACTGGCTCAAGTACGGGAATGGATTGAGGGGTCATGACTCTACTCTGCTTTTATGATTTGGGATAGACTTTTGTTTGCTTGACCTAGAAGTTTTCTGCTTATACAGATTAAGTACGAACTTAGTAGGCTTCCTGTCTATTTCACTTCGAGGAACATCATGATCAACCAGCCAACACCACAGGTCTGCAGCAGTCAGACTGATTTCTGCTTTGACTCCACTGTCCAATAGGGTCAGCACGTCCACCTTGCCTTTGGTAGTACTACAGCCACGGGGCCCCCGCCACCCTGGAGCCAATTACTCCGGTCGCATTCAGGTTACTGGTTCAGTGGCTGCTGTTCCTGCTGTGAGGTCTGGCCTTCAGAGAAGAGTGATCACAGCTCCTCAAGGAGGCTGGAGCTCCTTTCATATATTTACTTCTCACCATCAAGGTGAAAGGCATGTCTTCAGGAGCTTCCCAGCGTGGGTGAGGAGGTCTTAAAGGTAAGATCCACTCTAACATCCAACCTCCCTAAGCTTTTGAATTCTGTCCTCTACACACAACAGAGGCAGGGTCAGCATTTCTACTCACTCACTGTGGGCCACACTTTGGTCCACATTTCAGCCAACCAACCAGGCAAACCGCTGGAGGCCTTTCTAACTTCCTCAGCTGCAACATTAAATGCAGAATCTCTGCTTAGAGAGCTCATTTCAATTAAATGATGTCAGTATTGGGATCCTACTTTTGGGAGAACAAAATTATGACTACAAAATGCTCCCTCTTGGCACCAGGAATGGGGGCCTGAAGTTTAAGCTTCATTAGCTTTAAGGTACATGCATTGCACCCCAGCCCGGTGTGGAAGTCAGTGCCACGGCCACACCAATCAGAGAGCAGGCCTTGGTGAGGAGCCCCTGACTCTACTTTTGGCAAGCCTGTGGCTGCAGAGACCTCTGGGGTATGTGCAGGTAACTGGAGGGTATTAGTCCATTCTCATGCTGCTAATAAAGACATACCCGAGCCTGGGTAATTTATAAAGGAAAGAGGTTCAATAAGCTCAACAGTTTCACGTGACTGGGGAAGCCTCACCATCATGGCAGAAGGTGAAGGAGGAACAAAGGCACGTCTTACATGACAGCAGGCAAGAGAGCGTGTGCAGGGGAACTGGCCTTTATAAAACCATCAGGTCTCATGAGACTTATTCACTATCATGAGAACAGCATGGGAAAAACCCACACCCATGATTCAGTTACCTCCCACTGGGTCCCTCCCACGACATGTGGGGTTATGGGAGCCACAATTCAAGATGAGATTTGGGTGGGGACACAGCCAAACCGTATCACTAGGGGAAGCAGAGGTGCTGAGGAAGAGCTGCAGTTGGTGGCCAGGGGGCAGCTCTCAGGCTTCCGAGTGGCCACCAGCCCAGCAGGTTCACAGAGGGAGCCAGTCCAGTAAGGCAGCAGCGGGGTGGGGGGGCCCAAGGTGGGGGGCCCTCGGGGGTTAAGCAGGTGAGCTTCCGAGGCTATAAGGTCCTTCACGGGCCTTGGTGGATACATGGAGATTACTAACTCCACCCCAGACTGGGAATTACTTTGAAAATAATTTCCTGCAGAGTGGGCAGTGCTGCATGGCGGGAGGGAAGGGGGTCCCTTCTTGGGCCTCAGAGGTGTGCTGCCAGCAACAGCAGCCACAGGCTGTAGGAAGAGGGAAAGGGACATGGGAAAGATGCAACTGCAAGCCACTGCTTCAAGGGCCGGGCAGGGTGGTGGTCCTCAGTCTGCCTTCCAGACCTCTGCAGTCCTCAGCTTCTGAGCAGCGCCCATGGATATCCCTAGTCCCAGGCCAGTCCTGCCACAACCCTCAGACTGGCCAGAGCTTCTGAGCTGGCCCTACCCCCGGGAGAAGAGGAGCTGCAGCAGGGCCAGCAGGTGGAGACTGCTGGGTGGTGCTCTCCCTGAAGCAGACCTGGGCTGTCCTGCAGGCTCTGCTGGGTGTGGGCTGTGACACCCTGAGTCCACTGCCCTTCAGGCCTCTTCCATGTTCTCTTCCAGGCAGACCCAGGGCTTAGGCCAGTGGTCTCTGAGCCTTATCATTCCCTAGGAGTCCTAGCCCTTTGCTGGCAGCTCAGCCCCGACAGCCCACCGAGGCACAGAAAGCCTTCCCAGCACCTTTCTCTTTGGGACACATGTAGGCCTAACTGTCAACTGAGTCCCAGAGACGAACACAAAATGACAGGGCCAAGCTGAGAAGGTCGTGCTTCCCTTCCCACTCCTCTGCTAGGAAGGCAGCCCCACCTCTCCAGCTAGAAGGCTGCAGGAGGGGCTGGTTTCCAGCAGCTTCTGTTCTTCATCACCCATCCTGCAGACAGCACCACCCACCACCCCCTCCTTGGATCGCTCTCAGCCTTGGAAGCCTTATCCTCCCCGTCCTTGAAAAGGCAAAGCCACAGACGAGAGGGTGGGAGGGGCAGGATGGGGGTTCCAATCCAGCACGTGACAGGATTACCCAGGGCCCAGCTGCCGAAACTGGCCTGAGATCAACTCCTCAAAAGCCGAGAAGGACTCTGGACTGGCCACGGTTGGGAGATGGCTTCCAAACGCCATCTGAACAAGGCGCGTGCTGTCCAGCTTAGAACAGCAGCCAGGCTGGGGGCACTGGTAGGGCCAGCCAGGTAGGAAGCCTGCCAGGGAGGGGGTTTGCTTTTCTTGGCTCCGACTGGTAAGAAAAGCTGAGAAGGTATCACCAAGGAAGGAGTCGGGTGGGAGTTCTCCAAAGTATTCAGAGGACGGCGACTCCTGGTGCCAACAGGAAGGTCTGGGCCATGTCTGGGGACTGGAATCACCATCATGGCCAGCCTGGGGTGTTGTGTGCTCACCCAAATGGGCAGCTCTGCAGCTGCACTGACCCACCCATGTGAGGGGCTGGGGGCTGGGACAAAATTATGGCCCACCCCGTCCAGGCAGGGCTGGGCCAGGATCAGGGAGGGATATGTGGTCTGCCCGGCACCCCAGGGAGCTGGTGGGTACAGCTGGGGCTTCAAGCCAGGTCTCCTGACATGGAAGCCACATCTTTTCTTCCTCTGATTTGGAAGGAAAGAGACAGTGCTGTGAGTCTGCACCCTCTAAGAGTGTGGACCCTATAGCTGGACACAGGGGACCTCCAGAGGCCAGGGTGTGCGTGAGGCCTGGATCTGCCCCTTCCTGGTTCTATCACCTTTCTCCAGTTTACTCAACTCTAAAACAGACTCCTATTTCCCAGTGGTGGTGCGAGGATTAAATGACTGAGAATAGTGCCTGGCACATTATAAGTCTTTGGTAAAGCCAAGCCAGTATTCCTATCATTATTAAGAGGAGGGAGGAACACCCCATGACCAACCAAGTATACCCCAAGTATACGCCAGCCATCAGCTTGTTGGGGTGCTGGAATCCTTCCACTGGACACCCCTTAAGTCAAAATGACTCCAGGTTCTGTCCCTGTCTACTTCTTTCCCCTACTGGGAAATATTAACCTTAGCGATCATCACAGTATTGTCAGATTTAACTGGGATTGGATGAAGTGAACTGCACGGACCAGTGTCTCAATTACCTGCTGCAACTTCCAGATTTCTCAGAAGAATCATTTGCCAAGAGCAAGTAAATATTTCTTCTTAAGTTGGTGTTGTCTGTGCCCAGCCTGGCCAGGGTATTGCCCTAGCCTAGCTCGTGCAGTCCCTGAGCTGGCCGGCAGCACCCTGAGCTGGGGTTCTCTGGGCTGGGGGCAGCTTGCATCTCACTTCTGCAATACGCCTTCCCACAAGCTACTCTAGGGATTAGGGTCTATCTCCTGTAGATGTGTGAGTTCCTTAAGGGTAAGGATGCCACGGGGCACCCTTGAACTTGGCGCCTGGCCCGGCCCAGGGGCTCTGTGCAGGCTGCCTGCAGGGACACCAGCTTGCCTGGCCATGCCTGGCCAAGGAAAGGCCACCACCAGGGCGGACACTTTTAACTCTTTTAGGCAGGGCGGATACCCTCAAAGCCACCCCTTTGGTGCAGTCCTCTTACTTGTACACTTTGGTATTGTATGTCCTCTCCCCAGGGAAGCCAAACATGCCGCAGACCACGCGGGAATTCTTGGCCGTCCAGTGCTTGTCACAGATCTGCTTCCAGGTCTTGCCCTCCTTCACCTCCACGTAGCCCTCCATCACTGGGGTGCGCTTGCGGTAGGTTGAGAGGATGGCTCGAATCCGAATGTCCTCCACCTGGATATTCAGGTTCTGGGAAGAAAGAGGCGTGGAAGGAGAGGGTTACCCTACTGGCCTGGCTGCAGAGACACCAGGCAACCAGTACTTCTTTAGCGACTATGGGCCAGGCCTGCCGCGGGCCTGCCTGTGCCCTCAGGCCCTGCAGTGAGCTCTGGGCAACCCCGAGGGGCACACGGCCCAAGCTGCAGTTAGAAAGCGCTATGCATGGGAGATAGTGAGGCTGAAAGGACCCAACAGGGAGTGGGGTGACCTGGAACAGTCAGAAAAGACTCAGAGACCCCATGGGCTTCTCCTACATCCGAACCTAAGATCTTGGAGAGCAAAGGGCAGCAGCCTCCTCCTGCACAGGCCTCGAAATAAATGCACAGGAGAGAAAGTGTTCTTTGAATGCGGATTTTGCATTTCACTCCAAAGTATGTGTGTATGTGCCTGTGAGTGTGTCTGTGTGTGTCTCCCTGATTCATCTTTCAGTAAAACTTGAGTTTCAGATAGAGGACCCCCAGATGTCCTGAAGCTGGTGGTGCCACCCTGCAGACTACCTCATACCCCAGGGGTGGGCATTCCTCTCTTCAAAAATCCTTAGAGAGGCCTGAGAGAAGAAGCAGGGCTTAGAGAGAAACGAAGCAGATATTCCTGGTGTTGAGCGTGCTGTGTGCAGAGACTCACACCTGCCTGGCAGGGATCAGGGAGGTAGGGTTGGGGACAACTATTTGGCTGCAGCAAGGAAAGGAGACACAGCAAGGAAAGGAGACACTTTGAGCCCCTTAGAGGGTTCCCTTCCCACACCCACCCCACCCATCTATCTGTGGAGTAAAGGACAGAGGCTGGGGTCAGGGTTGGAAAGATTCATTGGCAGGGCCCTTTGGGAGGAAGTGGAGGAGGGCTGGAGGGGCATGGGCGAGAGGAAGGCGCCTGCCTCCCTGCCACGTGGGTGTTCCCCCTCCCTCGACGTGGAGCTGAAATATCCCTGTACCACCTAGACCTGAGTCCCAGGGATCGGGCAGGAGAGGGGGCCTCAAGAGGCCAAGCTGAATGAGAGGAGAAGAGGTTCCCTGGAGTTACAGTGGCACTTTTTAATGCCTTTCCAAGACATGCCATAACAGGCTCCAAACTCTATGGAAGCTCCCCCCTAAATCACTCATGGCCAGCCATCACCAGCTCTTGCGACAGTCCCTGACTGAGTTCCTGCCTCCGTCTGTCTGCCACAGGGCCAGCCACCAAAGAGCCTCTTTTTTCTTTTTCTTTTTTTTTTTTTTTTGAGACGGAGTCTCGCTCTGTCGCCCAGGCTGGAGTACAGTGGCGCGATCTCGGCTCACTGCAAGCTCCGCCTCCCGGGTTCACGCCATTCTCCTGCCTCAGCCTCCCAAGTAGCTGGGACTACAGGCGCACGCCACCACACCCGGCCAATTGTTTGTATTTTTAGTAGAGACAGGGTTTCACCATGTTAGCCAGGATGGTCTCGATTTCCTGACCTCATGATCAGCCCGCCTTGGCCTCACAAAGTGCTGGGATTACAGGCATGAGCCACCGTGCCCGGCCTTTTTTTTCTTTTAATTAATTAATTTTTATTCTTTTTTGAGGCAGGGTCTCACTCTGTTGCCCAGGCTGGAGTGCAGTGGTGTGATCAGGGCTCACTGCAGTCTCCATATCCTGGGCTCAACCGATCCTCCTGTTTCAGTCTCCCAAGTAGTTGGAAGTAGAGGTGTACATCACCACGCCCAGCTAATTTTAAAATATATTTCAGAGACGAGGTCTCACTATGTTGCCTAAGCTGGTTTCGAACTCCTGGCCTCAAGGCATCCTCCCACCTCAGCCTCCCAAAGTGCTGGAATTACAGGTATGAGGCACTGCAGCTGGCTCTTTCTAAAACACAGATCTAACCTTGTCCCTTGACTAGCTCCTCTTTGTCTATGTAATACCCTAATATTGAGCAAGATGCTCTCGGCCATTCAGGACTGATTCCACTTATGCCTCCAGCCCCCTCACTGTCCCCAGCTTCACATGGATCCACAAACACCATGAATTGCAGTATATAATAGCAACAGCTACCGCAAAGCATGCACCAGGTACCCAGCCCTATGTCAAGTGTCTTCCTTGCATTCTCCTACTTAACCCTCGCACGCTGTAATGAGGTGGTTGATAGCTACTGCCATCCCCACCTTACAGATGAGAATACCAGCTGACTCCAGTTCCCTCCCTAGGGCCACCCCGAGGTGCAGTGGAAGACACACACACTGTGGGCGGGCCAGGGACTGGGAGGTGGGGCTGGTCCAAGCCGGGCTGGAAGGCAGGAGGAACCCAGCACCCCGACTGCCCCAGCCCTGTCCAACTGAGATGCAAATGAACCACGAGTTTGAACAGAACCATTCTTTGGGTGCCCAGGGATTCACGTCTCCTCGCCATGGGCTTCAGGGTCCACAGCCAGGCCCTACTCTCAGGTCCTGCAAGGCGGTGGAAAGTATGTGGGCCTGGAGTGATGGCACTTGGCTCCGTTTCCTTTCCACCACAGCAGAAGGAATGCTGCCAGGGGCAGGATTATGCCTTCCAGCCTGGATCCTGGATCCTTTACAGCCCTCATTCAGGCCGCAGGACCCGTGCCACCAAGACACGTGGACAGGGGTGAGCCAAGAAAGGGCCTGAGGTCTAAACCCAGCCCACAAGCCGGCCCTCTTCTGTCTCTTCCCACCTCGGGAGGCTGGGCTGGAATTCCAGTGTGTAACTGTCATGCCCAGAAGGAAAGTTACTGCCTAGCATCAAGACTGCACTTCACAGGGCAGGCGGCCCGGGCTGACCTTCAGTTCACAGATCCTTTCCCCTGCGTTGGGCAGCAGTGCAGGCTCGCTGCAGGGAAGGTGTGACCCCCAGCACCTGGCCACCACAGGAGGAGGAAGAAGGCCTGGCTGGAGGAGCTCAGCAGACCCCGCTGGAAAGAGCTACGCGGGCCTGAGGCCAGCACACACCAACCCAAACGCCAAGGGAGCTTGCTCTCGTTCCTGCGATGATGCGGGACAGTTTCCTCCGCTGAATAGGGCTGGTGGGGAGAGCCCCGGGGGCTCCACGATGAAGGCAATGCAGCCTGGAGAAGAGAAAGGGCTAGCACCGGGGGTCATTATCCTCATTCTTCCACCGACTCACTGCATACGTGTTTATGCATCTCTGTGTATGTGCATGGTGGTGTGTGCTTGATGGTCTGTGTGTGTGTGGTGTGTATCTCTGTGTCTGTGTGTGTGCATGGTGGTGTGTGCTTGATGGTCTGTGTGTGGTGTGTATCTCTGTGTCTCTGTGTGTGCACGGGGGTATATGCATGATGGTGTGTTTCTGAGTGTCTGCATGTCCATGTGTCATATGAGCCCCTGTATATGTCTCTGTGTGTGTGTCTCTGGGATTGTGTGTCTCTGGGATTGTGTGTCTGTGTGCATGATGATGTATGCATGACAGGGTTGTGTGTGTGTGCCGGTGTGTCATGTGGATCTCTGTGCACTCTCCCTGTATGTGTCTATGTCACATGGGTCTCTGTATGTATAAAGTGTGCATCTGTTTATGTGTCTTGTGGTGGAGGAAATTCTGAAAGGATCGTGTTCCTTGCAAGGCCTTAGGAAAACAGTCAGGACACCATTCGCACTCATTCCTTCAAACTGGACCGTCTTCTCTTCTTCTCCCTCCAAAGAACCAAAGCCTTTCCAGTCTTTAAGGCTCAAATCTACCGTATGCATTCATTTAACAAAATGCAGTCTCTGCCCTCCTTGGGCCTTGCTGGGCTTCCTCCTTACACCCCAACCACAGCGCCCTGTGTCAGCTTTGAATAATGACAGCTATGGGCATCATTTATCAAACACCAATTAATTGCAGGCTAGGTTCCATACAGAAAACTTTACATCCACTCCATTATTCAATCCCCATGGCAGCTTTCAAGATGGCTCATGGTCCACCTGTTTAGAGGTAAAAACATGATAAATCTTGGCAAGCTTTTGGAAGTTATCCAAGTTCACACAGCCAGTAAGTAGGTAAACAAGTATGCAAATTGAGTTCTGACCCCCAAACCCGTGCTCCAGGCTCATAATGACCACTGGTCTCTGAGCAGTCCTCATCTCATGCCTGTGTCCAATACATTGCCTGGTACTGAGGGTGACTCACCCAGGGCAGGGCCTGGAGCTCAGAATTCTGGGTGTCCCCTTCAACCAGCTGAAGGGTGCTGGTGCTGTGCACATTGGAAGCCCAGCACCCCATGTCGAGGGGCAGTGAGTCAGACTGGATTGTGTACGTGAGGGGAGAGCTGGGCTCCCAGCATTCTTGTCTTCAGGCCAGCGGGAGGAGGCAGGGAAGCCCTCTGGGGCACACATTCGGTGCTCACACTAGCTAACCAGCTCATGGAGACTGAGTTAGACCTCTTAGAAAACACGCCCACACACATAACCTCTCTCTTTACTTCACTGCTGTGGAATCCCTTCCATAACCACAAGTGTTAGGATACATTTTGCCCCAGGAGTTCAGCCCCAAAAGTGAAAAGAAAGTGTGAAATATTAAAATATACACACACTTTTTTTTCTTTTTTAAATGAAAGGCAGTCTAGACTTGCTAGTTTAAAATTCAGCCCCAGCCGGGCTCAGTGGCTCACGCCTGTAATCCCAGCACTTTGGGAGGCCGAGGCAGGCGGATCACGAGGTCAGGAGATTGGGACCATCCTGGCTAACACGGTGAAACCCTGTCTCTACTAAAAATACAAAAAATTAGCCAGGCATGGTGGCGGGCGCCTGTAGTCCCAGCTACTCGGGAGGCTGAGGCAGGATAATGGTGTGAACCTGGGAGGCGGAGGTTGCAGTGAGCTCAGACCACACTACTGCACTCTAGCCTGGGCGACAGAGCGAGACTCCGTCTCAAAAATAAAATAAAATAATAAAATAAAATAAAATAAAATAAAATAAAATTAAAATAAAATAAAATAAAATAAAATAAATAAAATAAAATAAAAAATAAAATAAAATAAATAAAATAATAAAATAAAATAAAATAAAATAAATAAAATAAAATAAAATAAAATTCAGCCCCAAATGCCAGAAGCTGGTCAAGCACCCTGCACATATTAAAATTCAAGCTAAAACCTGATGCTATCCCTCTTGCCAGAGACAACAGTGCACCCAGGACTCCAGAAAGCTTCCCTCCAAGAAAGACACAGAAACTCCAGGATGTGTGGTCCTCAGAGCTCATCACATCCTCTGGCAGGGCCTGAGACTCTGGGAGTGATTTGCACCCGTTCCTAGAAGGGAAAACCAAGGCACGACCATGCAAGGGACTTGTCACGTCAGCCGGAGAGGAAGGGAGCTCTGAGCTCTGACTCTCAGGTTTATGCCTAAATGACATTTCATATTTGCAGCATCTGTCCATGACTTGCAAATTCCAGAATGCGATAGTCTGGGGCTGTCGCCAATGAGGAAAAATCACCCATTTTGAAAGTCTAGCTGGAAGTTGCATCAGGGAAAGGTACAAGGAGAAGCAAGTCAAGCAAGCCAGCCTACATGAATCCACATCACAGTCGCTCTAAACTCTCAGCACCAGGCACGTTGTCTTAGCTCAGTGGTTGTTCTCCTTCCCCCTGTTCTAGAAGTCATAATTTAATATCAGCCCAGGCTTTCTGACCTGAGAAGTCATCCTGAGGGTGAGGAGGGGTGGCAGGACAATGCTGGGAAGACATAACATCATGCCAACATCTCAACGAGAATGCATGAGTGTCAACTCTAGCCAGCCTCTGCTCACCTCGCATGCAGCCTCCCACAACCACCAGCAAGTTCCTGCATCTTCCTCTCAGAGCCTGCAGCTTTCTTACTTTGGCTATTTAAAAACAAAACAGGGCAGGGCATGGTGACTCACGCCTCTAATCCCAGCACTTTGGGAGGCTGAGGTGAGCAGATCACTTGAGGTCAGGAGTTCAAGACCAGCCTGGCCAACATGGTGAGACCCTATCTCTACTAAACACACACAAACACACACACACACACACACACACACACACACACACACACTAGCTGGGTATGGTGGTGCATGCCTGTAATCCCAGCGACTCAGGAGGCTGAGGCAAGAGAATCACTTGAATCTGGGAGGTGGGGGTTGCAGTGAGCCGAGATTGCGCCACTACACTCCAGCTGAGGTGACAGAGCAAGACTCTATCTCAAAAATAAATAAATAAATAGGTGGGGCACGGTGGCTCATGCCTGTGAACCCAGCACTTTGGGAGGCCAAGGTGGGCAGATTATTTGAGCTCAGGAGTTCGAGACCAGCCTGACTAACATGGTGAAACCTCGTCTCTACTAAAAATACAAAAAAAAATTAGCCAGACATCTGTAATCCCAGCTACTTGGGAGGCTGAGGCAGGAAAATCGCTTGAACCCAGGAGGCGGAGTTTGCAGTGAGCAAAGATTGCACCACTGCACTCCAGCCTGGGCGAAAGACTGAGACTCCGTTTCAAAAAAATATAAATAAATAAATAATAAAAACAAAACAGGCTGGGTGTGGTGGCTCACATCTATAATCCTCGTGCTTTGAGAAACTGAAGCAGGAGGATAGCTTGAGGCCAGGAGTCCAAGACCAGCCTAGGCAACAGAATGAGACCTCATTTCTAAAAAAAAAAAGTTAAAAAATTAGCTGGGCACCAGCGATCCCATTACTGGGTATATACCCAAAGGATTATAAATCATGCTACTATAAAGACACTTGCACATGTATGTTTACTGCAGCACTATTCACAATAGCAAAGACTTGGAACCAACCCAAATGTCCTTCAATGATAGACTGGATTAAGAAAATGTGGCACATATACCCTAGAACTTAAAGTATAATTAAAAAAAAGAAAGAAAAGGTGGCACATATACACCATGGAATACTGTGCAGCCGTAAAAAAGGATGAGTTCATGTCCTTTGCAGGGACATGGATGAAGCTGGAAACCATCATTCTGAGCAAACTATCACAAGGACAGAAAACCAAACACCGCATGTTCTCACGCGTAGGTGGGAATTGAACAATGAGAACAGTTGGACACAGGGAGGGGAACATCACACACCGGGGCCTGTCGTGGGGTGGGGGGAGGGGGGAGGGATAGCACTGGGAGAAATACCTAATGTAAATGATGGGTTGATGGGTGCAGCGGGCCAGCATGGCACATGTATACCTATGTAACGGGCCTGCACATTGTGCACACGTACCCTAGAACTTAAAGTATAATAACAAAAAAAAAAATTAGCTGGGCACGGTGGCACCTGCCCATAGTCCTAGCTCCCAGGAGGCTGAGGTGGGAGAATCACTTGAGCCCAGGAGTTTGAGGCTGCAGTGAACTAGGATTGTGCCACTGTACTCCAGCCTGGGTGACAGAGCGAGATCTTCTAAGAAACAAAACAAAACAAAACAGTGGCCTCGGCCGGGTGCGGTGGCTCACGCCTGTAATCCTAGCACTTTGGGAGGCCGAGGCGGGTGGATCACGAGGCCAGGAGATCGAGACCATCCCTGCTACCACGGTGAAACCCCGTCTCTACTAAAAATACAAAAATTTAGCTGGGCATGGTGGCGGGCACCTGTAGTCCCAGCTACTCAGGAGGCTGAGGCAGGAGAATGGCATGAACCCGGGAGGCGGAGCTTGCAGTGAGCTGAGATCACGACACTGCACCCCAGCCTGGGCGACAGAGCAAGACTCCGTCTCAAAAAAAACAAAACAAACAAACAAAAAAACAACAACAGTGGCCTCCCAGATACAGACCCATGTCCCAACTGCCAGCTTGACACCTTCCTCAGCACCTGAGACCAAACACATCCAAGATGCCCTCAACTCTTCCTCTTTTCATCGAGTCATTGAGGGATGCTCCTGCCTCTAGCTTTGCAGACCTTCGTGACCCTCTCTCTTCTTCACTCATGCGCCCATTAAGCCCTAGCCAGACCTTCTTTGCCCTTCTATCAGCTTGCCATTCCCACTCCCAATTCCCAGTCAGCTGTGCAAGGAGAATCATGGGAACATAAGAAGGGCGTGATAATGTCGTCATCTCACCTAGGCCTGTGCTGTCTCCTCGCCTCTGGTTTCTTCTCCCATCCGTTCATCCTCTTTGACCACAGTGCATTCAAGGGTCTCGCTCAGATCTTCCTGGTGGTGCCTCCGCGTTAGGCCCATACCCTGCCATTCTCTGTCCCTTCTTTCTATCTATCAGAATCCTGCCAATCCTCAGGGAAAATGTTATTCATCCATTCAAAAATATTTGTCCAGTGCCACCATGTCCCAAGTGCTGTGTGAGACCCTAAAAGGACAGATAGGCATGGTCCTCGCTGTCATGTGGTCCCTAATCTAGAGGAGGAGAGGCAGCACCAGCATCTCTGTGAAGCCCCCTCCCCTGCCCCCAAATAGGACGTCCACACGTTTGATTTCTTCTTTATTCCTCCAGCACTGGCATTCTGGTGACTCATTGAGTTCTTGGCTTATACTGACTATCTTGCACTAGGGTTTACTTTTCCACATCCTTTTGCCACTCAATTGGACTGTGAATCCCCTAAGGGCAAAACTGTGCCTTATTCATTTTTGTATTACCCACACAGTAAGAAATTATTACTGGTTCCTTCCAACCATGTTTGAGGACCCACTATAGCCAGACACAGAGTGGGTCCCCAAACATATTTGGAAGGAACCAGTAATGATTTTTTCAAAATCCAACAACAGGAGTTTAGCTTAGCTAGACATGCTGAGTGCCCAAGTCCAACATTTTAATAAAGACTCTTTTTATTCTTTGTTTAATGCAAAATAAAGTTATGCAGTCCTCATCTCTCTTCCTAACATAAGCACGACTTGTGTGACTTATGGATAGACAGGAGAACATCTGTGCTTTGTCCAGGCATCCTTTTGTCACCTGAGCTCCCTAACACCCTCTCCCCTTTTCCCTTGAGATCTGACACCAACACATAGTTACTGAACTGAATTAAAAGCCGTCTGATCCTCAGCACGCAGTTAGATGGCTTGGCTAAGTGTGTATTATCTGCACACAGTATGAGGCATGCTGTACTCCAGGAGTCTGGCTATGTTGTAATTATCCCCTTTTGATGATCCAATCAGAAACTCTTAGTTTAAGAGGCTGCTGGGGGACTGGGCACAGTGGCACGCACCTGTAATCTCAACACTTTGGGAGGCCGAGGCGGGCAGTTCACCTGAGGTCAGGAGTTTGAGACCAGCCTGGCCAACATGGGGCTCTACTAAAAATACAAAAATTAGCTGGGCGTGGTGGCACGCACCTGTAATCCCAGCTACTCAGGAGGCTGAGGCAGGAGAATCACTTGAACCCAGGAGGCGGAGGTTGCAGTGAGCTGAGGTCACGCCATTGCACTCCAGCCTGGGCAACAAGAGCGAAACTCCATCTCAACAAAAAATAAGCTGCTGGTAACATTCTTTAGCCTGTGACTTCTTGATGGAAGAAAGTGACAGAGGAAAGGCATTTCAACAATTTCTGTTCCTCAGCTCTAGGCAATAGAGGCCAGTGGAGGCCTGGAGAGCTGAGGTCATGCTGACACCCCCAAAGGAAAGAGCCGGTAGTCTGTTGGGGTCTTCCTCCTATAAATCAAAAGCTTTGTAACACTGCTGGAAAACTGAATGCTCTGTGTTTCATTTTCCAAGCAGGCAGCCACTTGGGTAGGTAACAGAGGCTGCTTTTTTGGAGAACGGGCAAGCCCTGCTGTCAGCAGGAAGTCGGCGGGACACCTGCTCCAACAACCAGCCCCTGTGACCCAGCAGTTCCTCCTGTCCTGGTCAGGCCTGACCACCCACCACACAACCTCATGGTGAATCTGGTAGTTCTCTTCACAGCCATCATCACCATGGTAACACAGTCATGAGGCATGAGACTGTTTCTCCACTGCTGGATGGTAAGCTCAGGATGGGCAAGACGGTCCGTTCCATCACTCCCTTTATCCTCATGTCTAGTGTAGGGTCTGGTGCTGAATCAAAATGTATTGAGTGAATGAATAAACAGATCCTTAGCAACGGACTCCTGGGGATGGGGTCGGGGGATTCCTTGGCACTGACACCCAGCATGGCTGAGGTGACTCAAATAAGCCACTTAGGCTCATTGCAGAACCAGGCTGACCGCTGCCCACTCTGCCCTAGTCACATCACCAGACCTCCCTGCAGAGCGGACCTGCCCATCTAGGGCAGGGAGAGGCTTCCTCCAGCCCAGCTCAAGCCCCCACTTCCTCCAGATAGCAACTGTCCCACAGGTTTCCTCATTCACCTCTCTCTTCTCCAAACTGCCATGCCATTAAGCACCCAATCACATTCTTCAAAGTTTGAGTACATCCTGTTCATTTATTTATTTCATCTAAAACAAATTATAAGCCTCCTTATTCATGTGTGCAATCTAACAAATAAATAGAATGTTATGTATTGGTTTATTTCATCTCACAGAGTTATAATGGTATTTATACTTTTCAAAGCATTGTATCTGCAACACCTGGGCCAGAAACCAGGTTCCCATCTGTTATCCACATACACACCCTTTTGCATTTCAGATTTTCAGTTGGGAAAATAGGTCACCTTAGAACTACTTGCTTTGTGTGTCCCTTTTGGTAGCTGGCAAGCCCTGGCTACATATAGACTCTTAGTAAATAGAATCGCGGAATGTGAGGGCTAGACAGGATCTTTTTCTCTCTTTTTGAGATGGAGTCTCGCTCTGTTGCCCAGGCTGGAGTGCAGTGGCTGCAACCTCTACCTCCTGGGTTCAAGCGATTCTCGAGTAGCTGGGACTACAGGTGTACACCACCATGCCCAACTAATTTTTTGTATTTTTAGTAGAGATGGGGGTCTCGTCACGTTGGCCAGGCTGGTCTCGAACTCCTGACCTCAAGTGATCCCCCCCACCTTGGCCTCCCAAAGTACTGGGAATACAGGCGTGAGCCACCGTGCCCAGCCCTGGACAGGATGTTATACATCCTCTTGCCCAAGAAGGGCGAGAGACAAAACCCAGGAGAGCTACATCTAATTGTCCAGCCAGACAGTTGAGCAAAACTGAGAGTTCAGAGGCTGTGGGCCTCCACCATGGGTCCTTGTGCCCTTGCTGAAAAGTCCGGCACAAACTACCCCCTGGCTACCATTTCTCTTCCTCCTACAGAGAGAGGCCATCCAGCTACCCCGTGACCATCTGGGAATGGGGCCTCTATTTAGGCATGGGGGGACCACTATCTTCTAAACTGCACAGAGGTGAAAATAGGCCCCCTTTTTTCCCCAAACCACCCAGTGCAACCTCTCTGGTGGGAGTCAGGAGAAGGATGAGATTCCTGGCTGGGAAGGGTTCAGACTTTTCAGAAGTCCTTCTAGAGACCTTTCCCTTTTAGGCTGAAGCCCTCCACCCTCTGCCGCCCCCAGACAGACAGAGCTGCTGCTGGGAGGGCAATGCTGAAACATTTGGCAGCTAACTGTGACTAATAAAAACCTGGACCCAAGGCATTTAAAAAATTCACAGCAGCCTCAGTCTCTGTGGTTAAGATGAGAAGAAAGGGCTTTTTCAGGTCTCAGCGTCCTTCCAGAAGAACGCGAGAGAGCAGAGAATGGGGGACCAGGTTCTCCCCTTGGGTGGAAAGAAATGGCTTTCTCCTCGTTCTGTCCTCATCGTCCCTCTGTTGGCCCCTCAAGACCTCCTGGGCTGCCCACTTTCACAAACGGGAAACTGAGGCTTGGAGGTCACTCAGGGGATAGGCAGCACCTAAATCTCACAGCCTGGGGATTTTCCAATCAGTTCCGGCAATGGAATTGCTTTTTGCAAAAGAGCCTTTAAAGGATAGGTAAGGAAGGAGGTGGGGTGGGGTGGGGAGGGGTGGAGTGGGGTGGGGTGAGGTGGGGAGGGATGGGGTGAAGAAAAGAGAAAAGATGAAAACCTTCCCTGATCTAACGACACACAGCCCAGCCACAAGGCTTCCTGTGAGCACATGACTGGGCAACGTGCGGAGCAGCCGGGGAGCAGAGGTTTACTGAGTAGGGCATCTGGATTTGTCATCTTTCCTTATCTAATGCTTTTTCCAACTGGTCTACCCGCCACAGGCAGGAAACAAAGCCTCTCAATTTAAGAGGCTCTGAAATCCTGGGAGGTTTGGTTGGGGCTCTGTTTGCCAGGTTTAAAAGAGATCTGTTCGTTTGGAGCCAAGAGTGTTTCACATTTGCTTATTTGCTCCTACTTACCTCCTTTTAAGAAAGTTTTGAGGATTGACCTAAAACTGATTTTCTTTATATCCAGACAAACTTCTGTTTTATAGGACAGTGTCCAGAGGCCCAAGAAGGGTCAGTGACTGGACATAACAGCTGTGAGCTCCAGTCTCCACTGGGACTGGAACCCGGGGGTTCTGCCTTCAATTCTGGAGTCCGAAACTGAGAATATACAATAAGATATGATGGCACAGCCTGTATCAGAAAAGGGGAAAACTGAGAACCTGCCTGGTTAATTTCCTGGATGAAATAAACCAAGCCTAGTGAGTGATTCAGTGGTAGGACTAACCCAGGGCAGCACTTCGAAGTCTGCAAAGCACTTTTAGAGAAATCATCTGATTTTTTTCCCCTACAGAATATTTAAAACTACCTTGTAAATGATGAATGCACACTATGTCATTCTGATGAAGAAACCATTGCCACTGAACTACAGGCCGTCACAGCTGGAAGGGATTGAATTCAACTCACTCGACACTTGCCCAGTTGTTCTGGATGCTGGTCAAAAGGCAGGTTAGGGTACAAACCTTGGTGGGGTCACTTATATGAAGAAGGTGTGATTTTTTTTCCTCCTCTAGAGGGGAATTTACAAACTATCAGGAGCCCCCAAGGATGCTCCAAGCAGCTGTAGGAGTCCAGGGAAGCACAGTTAGCTCATTAAGTGAAATTCCATCAGCCAGGCTCCAGGGCTTAGTGACTCATGCCTCTGGCATTCCAGAGTAGGATGAATTTGGTCTAGACTGATGCAGTTTTCTTCCATTCTCTGCTTTGGGAATTCCAGTGCACTCTGGAGGAAGCATGGGTTGTGAGAGTCATCTGTAATGATCTGTGACCTGTCCCCAATCTCCAGGGGTTAATGAGGGTGAATGTTACAGAACCCAGCCCACAACCTTGCAGACAGAGTAGGCATGGGAAGGGACGCGGGTGCCCTCATCACATTCATTAGCCCAGTGGTCTACGACCAGGGTCACAAGACACAGAGAAATCATTCACTGACGTTTCATTCCTGGCCGCTTTTGAATCTGCCCCTTCCAAACTGGGGAAAGTCGAGGGAGGGCTTTAACTCTCACACTTTGATATGAAGAGTGAAAAGTCTGCACCTGGTTTCAAAGTCAAGGCCATCAGGGGCTGGAGAAAAGGCAAAGAGAGAACCCAAGCACACAATACACATGCTGGTTGGCATCCCTTCTCTGTGTGTGTGTGTGTGTGTTCTCACACACATGTGATGCCAGTTTACACATGGTGCGCGATGTCAATATCCAGCTGGGCACACACTATGTGGGATGAGTGCATTTTCCCAGACACTGAATAACAAGGGTCTTGAAACTTGGCAATCACTTAATCCCACTTCCCTCCCCATGTAGGCATCTGACCACAATACTCCTGGCAGGATGTTGTCCAGTTCGTGCTTGAATTCCTCCACTGACAAGGAGCTCACCACTAACTTAGGGTAGAGCTATCTACTGTGGGGCTTCCACTGAGCCTGAGATCTATCTTCCATCACGCTCCTCTCCGCCTTGGCTCTGGGAGTTGGAATATATATATATATATATTTTTTTTTTTTTTTTTTTTTTTTTTTTGAGACAGTTTTGCTCTTGTTGCCCAGGCTGGAGTGCAATGGCACCATCTCGGCTCACTGCAACCTCCCTCTCCCGGGTTCAACCTCAACCTCCCAAGTAGCTGGGATTACAGGCGTCTGCCACCATGCCCAGCTAATTTGTATTTTTAGTAGAGACGGGGTTTCACCATCTTGGCCAGGCTGGTCTCAAACTCCTGACCTCACATGATTTGTCTGCCTCGGCCTCCCAAAGTGCTGGGATTACAAGCGTGAGCCACCGCATCCGGCCGGGAGTTGGGATACATTCTAAACATTCTTCTGCATGGTAGTAGTTCAAGTATTTGAAGAGAACCATCTCCCCCCATATCTCTTTTCTTGACAAAAAACTTCATTTCCTCATGATATGGTTTCCAGATTTGTCTCCATCCTGTTGGCCTTTCCTCTGGTGACCTGGTTAAGATCTGGATCCAGAACTGAACCCTGCAGTCAGCGACTGGTCCAAAAGGCAAGGAGCTTAAGGAAATAATTCTTCTATCTGTAAAGCAGTTGACATTCACTTTTTTTTTTTTTTTTTTTTTTTTTTTTAGCAGCCCTATCATACTCTTGGCTGATACTGAGCTTTTAGTCAACCACTGCCGCTTCAAAGATTTGTTCTTTTTTTTTTTTTTTGAGACAGGGTCTCGCCCTGTTGTCACCCAGGCTGGAATGCAGTGGCACCATCATGGCTCACTGCAGCCTCCACTTCCTACGGTCAATCAATCCTTCCACCTCAGCCTCCCAGGTAGCTGGGACCACAGGCACATGCCACCATGCCACGTTAATTTTTTTAATTTGGTAGAGACACGGTCTTGCCATATTGCCCAGGCTGGTCTCAAACTCCTGGGCTCAAGCAATCTGCCCACCTCTGCCACCCAAAGTGCTGGGATTACAGATGTGAGCCAACCCAACAGGCCTTTTAAAAAAAAAGATCAATAGTTTTTCAGTTACTCTCCCTAAAGTCTGCACTCTGTGACTGTTTTTTTCCCCATGAACTTTGATATAGGACCTTCTATTCATCCCTAATATGTTACAGCTTGGGCCCATTATTTCAACCTACAGCAGTTTTTCTGAAAGTTCATTCCATAATTTTATACTCCAGCAATCTCTCCTAGTTTTGTATCTCCCATAGATTTTATCAGTATACCTTTTAATTTCCATGAACATTCCTGATACATGATGGGGAGGCCGGAACAGAGCCCTAGGGCTCACCATCAGAGACCATCCACTCTGTTTACACAAATTAGTCAGCAGTTCACCCTGGGTATCATTAGTCAGTATGTTCATGACTTCACCCAACTGCACGTCCACAAGCTATGTCTCTTCCTCTTATCCACAAAAATTTAATAGCAGGCATTTCTTTAGCTGGGAGGAATGATCCTATGACTTCAGCTACTGATACAGGCCATTCCAGAAGGTATTTTGGAGAAACGTCTCAGCATCCCATAAATATCCCACGTAGGTGGTCCAGGCGGTTCTCTACCCATCAGGCCAGCACTGCCAGTAAGCATGAGCCTTAGCCACAAAGCCCTGGATGCAAGAATCTTCTGGCAACTCAAGGAGGTTCTCCCCAGACATCCTGAGGTCTAGGCCCTTTCATGACCTACTTTCAGCGGCTACCAAAGGGAAGAAGTTGCAGGGGACTGATCATCAATGAAAGTTCCCTAAGTCTCTGTGGTTGGGCCAGAAAGCGTCCCCCTGGCTCGTGGTCACCAGCCTGATCTGTCTGACAGCCAGAGGGAGGCCTTCTAGGAAAATGCAGAGTGTGTAAGGCTGTGGATGTCACCTGGCCCTTTAAGCCAGACATCTCCATAGGTTGCCCTCTCTGGGTTTCTGGAGATTTGTGAGGGCCCATGCTCCTTGCCTTGGAAGGATCTCCAGCTTTCTCCAAGGCGTACATCTTGTCTTGCAGGTTGTAAGGGCTGGAGGACAAGGGCCATGTTTTCTTTCCCTGCTGGTATCCCAAACCAGCAGGTACCCAACAAATGCCCAGAATAAAGGTGGGGCTAAGCTTTCCCATCATGGAATCTCAGCCCTTCCACAGTAAGAAAGTCGTCTCCAACATATTTTTTTTCAGTCTTCTTTTTTTTTTTTTAGACGGAGTCTCGCTGTTGTTGGCTCAGGCTGGAGCGCAATGGCAGGATCTCGGCTCACTGCAACCTCCGCCTCCCAGGTTCCAGCAATTCTCCTGCCTCAGCCTCCTGAGTAGCTGAAATTACAGGCACCCACCACCATGCCTGGCTAATTTCTGTATTTTTAGTAGAGATGAGATTTCACCATCTTGGCCAGGCTGGTCTTGAACTCCTGACCTCAGGTGATCCACCCACCTTGGCCTCCCAAGTGCTGGGAATTACGGGCATGAGCCACTGCGCCCGGCCTTTTTCAGTCTTTTCTGTGTTTATTCCACCCCATGAAAATTCTGCTTTTGAAATGACCCATCTTATTTCGCCCTGGAATTATTAAGCATTGGAACTGGCACTTAGTAGGTATTCCACAAACAGTGTGTGTTAATTTAATTGTTTGGGTAATCTAATCTAATCTAATGAAGTGCCACTCAGAGTCCTTTTTCCAAAATCATTTTTTTTTTCCTAATGGCAGATGAGCCTTCTCATCATTTTCTCAACACAAAGCTCACTGATGTTTTGGCCTGTCTTATTTTTTTTTTTTCAAGCCATCAATGATCAATGACTTTCTTATGCCAAGAAGGCTGGGTCTTCACTGGACACTCCAAGTAGATTATCCTGAGGTTCAGGTTGAACAGAGGCCCATCTAAGATGTTACAAATCAGCTCATGGTCCTATTAGGCAGAACAAGCTGTGAAGAAATTATTTGCTTCCATGTGCTTCTCATTGCTGTTTAGCTTAATATTTTATCCTGGGAGATTCTCCACCTAAGGGGATAATAATTTCTGGCTCACATTTCTGGGGAGAAGAGAATTTGGGAGTTGGAGATGTTGTTCCCATTAGGTACCTAGAATTTATCTATTGCATACAATGATACATAAGATATAGCCCCTGCCCTCTGGGAGCTTCCAATCTCATGGGAGAGATAAGATCCACATAAGTGGGGGCTAATTATTGCTCATGAGGTTATAAGGAATGAAGATGGAAAATTTTGTGAAACTGGGTTGGACAAGCCCATCCGTCAGATCATAAACTTCATGGTAAAGAAAGCAAAGCTGTCATCAGTGACTGAAGACTGACGAAAGTATATCAACTCCATCACAATCTCTCTAGTTATCTTCAATAAAATAGCAGCATTTGACAGGTGTCAACCATAAGCAGTCTCCTCCACAGCTGAGAGAAGCCTGGAAATCCTTTCCTATGCTATACAGCAGGGTTGGGCAAATTCCCAGCACGCTTGGGAACATATATGGAGAGAGAAGGACTGTGTGAGCCATGACAGTAAAGGCCACAGTCTTGGGAGAACTTCCTCTGGAACCCAAGTAGGGCAATTTCAAGTCACCTTTCTTCTGCATTAGTGCTGGGTTCAGCTGGAGGCTGAAGCACAGCGAAGGTTCCTTGGTCTGGATTTGGGGCAGATCCCATAATCCCTTGGGGGTGGCATCTGACATGTTCCTTGAGGACAGGAGTGTTAGCTGCCAATTCCTCCTGTCCTAAGCCCCACATATGTTGCACATAAGAGTAATGTAATAAGTGTGTGTTAACTGTTTGGATAAAGAATTTGCTGGAAAGCTAACCCTGAAATTTAGCCATAAATGTGGATTTTCAAATGCTGAAATTATCAGTCTGGCAACATCAGAATCAATCTGGGGCTGCTTAAAGAAAAATAACCTAGTCCCATAGCAGGATATTTTGAGTCAGCGGGTCAGTGGGGAGGCCCCAGTACCTGCATTTTTTTTTTTTTTTTCAGACAGTCTCGCTCTGTCACCCAGGCTGGAGTGCAGTGGTGCGATCTCAGCTCAGTGCAAGCTCCGCCTCCTGGGTTCACGCCATTCTCCTGCTTCAGCCTCCTGAGTAGCTGGGACTACAGGCACCCACAACAACGTCTGGCTATTTTTTTTTCTTTTTTTTGTATTTTTAGTAGAGACGGGGTTTCACCGTGTTAGCCAGGATGGTCTCGATCTCCTGACCTCGTGATCTGCCCGCCTCGGCCTCCCAAAGTGCTGGGATTACAGGCATAAGCCCCCGCGCCCGACCCAGTACCTGCATTTTTAAAGTGATTCCAACCCTCAGCTACATTGGCCAGTGGTAGCCAGCTTCCAAGATGGCCCCAGCAACCCTACCTGGTGTCACACATTTGTGTAATCTCCTCCCACTCTCTACCAGAGTTAGTCTGTGTGATCCATAGAATACAGCAGAAATGATGGCCTATCACTTCCAAGATTAAGTTATGAAACATGACTTCCATCCTGTGTTCTTTCTCTCACTCTCCTTTGCCTCACTCACTCTGAGGGAAGACAACCACCATGTCCTGAGGCCACTCAGGCAGCCTACGAAGAGGCCACATAGAGAAGAACAGAGGGCTGCAGTCTACAGCTAGCAAGGAACCACAGCCTGCCAACAACCATAAGAGCCTGCGTGGGAGGGGACCTTCCAGCCCCCATTGACAGCCTGAGTGCAACTCCATGAGAGACGCTGAGGAGAATCAAGTAGCTAAGCCCTTCCTCAATTCCTGACTCTCACAAACTGTGCAAGATAATAAAGATTCACTCTTTTCAGCTGCAAAACCTGGGGGCAATTTGTTACGCAGCAATTGATAACTAATACATTTTCCCACCCAAAGGGCAAGCTCCTGAGCATGGCACCGGAGGTGTTTCATGCCCATCTTTCCAGCTTCAGTTAACCCTACTCCCAGATGCACTCTCCCTGAGATCACGCTCTGCTTACCCCAGCCCAACCTTCACACCTCTGTGCCTCTGCCCATGCTGTTCCTTGTGCCTGGAATGCCCTTTCCCCATGGATGGGATTCCCTTCTCCAGAAATCCTTCCCTAAACTGCCCTTGTATCTAATCCCATTGGGTGAGGTACCCTCCTTCCTGCTCACACACACTTCTTGAAATCAATACGCAAAAAGCGAGTTGCATGGAAGAGGAAAAATGTTTGCATGAAGGAAACATCAAGAGCACATGACTTGCCTCTATCTGGTTGATCAACGAATTGTCAAATTTGAACCCAGGAATCCTTTTGTCGCTGCACACCACACCGACATCCTCCGTGTGCTTGCAGTCAGTGACGCCCCAGCCATTGGAGGTGCATGCTGCAAGGGTCGCCTCGTTGCCAGTACAGTGGAGATTGTCTAACCAGATGGGCCCTGAAGGAGGCAGAGAGGAGAGAAACCAAGTGCTGCGTCAATGCAGGTCTGAGTCTTTGCGGGGCACCAGTGTCTCACATGGAAAGAGAATTTTTCTCTAATTTTGGCAGCTGTGTGTGGCCATCCATTTTTATTATATTAAGATATTGCACATAACTCTAAACCATGGGGATTCCTGGACCACAGTAAGCACCTGATGTGATCTGGGAATGTAGTAGATTTAACATGATTAGGATAGAAGTTAGATTTAAGCCCAGAAGTTGCATGGGATAGTGGAAAGAGCGGGGCTTTGGGTACCAAGCTGGGTTTGAGTTCTCGTTCAGCCACTTAGCTGTATAACCTTGGTCAAGGGCCCTTTTTCTTATCAGTAAAGTGGGGCTAACAATGACACTTCAGCTGCACAGCTGTGTGCAGATTAGAGATACTACGAAGCCTGTGCCTAGTTCATTGCTGGTCACAGTTACTAAAAATAGTGATGATGATGATAATGATGACGATGATGATGATGTTTTAGTGACACTGATTATGGCATAAGCCAGTCTCACCTTCCATCCATAGCAGAGGCTGAACTTTGACCCTTCAGGGAAAAAGTAAACTCTCCTGCCACTGAAGGTTTGAGGTTTGTGGGGTTTTTTTTGTTTTTTGTTTTTTTTTTAGACAGAGTCTTGCTCTGTCGCCAGGCTGGAGTGCAGTGGCGTGATCTTGGCTCACTTCAACCTCCGCCTCCCAGGTTCAAGTGATTCCCCTGCCTCAGCCTCCCAAGTAGCTGGGACGACAGGCGCATGCCACCACCCCTGGCTAATTTTTTGTATTTTAGTAGAGATGGAGTGTCACCATGTTGGCCAGGATGGTCTTGATTTCCTGACCTCGTGATCTGCCTGCCTCAGCCTCACAAAGTGCTGGGATTACAGGCGTGAGGCACTGCGCCCGGCCTGGTTTGAGGTTTTTAAGGCATTTTCACATGTAGTATCTCCTTGGTTTTCCCATAGCAAGAGGACGAAGTGGCATGATTATCCCACCACCCCTTGAACCCAGAAGCCTGGGCCTTGACTTCCTATTCAGCTCCTCTTACTTCCCAATATTTCCCATCGCTGGCTCAGAGACAGCCCAGCCAGACTGGCCCACGGAGCCACCTCATCATGTTTCAGAAGGCCGCCAAGGGACTCTGCTTACCTCCTGTTTTTTTGCCTCACTTGCACTAAGTAGAGAATTCAGCGTGCAAAGTGTTAGAGGGTGAACCACAGTGAAACACCACCTCACACCCTTAGGATGGCTACTATCAAAAAAACAGAAAATGGGCCAGGCAGTGGCTCACGCCTGTAATCCCAGCACTTTTGGAGGCCAAGGCAGGTGGATCACAAGATCAGGAGATCGAGACCATCCTGGCCAACATGGTGAAACCCCGTCTCTACTAAAATACAAAAAATTAGACAGGCGTGGTGGCACGTGCCTGTAATCCCAGCTACTCGGGAGGCTGAGGCAGAGAATCGCTTGAACCCGGGAGACAGAGGTTGCAGTGAGCTGAGATCACACCACTGCACTCCAGCCTGGTGACAGAGCAAGACTCCGTCTCAAAAACAAAACAAAACAAAACAAAACAAACAAAAAAAACAGAAAATGACAGTGCTGGCAAGGGTATGGAAACTGGAACCCTTGTGCACTGTTGATGGGAACACAAAATGGTGCAGCTACTATAGAAAACAGTACGGTGTTTCCTTAAAAAATTAAAAATAACATTACCATATGATCCAGCAAAAGAATTGAAAACAGTGTCTCTAAGAGATATCTACACACCTGTGTTCATAACAGTATTATTCGCAATAGCCAAGAGGTGGAAGCAACCCAAGTCTCCATTAACAAAATGTGGTCTATCCATACGATGGAATATTAGTCAGCCTTCAGAAGGGAGGAAACTCTGAAACCTGCTGCAATAAAGACACTATGCTAAGTGAAATAAGCCCATCCCAAAA
This sequence comes from Homo sapiens, assembly GCF_000001405.40. Classification (NCBI taxonomy): domain Eukaryota; kingdom Metazoa; phylum Chordata; class Mammalia; order Primates; family Hominidae; genus Homo; species Homo sapiens. The sequence continues at coordinate 23,362,236 of NC_000008.11, forward strand.
GACAAATATTGTATGGGGTATCTAGAGGAGTCAAATTCATTGAAACAGAAAGTAGAGTGGTGGCTGCCAGGGCCTGGGATGAGAAAGAAATGGAGGTGGTTGTTTAATCGGTGCAGTTTCAGTTTTGCAAAATGGAAAAGTTCTGCTGATGATGGTTGCACAACAATGTGAATATACTTAACACTACTGAACTGGACACTTAAAAATGTTTAAGGCTGGGCTGGGCACAGTTCATGCCTGTAATCTCAACACTTCGGGAGGCCAAGGCGGGAGGATCATTCAAGCTCAGGAGTTCGAGACCAGCCTGGGCAATATAGCGAGGCCTCATCTCTACTAAAAATCAAAACATTTAGCTGGGCATGGTGGCGCACGCCTGTAGTCCCAGCTATTCAGGAGGCCAAGGTGGGAGAATTGCTTGAGCCCAGAAGGTTGAGGCTGCAGTGAGCTGTGATTGTGCCATTGCATTCCAGCCTGGGTGACAGGGAGACCCTGTCTCCAGAAAAAAAATCCAAAAAGTTAAGGTGGTAAATTTTATGTGATGTACATTTGGCCATAATTTTTTTTTAATTATAAAGTGCTAGAGGATTTTCAAATAGTGATTTTTATAAGTGCCACTGCAAAATGAAAGAAAACAAATCTAAACCTCTCATTTTTCTCACCGCTCCTTTTAGGAGTCTAGAGCAGCAGACATAGTCAAACAAACCTGGGTTCAAGTTCCATCTGCCACACACTGGGGCACTGTGTGATGTGGTCGACTACCTCACCACACCTGCTTCTCATTTCTAAAGGCAAAATAATGATGCTGAGCAAACAGGTTGCCATGGAGACTCAATGAGGTAATGTATGTGCCTGGTACGCTTTCAACCTCCCTTTCCCTTTCCTTCTTCCAGTCCTTCAGAAAAGCAATGCATTCTACTGCTTCCACGATGTAAGAGAAAAGCAAATAAAAACATTCCCATTGGAGAGATTAGAAAACCAAGGAAAGAAACGGAGGCTCTTCAAGGTCGATAAGCACCCCGGGGCCAGTCTCCTGACGTCCAGGCCCTGCTGAAACGTGTCTGTTCTCACGGCTGCTGGTCAGGGCTCAAACGACAGCACCTTGGATCCATTGTGGAGAACAAAGAGCTAATTGAAAACATCTGGGCTGAGGTTTTCCAACTGGCTTCTCATTTTGGCCCGGTTTCCAAGCAGTCAAGCTCCACTGAAACATACACTCCCTAATCGATTGCTGTCTCAACAACAAACCAATGTTTGTCTTGCTAAGTTACTAGCAACAGGGAAGACCCTCCATGTTCTAAGCGGAATGTTCTGTCGCAAAGCTGCCAAAGTGACAGAGATGGTGAAAAGCAGTGGCACCCTATTCCATCTGCAGTGAGAGAAACCCCCCTCGCTAAGGACCTGGAAGTCGACCAGTGCATCATCAAAGGAACTGAGAACAGCTGCAAACCAGAGACCCTAAGGAGCCTGCCCCAAAGAGCTGCTCTCTTATGAAACTTCCATGGACCCCCAATAATCTTCCATGGACCCCTTCCACATATGCTTGGTCAATTTCTACTTAGATGGCAGATATGTGAATCTGTACTTAGCCCAAGACAGCATCACCATGCATGGTATACTCGTTTGGCCTGATTTCATAACAAAATTTTTTTTGTTTTTTGAGACAGTGTCTCACTCTGTCACTCAGGCTGGAGTGCAGTGGTGCAATCATAGCTCACTGCAACTTCCGCTTCCCAGGTTCAAGCAATTCTCCCACCTCAGCCTCCCAAGTAGCTGGGACCAAAGGCGCATGCCACCATGCCCAGCTAATTTTTGTATTTTTTGGTAGAGATAGGATTTCACCATGTTGGCCAGGCTGGTCTCGAACACCTGACCTCAGGTGATCTGCCTGCCTCAGCCTCCCAAAGGGCTGGGATTACAGGCATGAGCCACTGCAAAGGGCCCTTTTTTTTCCCTCTACAGGCTTAGTGCTTATTAACTAGACTACTCCGATTCCAATGCAACCAGCTTCTGGGTCTGCCTGCTGAAAAGCAGGGCGGTTCTAGGTACAATCCAGTAGATGCCTCCTCAGAGCTGCCAGGAAAGCCGTGTCCTTGGGACACAAGATGACAGTCAAACTTTGGACACAAGAAAGCCATTCAATCAGAAGCCAAATTTTATGTTACTCTTTGCTTCCAATGCCTCTCCTGATGAAAGAAGAGATAAATATATATATACAAGTTAACAGATCATTAGGAAGGTGAAAATCATAAATGAAATTCAGTTGGAATGCCAGAGCCCAGGACAATGGATATTATTCAAGTTAGACTGTGTGGGGTCACAAATGGGTGCAGTGGGTCACGCCTGTAATCCTAGCACTGTGGGAGGCCAAGGTGGGCAGATCACTTGAGGCCAGGAGTTTGAGATCAGCCTGGCCAACGTGGGAAAACCCCGTCTCTACTAAAAATAGAATTAAAAAAATCAGCTGGGCCTAGTGGCGCACACCTGTAATCCCAGCTACTCGGGGGGCTGAGATGGGAGGATCACTTGAATTCGGGAGGCGAAGGTTGCAGTGAGCCTAGATCCCACCACTGCACTCCAGCCTGGGTGATAAAGCAAGACTCTGTCTCAAAGAAAAGGAAAGAAAAAAATCTGTGGGGTTACAACAATGTGGTTATCGCTGGCTTCGTCGCTGTGGTCTAAAGAATGAGGGATGTGACTGGGAATAGGCTTAGCCTCCTGATTCTGAAGACAGGTGAAGGAGAGCAACCACCTTAGCTTCAGCTGCTATAACCTCGAACAGGGGTTGAGAATCAGGACAGCTGCTCCCTCCAGAACTCCCTAAAAGGGCCTGTGGTTTACCTGAGCTCAGAGATGCTTTGGGAGAACAGTCTGTGAACAGGCCAGGCTAGAAAACCCAGAACGTCCCTGGTGCCCTCCCTGGTTTCACTGCTCCAGCCTGAAGTTCAGAGGAGCTTGAGGGGTCCTGGAGGGGCAGTCTTATCCACGGTCTGACCGGCACGTTAAGCCCCTAAGCCCCACCGGAGCAAGCCCTGGGCGCTGGCCACTTTCTGTGCTCACTATACCCAGAACTCTTTTGCCAACTCTTTTTCCTATTCTGCCAAATCAAAATGAATCAATTAGCTAATATTCACTGAGTGCCCACCATGTACCCAGTGATAAAGATCTGGACTGATGCTGGTGAAATTCAAATAAATTTAGATGTAAAAAGGTCTCTCATGTCATAAACGAAGCACCACTTCACGTAAGCAGCTTAACTCGTAAAGCCGTGAACACAAGACAGAGTTTTTTTTTTTTCAAGCATCTGTTTCTTTCTCCTCTCTTTGATGTTATTCCTTTTATAAACCTTGATGATTTCCATGTCCACAAAGATGACCTTTCCAGTACTCCTGGTCTCTTCGTTAATACACCTCCTCTCTCAGAGACTGTCCTCCATCCTGCTCCAGCCGCTGTCCCATGGTCATAGCTCAGGTCTCTCATTACCAGAGATTGCACCCACCCTTCAATCTCCATTTCACCTTTCCTGCTCTGCACCCACACACAGCTCCCTTCATCTTTTAGTAAACTTCTTGTATCTCCATCTGAACAGAGACTCGCAATCCAGTGATCACAGCAGCTATGCACAATCCTTCAACTTCTCCACTTATTACAACCCTCCTTACCCAGCACAGTCTCCTTGGACCATGAGTTTAATCCTTCCCTTTCATATTCCCTCCACTCCTTGGAACTTTTCACTCTTCACCACGCTTGGATGGCAAAGTCCCACCTGGGTAAAAACCTGTCTCCTACTACCCCGTGCCTGCTCCTGATAGGGAAAAACCACAACCCCCTTGTCTGACAACAGGTGTTTTAAATTGAGGTTGAAATAAAATTAAGTTGTCACTGGAAAAATACCCAGTCACTGGAAAGCATTTGTTATAAAATAATGAGCGTTGGAAAGCCTGGAATGGAAAACATGAATCTGAGGTTACCCCTGGATCGCTCAGCCAGCCGGATAAACAGAGATGTGGAAGTATCGGACGTTTGTTTAAAGAAGACAGGAAGTGGGTTCTAAAGCCCAGCATTTGCTAACTTCACTGCTGTGGCTCTCATCGCCCAGAGCAAGCTGCAGAGAACATTTGACTCTGTGCTGTCTCCTGATCCAGTTACCCCAAAAGGAAATTTTCAATTGCATGGAGGTGAGATGTGTATGAGATGGGACTTCCTTTCTCCTATAATTTCTAGAATAACAGAAAAGTTGGAAGGGAGGATAACAGTTATCAATTTCAATGACTCCCAAACCTGTCACTTTGCAGACTTCCAAAAGAGACAGAGTCCTGGGCTCCAGCCCAGACCTTTTAAACTAGATTATGGTGGGTTGAGGTCTGCGCTATTCTGTACTTTTAAGCTCCCTTGGGCGATTCTTACGCAGTCAGCATGGCATTAGCCCTTTAGTCCAGGACAGGAGTATAGGCAGCTCTGCTTTAGTCCAGTAGCCAGACTTGTGCTGAGGTCTGGGCTGCAGCTCAGCCGGGCGGGAGGGTGTGGGAGCTTCCTTTGCCTGGCTGACCCAGAGATAGGAAACTCTTAGCTCCTGGAAAAATGTTTAAAAAGAAACAATTCCCTCCACCCTTATCTCTTTCCTATTTGGGAACATACACTGTCAGGGTTTCAGGGGTTCTTAGCCCAACTTCCAGATGGGGAAAATGAGGCTGGAGAGGACATGCGTCTTCCTACAAAGTGTGGTGTCAGAGGTCAGTACAGACTGAGCTCTAGGTTCAGGGCTTCAAACTTTGTCCTGCCTCAAAGCTGTTAAAGCAATTTTTTGGGTTTTTGTTTTGTTTTTTGTTTTTTTGAGATGGAGTCTCGCTCTGTCACCCAGGCTGGAGTGCAGTGGCGCGATCACGGCTCACTGCAGCCTCCGCCTCCCGGGTTCAAGCGATTTTTGTGCCTTAGCCTCCTGAGTAGCTGGGACTACAGACACTCGCCACCATGCCCGGCTAATTTTTGTATTTTTAGTAGAGATGGGGTTTCCCCATGTTGGCCAGGCTGGTCTCGAACTCCTGACCTCAAGTGATCATCCCGCCTCCGTCTCCCAAAGTGCTGGGATTACAGGTATGAGCCACTGCGCCTGGCCAGCTCTTAAAACAATTTTTAAAAATAAACTAATAAATTTGAACCTCACAAGGGAGGAAAGAATAGGCTAACCAACGGTGAAAAACCCAAAGCATCTGTGTGCCTATTGTGACCAAGCCCACAATAGCAGGTTAGTGTGAAAACGATGAACTCCACATGCCAGGAAGGTGGGGGGCGTCAGGGAGCTCCAGCATGTGGGAGCCATTGTGAGGAAGAGCAAGAGGCTTTCCTAACAGGGAACGATTTGGAGTAAAGCGCAACTTCCTCTGGGCTGACGCAGCCCCCAGGCAGGGCATATGGGGCGGAGAGAGGAGCACAGGCCGATTTCACCCCCTACCTGGGGTCACCAACTGTCCTGGTTTTCCTGAGGTTTTCCCAGGATGTGAGACTTTCTGTGCTAAAGCCAGGAAAGTCTTGGGCAAATCAGTATGGTTGGTCACTTACTGTGCCCCTCCTCAAGCCCCCCGACCCCGCCTTCCTGCAGGGTGCAGCCTGAGTGGGCACAGAAGGATGCCAGTCCCTGGATGGGCATCACCAAGAATTTACACTTCGCAGTGCGTGCAGCCTCCTCTCCCAGGCTGACCTCAGGGAAGGCCACTCCGGGCCTTGCCAGGTGACAGCACTCAGATCCAAAGCACAGAGCGTTTACCTTCTCCCTTGCCGTAGGAGGAGCTGGCAGTCCAGGACTTGGCCTCCACGTAGCCCAGCTCCCGGCAGACGACGTGGGCAGCGTGGATGGAGAAGTCGTCATCGCACACGGTGCCCCACTGGCCATCATAGTACACCTCCACCCGGCCCTCGCTGTGCTTCCTCTTCTGCCCAGCCAGGCGCAGCTGAATCTTGGCCACGTTGGCGGGGGCCTGGGGCTGGTGATACTCAGGAGCCGGTTGCTGGAAGTACTCGGGGTAATGGGGCCAGCTGTCATACTGTGCCAGGCTCAGGGGGGACAGGAGGGCCAGCATAGCCAGGCAGCTGCAGAGGTGGGAGCACAGAGGCCTCTCCATCCCTGTCTTCGGGCTGATGATCCCACGAAGGGGCCCTGCGCAGCTGGGAGGGACAGGCGGGGTACAGAAGCAGCAGGAGCTTTCTGGAAGAGAGGAGAGATGCGTTAGGATGGGAACGTGGGGCTACGGAGACCTACATAGAGAACCAGCGATTTCATACCCCTTGGCTTAATATGGAAAGCTCGTCCATTCTCGACGCCAATCCAGCCCCACTCCTACATTTCCACCATGCAGGGCTGGGAGGTCCCACCTCCTTTACCTACTGCCTTGTCATCTCTCTAGAATGCTTTTTCCAGTAGAGTTCCTGGCAGGGAACAGAACACACTCCAACTTAATTTAAGGAGAGTTTTTTAAGACTACGGACATGCCGGCAGAGTTCTGCAGAACTAACAAAGGCCGGTGTCACACCCTAGGGCTGGCGACTCAGAGGGGGCTGTGACCACCCTAGGCTTGAAGGGAGCCTGCGGGGGTGAGAACTGGAGACTGGCAGAGGGAGCTGTCTCTTAGGAGCTGTGGCCCTCACTGGAGGGTCTCAGAGCCAACCCATGGCAACGGCGGGGACATGGGAGGGAGAATAAATACCTGACTCCCTTTCCTCCCGTCTTTGAATCATTCTGGTGCCTCCTATTAGGCAAACCCAGCCCCCTTCAACTCGAAGCCACTGGCAAGGGAGCTGAGCCCATTGAGGGAGCCCGTGTGGGACAGCCTCCTGGAACATGGGGGCCGGTGGAGAAGGAGCGGGTCTGAAGGGGTGAGGGCAGGATGTTCAACACACCCACCCTCCATTAAATGAATGGCACCCCAAAACACTACAGGAACATTTGCTAGATGAATTATAATTTTCCCGTCAGCTTTGAGGGCTGCAATGCTAAATGAGTTTTAAAATCCTCAAGGTCCTGGTCATCGTATCTGGTGGAGCCTACCTCTAAGAATTCCCGAGTGAAATCATGTAGCAAGAGACCTCGTGTATCTTGGTCCTCCCGTAATTCAGAGAAAAGAGGAGACGATTTTAAAAGGAGCACACGTGTGTCTTGTGGAGAAACATGCAGGGCCCCAAACCAGGATGAGCAGGTGGAAGCTTAGGTGGGGGCATAAGGTATTTTATTTTAACCCTATGCAGAGGAGTAGGCTAATCATATTCTTCTGGTCATGGCACACTACCTTTGAGGAAGGACTGGCTAACTTTCCTGTAGTCAGAGCTGTCCAGAGCTGCCCATGGAGGGATGATCTGCCTTGGAGTGAGGCAGTTCCATGTCTGTTGGGTGACCAGCAGTGCTCAGTGCCCCGAAGAGGATGCTGGGGTGGAGATGTTAGAGCCTGGGGGACAGTCAGAACTGAGGATTTTGGAAAGCTTTCTGATGTCACCGGAGAGCCAGCCATGCTCATCCTGTGACTAACAAACAAGGCCAGAAAGTGATGGAGGGTTCCTGTGATAGCTCCTGACCAACGGACCAACGCACAGCCTGACCCCCTAGTAGTGTGGCTCTGAAGGGAATCAGGGTCCTGGCCACTCATCATTCCCATCAAAGCACATCTGCATCCTCAAGCTTACCTATGCCTCACAAGAACCTTGGGGAGTAGAAGAGGCAGGTATTATTAGGATTCTTATTTTACAACAAAATCAAGAACCAGAGAGGGTTAGAGATTTTGCCAGAGTTGCACAGTTACTGCAAGCAAAGCCAGAATGGGTCACTCCCAATGTGCCATCCCATATAAAAAGTCCTGGTTCAGCTTGGATACAAAAGCCTTTATGTGTGGCACGTGCCTACCTTCCCTGCTTCGGTTCCCACGACGGTGTCTCCCTTCTCTCACCCCAGCCCTGCCCATGGCACACATCCCATCATATCAGCCTATACCAGCTTCAGCTTTTGACACCTAGAACAACGCGCCTCCATCCCCTCCCCTCCCCTCCAAATGGCACCTGGTGCAATCCTTCCTGTTCTTCACAGAGACCTTCCTAGGTCCTCCTATCAGATTGAATGTATTTCTGCTTCCCTTTGACATCACATTTTGCTGGTGCTTTACATTGTTGTCATGTCTGGCTCTGCCACCGGACCCTCAGGCCCAAGGGACAGAAACCACCTCTTTGTCATTTCTGCTCAGCAACACATCTGCCTCTGGATGTATCAGGCTACCTTGCAGTAGATAAAGCTACCTGCCAAGAACAACTAGAAAAGGAAGGTAAAATATTAAAAACATATGTTCGAAGACACGAGAAAGCTACCGAGGCACCAAGGACTGAAGGAACCAAGAATCCAGAGAGATGGGAAGGGCATTGAGGTGAGGCTCACTTTTGTCTCTGCTTTCCCCCGGAAGATACTCGCCAATTCCACGGCAGTGATCAACAGGCTGAGAAGCTAAGCAAAGCTGCAGGCAGCCTCCAGGGACTGGGGAGACCGGGAGTTCAGAACCTGCCAAGGACAAAGGGACCTGTTAAACAGCTCCAGGCTCTCAGATGCATTCCTGAAGAGCTGCACTCTAGAAGCCAGGGCATAGGAAGGTCTGACATTCCCATAAATGGAATCCCAAAGAAGAGGAGAGAAAGGATGTGCAGAGGAAATAATGGAAGAAATAATGGCCTAGAATTTTCCAGAATGACAAAAGACATCAAGCCCACACAGTATAGTTTACAAGGAAAACCACATCTGGGCACATCGAAATCCAACTGCAGAGAAGACAAGATAGAAAGAAAAATCTTAAACACAGGGTAGAGGAGCTGAGTTACCTTAGAAAGAGCAGCAGAAAGACTAACAGCTGGTCCCCTCAACACAAATAAGGAGACAAGACTTCAACAGCGCAACATTTTCAAAGGGCGGAAAAAAATAAGTCTGCCTAGAATCTGTGCCCAGTGAAGAGAACGAAGGTAAAATAAGGACATCCCAGATAAACAAAAGAGGAGCGAGTCTGTCACCAGAATACCCACAAGACGGAAATACTACAGGGAATTCTTCAGGCAAAAGGAAAAATCATCCCAGATGTCAGTAAGGAGGCGTAGGAAGGAATGAAGAGTATGAAGTAGGAAATGATGTAGGTAAATCTCAATGAAGATCGAGTGTGTAAAACAGGAAGAATGTCCTGTGGGGTTTAAAATACATGTATGATTAAAATGCATGGCAACTGGCTGGGTGCAGTGGCTCACGCCTGTAATCCCAGCACTTTGGGAGGCTGAGGCGGGCGGATCACAAGGTCAGGAGATCAAGCCCATCCCGGCTAACACGGTGAAACCCCGTCTCTACTAAAAATACAAAAAATTAGCCGGGCATGGTGGCGGGCACCTGTAGTCCCAGCTACTCGGGAGGCTGAGGCAGGAGAATGGCGTGAACCCAGGAGGTGGAGGTTGCAGTGAGCCGAGGTCACGCCACTGCACTCCAGCCTGGGCGAAAGAGTGAGAGTCTGTCTCAAAAAAAAAAAAAAAAAAAAAAAAAAAAAAAAAATGCATGGCAAGCGCAGCACGAAAGGCAGGAAGGCATTAAATGGAGCTCAAGTGGTTTGAGGTTCTTGTGTTGTCTGGGAAGTGGTAAAAGTACTATTGTCTATTAGACTTTAGCAAGTCTAATAAATGCATGTTGTAATCTTTATAGGAATCATTGTAAGAACCATATACTGAAAGAAAAGTACAACTAACAGGTTAATAAGGGGGTTTGGGGGAGAAATGGTAGAATTAAAAAATACTTGATTAATCCAAAATTGAAGCAATAAAACAAATAAAAAGTAACATAAAACAATTGTTACAAATAGAAAAAATATTAGATGGTGGGTTTAAACTCCAATATATCAGTAATTACATTAGATAAAATAAATACTCCAATTAAAAGACAAAGATCATCAGAACGAATATAACAAAACAATTCAGCTTTACATTTCTTTTTCTTTTTTTTTTTTGAGATGGAGTCTTGCTCTGTTGCCCAGGCTGGAGTGTGCAGTGGCGCGATCTCAGCTCACTGCAACCACTGCCTCCTGGGTTCAAGCGATTCTCCTGCCTTAGCCCCTCGAGTAGCTGGGATTCCAGGCATGTACCACCACGCCTGGCCAATTTTTGTATTTTGAGTAGAGATGGGGTTTCACCATGTTGGCCAGGCTGGTCTCAAACCCCTGACCTCAAGTGATCCATCCGCCTCAGCCTCCCAAAGTGCTGGGATTACAGGTGTGAGCCACCACGCCCAGCCCAATCCAGCTTTATATTTCTTAGAAGAGACACAGAGGCTTAATGTAAAAGGATGGAAACAGATATACCATGCGTACATTAACCAGAGGGAAACTTGTACGATCAAGCTGACCTTAACACAAGAAACATTACCAGAGACAAAAAGGGACAGTTTACGATAATGAAAGTCAATCCACCAGGATAATGTAACTCTTCTAAACGTACGTGCATAGCTTCAATATATATAAAAGAAATATTGATAGAACTAAAAGGAAAAAATAGACAAATTCATAATCAGAGTGGGAGATTTTTACACACCTCTGTCAGTAACGGATAGAAGACACAGAAAAATCCTGGGGTTGAAGATGTGAATGACATAATTAACAAACTTAACCTAATTCACAAGTTTCTATAAACTGTACTCAGCAACTGCAGAAGGCAGCTATGCTCCAGGGACACATGGAACATATAATGATACAAACATATTAAGATATTAAGATACAATGATATTATGCAGAATATGTTGTTTGACTACAACAGAATTCAGCTATAAACCATTAATAAAAGAACAAGTAGAAAATCCCCAAATATTTGGGAATGTTGGATGAGGAAATCTATTATCATGCATCTCCATCCAGCTCACAGTACTAAATTGATTTATTCATTCAACAAGAATTCATTGAGCTCCTACTATACCTCAGGCCCTGCTGGGAGTAGAGGTCTTCTTTCCCATGGAGCTGACTGCCTAGCTGGAGTTCGCCTACAAGGTATCAATGATTGTTCATGGTCTGAACTACCTGAGCCAGCGGAGGGGGGGCCTAACTTTGAATTCAGGAAGGTTTTCCTCTTCTACACTGCCTGGCAGGGTCTTGCCGTGTCACCCAGGCTGAAGTGCAGTGGCGTGATCATAGCTCACCGCAGCCTCGAACTCTTGAGCCCAAGAGATCCTCCTACTCAGCTGCCCGTGTAGCTGGAACTACAGGCAAGAGCCACCATGCCTAGCTAAGTTTTTGGGTTGCTTTTTAATTTTTAAATGTATCCATCTTGTGGAAATTAAAGACAGAAAGCCAATGAATTGCCAAAGGTCACACAGAGTGCTTGGCAAGCAGCTAACATTAATAGAGCACCCCCATGTGCAGGCACTGTTCTCAACGCTCTAGTGTTTTAATTCACTTGATGTGGTAGGCACTGTTATTATCCTTGGGAGGAAACTGAGGGACAGAGAAGTTTGATAACTTGCCTAAAGTTGCGCAGACGGTAAATGCAAGCCAGGATCTGAAGGTGGTGGCAGGCTGACCTGGGCTCTGTCCCCCACCGCGAAGCTCTACTACCCCCAGCCTGGCACTGTCTCTCTCCCTCCCCTGACTTTCCCACCCCCATCCCCCAAGGGCTTCAGAGACTTCCAGATCCTCTAATCCTGTCCCAGAAAGAAATGAAAAAAATATGTGGTCTTGCAACATTTCTTTTTTTATACTGTAAGTTCTAGGGTACATGTGCACAACATGCAGGTTTGTTACATATGTATACATGTGCCATGTTGGTGTGCTGCACCCGTTTACTCGTCATTTACATTGGGTATATCTCCTAATGCTTTCCCTCCCCCCTCCCCCCACCCCACAACAGGCCCCGGTGTGTGATGTTCCCCTTCCTGTGTCCAAGTGTTCTCATTGTTCAATTCCCACCTATGAGTGACAACATGTGGTGTTTGGTTTTTTGTTCTTGCAATAGTTTGCTGAGAATGATGGTTTCCAGCTTCATCCATGTCCCTAAAAAGGACATGAACTCATCCTTTTTTATGGCTGCATAGTATTCCATGGTGTATATGTGCCACATTTTCTTAATCCAGTCTATCTTTGATGAACATTTGGGTTGGTTCCAAGTCTTTGCTATTGTGAATAGTGCCGCAATAAACATATGTGTGCATGCGCCTTTACAGCAGCCTGATTTATAATCCTTTGGGTATATACCCAGTAATGGGATGGCTGGGTCAAATGGTATTTCTAGTTCTAGATCCTTGAGGAATCGCCACACTGTCTTCCACAATGGTTGAACTAGTTTACAGTCCCACCAACAGTGTAAAAGTGTTCCTATCTCTCCACATCCTCTCCAGCACCTGTTGTTTCCTGACTTTTGAATGATTGCCATTCTAACTGGTGTGAGATGGTATCTCATTGTGGTTTTGATTTGCATTTCTCTGATGGCCAGTAATGATGAGCATTTATTCATGTGTCTGTTGGCTGCATAAATGTCTTCTTTTGAGAAGTGTCTGTTCATATCCTTCACCTACTTTTTGATGGGATTGTTTTTATTTTCTTGTAAATTTGAGTTCTTTGTAGATTCTGGATATTAGCCCTTTGTCAGATGAGTAGATTGCAAAAATTTTCTCCCATTTTGTAGGTTGCCTGTTCACTCTGATGGTAGTTTCTTTTGCTGTGCAGAAGCTCTTTAGTTTAATTAGATCCCATTTGTTAATTTTGGCTTTTGTTGCCATTGCTTTTGGAGTTTTAGACATGAAGTCCTTGCTCATGCCTGTGTCCTGAATGGTACTGCCTAGGTTTTCTTCTAGGGTTTTTATGGTTTTAGGTCTAACATTTAAGTCTTTAATCCATCTTGAATTAATTTTTGTATAAGGTGTAACGAAGGGATCCAGTTTCAGCTTTCTACATATGGCTAGCCAGTTTTCCCAGCACCATTTATTAAATAGGGAATCCTTTCCCCATTTCTTGTTTTTGTCAGGTTTGTTAAAGATCGGATGGTTGTAGATGTATGGTATTATTTCTGAGGGCTCTGTTCTGTTCCACTGGTCTATATCTCTGTTTTGGTACCAGTACCATGCTGTTTTGGTTACTGTAGCCTTGTAGTATAGTTTGAAGTCAGGTAGCTTGATGCCTCCAGCTTTGTTCTTTTGGCTTAGGATTGACTTGGCAATGCAGGCTCTTTTTTGGTTCCATATGAACTTTAAAGTAGTTTTTTCCAATTCTGTGAAGAAAGTCATTGGTAGCTTGATGGGGATGGCATTGAATCTATAAATTACCTTGGGCAGTATGGCCATTTTCACGTTATTGATTCTTCCTATCCATGAGCATGGAATGTTCTTCCATTTGTTTGTATCCTCTTTTATTTCCTTGAGCAGTGGTTTGTAGTTCTCCTTGAAGAGGTCCTTTACATCCCTTGCAAGATGGATTACTAGGTATTTTATTCTCTTTGAAGCAATTGTGAATGGGAGTTCACTCATGATTTGGCTCTCTGTTATTGGTGTGTAAGAATGCTTGTGATATTTGCACACTGATTTTGTATCCTGAGACTTTGCTGAAGTTGCTTATCAGCTTAAGGAGATTTTGGGCTGAGACGATGGGGTTTTCTAAATATAAAATCATGTCACCTGCAAACAGGGATAATTTGACTTCCTTTTTTCCTAATTGAATACCCTTTATTTTTTTCTCCTGCCTGATTGCCCTGGCCAGAACTTCCAACACTATGTTGAATAGGAGTGGTGAGAGAGGGCATCCCTGTCTTGTGCCAGTTTTCAAAGGGAATGCTTCCAGTTTTTGCCCATTCAATATGATATGGGCTGTGGGTTTGTCATGAATAGCTCTTATTATTTTAAGATACGTCTAATCGATACCTAATTTATTGAGAATTTTTAGCATGAAGGGCTGTTGAATTTTGTCAAAGGCCTTTTCTGCTTCTATTGAGATAATCATGTGGTTTTTGTCTTTGGTTCTGTTTAGATGCTGGATTACGTTTACTGATTTGCATATGTTGAACCAGCCTTGCATCCCAGGGATGAAGCCCACTTGATCATGGTGGATAAGCTTTTTGATGTGCTGCTGGGTTCAGTTTGTCAGTATTTTATTGAGGATTTTTGCATCGATATTCATCAGGGATATTGGTCTAAAATTCTCTTTTTTTGTTGTGTCTCTGCCAGGCTTTGGTATCAGGATGATGCTGGCCTCATAAAATGAGTTAGGGAGGATTCCCTCTTTTTCTATTGATTGGAATAGTTTCAGAAGGAATGGTACCAGCTCCTCCTTGTACCTCTGGTAGAATTCGGCTGCGAATCTGTCTGGTCCTGGCCTTTTTTTGGTTGGTAGGCTATTAATTATTGCCTCAATTTCAGAGCCTGTTATTGGTCTATTCAGGGATTCAACTTCTTCCTGGTTTAGTCTTGGGAGAGTGTATGTGTCCAGGAATTTATCCATTTCTTCTAGATTTTCTAGTTTATTTGCATAGAGGTGTTTATAGTATTCTCTGATGGTTGTTTGTATTTCTGTGGGATCAGTGGCGATATCCCCTTTATCATTTTTTATTGCATTTGTTTGATTCTTCTCTCTTTTCTTCTTTATTAGTCTTGCTAGCAGTCTATCAATTTTGTTGATCTTTTCAAAAAACCAGCTCCTGGATTCATTGATTTTTTGAAGGGTTTTTTGTGTCTCTATCTCCTTCAGTTCTGCTCTGATCTTAGTTATTTCTTGCCTTCTGCTAGCTTTTGAATGTGTTTCCTCTTGCTTCTCTAGTTCTTTTAATTGTGATGTTAGGGTGTCAATTTTAGATCTTTCCTGCTTTCTCTTGTGGGCATTTAGTGCTATAAATTTCCCTCTACACACTGCTTTAAATGTGTACCAGAGATTCTGGTATGTTGTGTCTTTGTTCTCATTGGTTTCAAAGAACATCTTTATTTCTGCCTTCATTTTGTTATGTACCCAGTAGTCATTCAGGAGCAGGTTGTTCAGTTTCCATGTAGTTGAGCAGTTTTGAGTGGGTTTCTTAATCCTGAGTTCTAGTTTGATTGCACTGTGGTCTGAGAGACAGTTTGTTATAATTTCTGTTCTTTCACATTCACTGAGGAGTGCTTTACTTCCAACTATGTGGTCAATTTTGGAATAAGTGCGATGTGGTGCTGAGAAGAATGTATATTCTGTTGATTTGGGATGGAGAGTTCTGTAGATGTCTATTAGGTCCGCTTGGTGCAGAGCTGAGTTCAATCCTGGATATCCTTGTTAACTTTCTGTCTCACTGATCTGTCTAATGTTGACAGTGGGGTGTTAAAGTCTCCCATTATTATTGTGTGGGAGTCTAAGTCTCTTTGTAGATCTTTAAGGACTTGCTTTATGAATCTGGGTGCTCCTGCATTGGGTGCATATACATTTAAGATAGTTAGCTCTTCTTGTTGAATTGATCCCTTTACCATTATGTAATGGCCTTCTTTATCTCTTTTGATCTTTGTTGGTTTAAAGTCTGTTTTATCAGAGACTAGGATTGCAACCCCTGCCTTTTTTTGTTTTCCATTTGCTTGGTAGATTTTCCTCCATCCCTTTATTGTGAGCCTATGTGTGTCTCTGCACGTGAGATGGGTCTCCTGAATACAGCACACTGATGGGTCTTGACTCTTTATCCAATTTGCCAGTCTGTGTCTTTTAATTGGAGCATTTAGCCCATTTACATTTAAGGTTAATATTGTTACGTGTAAATTTGATCCTGTCATTATAATGTTAGCTGGTTATTTTGCTCATTAGTTGATGTAGTTTCTTCCTAGCATCAATGGTCTTTACAATTTGGCATGTTTTTGAAGTGGCTGGTACTGGTTGTTCCTTTCCATGTTTAGTGCTTCCTTCAGGAGCTCTTGTAGGGCAGGCCTGGTGGTGACACAATCTCTCAGCATTTGCTTGTCTGTAAAGGATTTTATTTCTCCTTCACTTATGAAGCTTAGTTTGGCTGGATATGAAATTCTGGGTTGAAAATTCTTTTCTTTAAGAATGTTGAATATTGGCCCCCACTCTCTTCTGGTTTGTAGAGTTTCTGCTGAGAGATCTGCTGCTAGTCTGATGGGTTTCCTTTTGTGGGTAACCTGACCTTTCTCTCTGGCTGTCCTTAACATTTTTTCCTTCATTTCAACTTTGGTGAATCTGACAATTATGTGTCTTGGAGTTGCTCTTCTCCAGGAGTATCTTTGTGGCATTCTCTGTATTTCCCGAATTTGAACGTTGGCCTGCCCTGCTAGGTTGGGGAAGTTCTCCTGGATAATATCCTGCAGAGTGTTTTCCAACTTGGTTCCATTCTCCCCGTCACTTTCAGGTACACCAATCAGATGTAGCTTTGGTCTTTTCACATAGTCCCATATTTCTTGGAGGCTTTGTTCGTTTCTTTTTACTCTTTTTTCTCTAAACTTCTCTTCTCGCTTCATTTCATTCATTTGATCTTCAATCACTGATACCCTTTCTTCTGGTTGATCGAAACGGCTACTGAAGCTTGTGCATTCGTCACGTAGTTCTCGTGCCATGGTTTTCAGCTCCATCAGGTCATTTAAGGACTTCTCTACACTGGTTATTCTAGTTAGCCATTCATCTAATCTTTTTTCAAGGTTTTTAGCTTATGTTGGGTTTGAAATTCCTCCTTTAGCTTGGAGTAGTTTGATCGTCTGAAGCCTTCTTCTCTCAACTTGTCAGTCATTCTCTGTCCAGCTTTGTTCCATTGCTGGCGAGGAGCTGTGTTCCTTTGGAGGGGGAGAGGTGCTCTGGTTTTTAGAATTTTCAGCTTTTCTGCTCTGTTTTTTCCCCATCTTTGTGGTTTTATCTACCTTCGGTCCTTGATGATGGTGACATACAGATGGGGTTTTGTGGTGTGGTTGACTTTTATGTTTGTTAGTTTTCCTTCTAACAGTCAGGACCCTCAGCTGCAGGTCTGTTGGAGTTTGCTGGAGGTCCACTCCAGACCCTGTTTGCCTGGGTATCAGCAGCAGAGGCTGCAGAACAGCGAATATTGCTGAACAGCAAATGTTCCTGCCTGATTGTTCCTCTGGAAGCTTCGTCTCAGAGGGGTACCCAGCCGTGTGAGGTGTCAATCTGCCCCTACTGGGGGGTGCCTCCCAGTTAGGCTACTCGGGGGTCAGGGACCCACTTGAGGAGGCAGTCTTCCTGTTCTCAGATCTCAAACTCCATGCTGGGAGAACCACTACTCTCTTCAAAGCTGTCAGACAGGGACATTTATGTCTGCTGAGGTTTCTGCTGCCTTTTGTTCGGCCATGCCCTGCCCCCAGAGGTGGAGTCTACAGAGGCAGGCAGGCTTCCTTGAGCTGCGGTGGGCTGCACCCAGTTCGAGCTTCCCAGTCCCTTTGTTTACCTACTCAAGCCTCAGCAATGGCGGGCGCCCCTCCCCCAGCCGCCTTGCTGCCTCCTTGCAGTTCGATCTCAGACTGCTGTGCTAGCAATGAGTGAGGCTCCGTGGGCGTGGGACCCCCCGAGCCAGGCATGGGATATAATCTGCTGGTGTGCTGTTTGCTAAGACCATTGGAAAAGTGCAGTATTAGGGTGGGAGTGACATGATTTTCCAGGTGCCATCTGTCAGCCCTTCCCTTTACTAGGAAAGGGAATTCCCTGAACCCTTGCGCTTCCTGGGTGAGGGGATGCCTCGCCTTGCTTCGGCTCACACTCTGCGGGCTGCACCCACTGTCCTGACCCCACTGTCCTACGAGCCCCAGTGAGATGAACCAAGTACCTCAGTTGGAAATGCAGAAATCACCCATCTTCTGCGTTGCTCACGCTGGCAGACGTAGACTGAAGCTGTTCCTATTTGGCCATCTTGGAATTGCCCCCTCGCAACGTTTTAAAAGACATCTTAGGCCAGGCGTGCTGGCTTACGCCTGTAATCCCAGCACTTTGGGAGGACAAGGCAGGCGGATCACGAGGTCAAGAGATCGAGACCATCCTGGCCAACATGGTGAAACTCCATCTCTACTAAAAATACAAAAATTAGCTGGGCATGGTGGCGTGTGCCTATAGTCCCAGCTACTCAGGAGGCTGAGGCAGGAGAATTGCTTGAACCCAGGAGGCGGAGGTTGCAGTGAGGTGAGATCATGCCACTGCACTCCAGCCTCGTGACAGAGCGAGACTCCGTCTCAAAAAAAAAAAAAAAAAAAAGACATCTTAATCTGTGGATTTGTATATCTGTAAACTGCTCTACCCATTTTCCTGGATTATCCAATCTGTGGGAATGCTTTAGTGTTCAACTCCTAAATCTTTTCTAGAACAGCGCTCCTGAATTTTTTGCCTCTTTTGTAGGGCCCTCTCCTACTCCCTCCTCTGGGGGATTGTAACATATTAAACCCAGCTGCTTTTCTCTTCTTTTAAAAATTACTCTTAAAGTTTTTTTTTGTTGTTGTTGTTCTTTATAGTGAAAGTTACACAAGCTGGTGAAAAAAAATCTGGAAAACACAAACAAGTGAAAGGAAGAAAATAAGGGCTGGGCACAGTGGTTCAAGCCTGTAATCCCAGCATTTTGGGAGGCTAAGGTGGCCAATCGCTTGAGGTCAGGAGTTAAAGACCAGCCTGGACAACATGACAAAACCCTGTCTCTACTAAAAATACAAAAATTATCTGGGCATGGTGGCAAGCGCCTGTAATCCCAGCTACTAGGGAGGCTGAGGCAAAATAATTGCTTGAACCTGGGAGGCGGAGGTTGCAGTGAGCCGAGATTGTGATACTGTACTCCAAACAGAGAGAGACTCTGTCTCAGAAAAATAAAACAAAAGGAAGAAAATAACTTGTAATACCACTGGGGGGCGGGTAACCATGATCAAAACTGTGTTGTAAACCTCTCCAGTCTTTTTTTTTTTTGTACACATTTCCTTTTAAAAATTGGAATCATTTTCTACGTATTGCTTTGTAAACTGCTTTTCACATTGAACAGCATATTGCAAACATTATGCTTTATGGAACATTCTTTCATAAGATTTTTATAACATAGTATTCAATCTTATGGATACATAATAATCAAGTTTCTAAATTTCTTACTGCTGTAAACATTGTTGTAGCTGAAACTTGGCACAATCTTGGTATAAATTCCTAAAAGTGAAATTGCTGGGCCAAAGGGTTTGTACAAAATCAACACTTTTGCAAAACTATATGAACCACCTTCCAGAAAGACTGTGCCAATTGAAACCTCCACCAGCAGTATGTAGGTTTCCCCCAAACCTCAAAAACTCTGGCTATGACCATGTTTTCAAACTTTCCTCCATCTGATAAGCAAAAAAGGGTATTTTGTTTTAACAAGCATTCTTTTTATTACTAAGGAGGTGGAGCTTTTTCTCTCCCTTGCCCCGTGCTTACTGGCCACCTGTATTTCTTTTTTGGAGATTATGTCTCCCTGCCTTATACCCCTTTTTCTACTGAGCTTTTCCCTTGTTGCTTTGTAAGATTCATTTTTCACATTGGTATCCTTCCAACCTCAGGGAGGAAACACTGCCAGGCTTTCTGGGTGACCGCGCTGCCTCCTGCAGGTCAGGATGGGGACGGCGAGGCCATGCCAGGCTCCATGGGCACCAATGTTGTCCCCTCTCTCTGCTTACATTGCTCACACGTAACTGGGTGTTATAGGTGAATGGGCACCTGACTGGGCCCCCAAGCCTAACACAGTGCCTGGTGCACGTTAGCTGCTTAATCAAAATGGGTTGGATAATAACAGGAGATGCATGGCTCGGAGTAGACCCCTCATTCTGGGAAAGACAGCAGAGGGGACCAGGCAAACCACAGCCTTGCTGATGATGCTGGAGACAGCCACAGTGTCATTTATAAACAACTGAGAGCTCACAAAGGAGCTGGAATGAGCACAGGCAGAAGTTCTGAAATTATAGTTCGGTTGCCATAATGAGTGGGCTCCATTACACCCAGAAAACCATGTCCCCTTTTTCAGTTTTTATCTCTGTGAAGTAGACACATTCTGACCTGTGATAAAATGCAATCAGCGGCCAGGCACAGTGGCTCACACCTGTAATCCCAGCACTTTGGGAGGCTGAGGCGGGCAGATCACGACGTCAGGAGTTCAAGACCAGCCTGACCAACATGGTGAAACCCCACCTCTACTAAAATTACAAAAATTATCCGGGCATGGTGGCACATGCCTGTAGTCCCAGTTACTCAGGAGGCTTGAGGCAGGAGAATCGCTTGAACCCGGGAGGCAAAGCTTGCAGTCAGCCAAGATCGTGCCACTGTACTCCAGCCTGGGTGACAGAGCGA
Source organism: Homo sapiens (assembly GCF_000001405.40). Taxonomy (NCBI): domain Eukaryota; kingdom Metazoa; phylum Chordata; class Mammalia; order Primates; family Hominidae; genus Homo; species Homo sapiens. The sequence goes on from NC_000008.11 coordinate 23,382,506, forward strand.
GACTCCATCTCAAAAAAAAAAAAAAAAAAAAGTGCAATCAGCGAATGAACACAGTGGCAAAGCAGAGGAGAAACTTTCTGACTTTATCCTCACTTTTTCCCAGGAGGTGGGAGCCCTATTCTGGGCCTTTATAGAACCACTGAAGTCCTAAAAGTCCTAGGTGAACAAGACTATTATTATGGGCTAAACTGTGTCTTTCTGCCCTGCTCTGGTCAGTCTGTCTAGGACCTGAATCCCTCTCTCTGGAAACCCTGCTCCAACATCAGTGGTCCTGGTCCTGATTCTGCTGCTAGAACTCCGTAATGCTTCCTGCCTGGATCTTTCAAGACTGTCTGATGATGCTCTTCTCTGGGGTGGACCATTCTCTCTACGTGCTGCATCTGTTGGAGGTGACTGTACCCGATTAGCATGGCTGAACCCACCCCAAACACCTGCTCCCACCCTCAATTCCATGTGTGTTTACTCTGGGCCCTGACTTCTCCAGGGCTGCTCCACCCACACCCAGCTGATCTGACCTGGTGGTCCTCTGGTACCTAACATGCCTCTCCGTAGCGGTTTTAAACAAACTCGACCCTATAAGCCTAGGTCAAAGGGCTAGTAGAGTGGGACCTGTGGCCTTCCCGTCTTCCATCGTGTGGGCCCTCTTGCCTCTCCACAACCCTCCTCCTTGAGGAACTTACTGGCGCCAGGGCTTCCCTAGAGAGGTGATGTTGGGTGTCTTGGAATCAGAACACGCTGTCTGAATCCTGCCTGCCCCACTTCCTAGCTATATTAAGAGCCTCAATTTCTTCTTCCAAATATAGAAATTACCTTATGGGTGTGTGTGTGTGTATGATGGTTAAATGAAATAATGTGAAGATCCCTAGCACACAGCATCGAATCAGTCATGTTAATTTGCTTCTTTCCTTCCTTTGAACCTAGAACCTGATTGTGGAGCTCTGTGCTTCATACTTAGTAAATATTGGCCGAGTGAATAAATATAAATTTCTATTCCAATATTCACATCCTATCAATACTACCTTTCCCTCTGACCTAATTACATTGGAATGCAAGCTAACAAATTCATTCCTTGTCATTTTTCATATTAAGACATTTAAGGCTTAAGGAATAGATTAGTTATTTCTAAGAGGGCACTTTTACGTTTTTTTTTTGTTTTTTTTTTTTTTTTTTTTTGAGACAGAGTCTTGCTCTGTCGTCCAGGCTGGAGTGCAGTGGCGCAATCTCGGCTCACTGCAAGCTCTGCCTCCCGGGTTCACGCCATTCTCCTGCCTCAGCCTCCCGAGTAGCTGGGACTACAGGCGCCCGCCACCACGCCCGGCTAATTTTTTGTATTTTTAGTAGAGACGGGGTTTCACCGTGTTAGCCAGGATGGTCTCGATCTGCTGACCTCGTGATCCACCCGCCTCGGCCTCCCAAAGTGCTGGGATTACAGGCGTGAGCCACCGTGCCCGGCCCGATGTGAATTTCTAGATATGAATTTTACCTATTGTGCAAGGCTAGAAGTAAGAACGTTAGGATTTTTCATGAGTAGTTGGACCTGACCCGTGCCCTTCAAAACAGCTCGCCTACATACCTGTTTGCCTCTGAAATTCACTTGTATAGTAAAGGCAGTAGGCAAATGTCGAGGTAATTTATGGGATACGAAGATCTGGGATCAGAAAATCTCACCCTAGCAGATAATCAAGGCTTATGTCTAGACAGGAATTATGGGTTATAAGGTTGGACCAAGGAGGTGCAGAGCAAGGCATGATCCCAGCGAAGCACAGCTGACTTCCAAGGCAACGTGCCAGCTCAGCTGCACACACCTGCTTGCCCTGAAGGAAATGAGCCTCTAAACACATGCTGGACATGGGTGCTCCAGAGGGGCTGTCAAGGCCTGAGGCAGTGAGCGTTGCTGACACAGAGGGGAGAACAGGCTACCTGCAGTTACTTCAGCAGAACCAACAGGGAACGGCAATTCCTCAAGTCTCACCTCCTCCTAGAAGTCCACTCAGCTTACTTCCAACAGTACCTGCAGCTGGTTCAGGAGGCTCGAGGAGTTGGACAGACTTCATTCCCTATCTGAGTCCATTTCCAAATAGATGTCTCAGGAAGGCAGAAGGAGGGAGTAACTTAAAAGGCTCCAGCGGCCGGGCGTGGTAGTTCATGCCTGTAATCTCAGCCCTTTGAAGGCCGAGGCGGGCGGATCACCTGAAGTCAGGAGTTCAAGACCAGCCTGGCCAATGTGGTGAAACCCCATTGCTACTAAAAATACAAAAATTAGCCGGGCATGGTGGCAGGTGCCTGTAATCCCAGCTACTTGGGAGGCTGAGGCAGGAGAATCGCTGGAACCCAGGAGGCAGAGGTTGCAGTGAGCCGAGATTACACCATTGTATTCCAGACGGAGTGAAACTCCGTCTCAAGAAAACAAACAAACAAAAAGCCTCCAGCTTTCCCAGCATTCAACATGGACAGTGAATTAGTGAATTAGAAGGTGCAAAGAGGCAATTTGCTGTAACCTTTGGGGTTCTGGTAATTTTATCGTGCAAAGACTGGAGGGAGCAATTCCACAGCAGTTTCCTTCAACTATGGATATAAAGACTTTCCTATTCTCTGCCTGTTTTATGTATTTATTTACCACTCCCTGCGCCCCCGTCCTGTTCGAACAGGATCACCTCTACTTTTATACAGCAACCTGGACACCACATGGGCTGGTGTTGAAGGTGGGCTTCTGTGGAAGAGAAAGTTGGATTTTTTTTCTTTTTTTTTTTTTTTTTGAGACAGAGCTTTTCACTCCTGTTGCCCAGGCTGGAGTGCAGTGGTGTGATCTCGGCCTACTGCAACCTCTGCGTCCCAGGTTCAAGCAATTCTCCTGCCTCAGCCTCCCAAGTAGCTGGGATTACAGGCACACACCACCACACCCAGCTAATTTTTTTTTTTTTTTTTGGTATTTTCAGTAGAGAAGGGGTTTCACCATGTTGGCTAGACTGGTCTTGAACTCCTGACCTTAAGTGATCCGCCCGGCTCAGCCTCCCAAAGTGCTGGGATTACAGGCATGAGCCACTACACCCAGCCAAAGTTGGATGTTTAAAAGTAAAACAGAACTTATATTTATTAATCATTAATCAGTATCAATCTGATTTTGATCAGTATCAATCAGCATGTGAGAAGTGCTAAGACAGGTATTTCATCCTCTCGTCTGGATGAGCACTGCCCAACAGAAACGTAATGAGAGCCACATATGAAATTTTAAATTCCCTCGTAGCCACTTTCCAAAAGTAGAATAAAATAGATGAAATCAATGTTAAAGATATATTTTATTTGATGCAATATATTTCAATATGGAATCAATACAAAAATTATTAATGAGATGTTTTGCGTTCTTTTTTCTTTTTGTACTAAGTCTTTGAAATCCAGCACGTACTTTGCGTTTGCAGCGCATCTCAATTCCAAGCAGCACATTGCAAGTGTTTGGTGGCCCCATATGGTGGTGGCTGCCATACTGCACAACACAGCTTTGGACAACCCCCTGAGCAAGGTATTATCAGCATCCCTATTTTCCTAAGGAAAAACCGAGAGACAGAAAGGCTACATGATTTTCCTATAGTCACACTGCTAAAAAGTGATCAAGCTGGAATTTGTAACCAGGCCAGCCAGATACCAGAGCAGACACCCTTATTCACTAATTGTTGAGGTCAGGAGTTCGAGACCAGCCTGGCTAACATGGTGAAATCCCATCTCTACTAAAAAATACAAAAATTAGCCGGGCGTGGTAGCACACACCTGTAATCCCAGCTGCTCAGGAGGCTGAGGCAGGAGACTTGCTTGAACCCTGAATGTGGAGGTTGCAGTGAGCTGAGCTCATGCCACTGCACTACAGCCTGGGCGACAGAGCAAGACTCCCTCTCCAAAAAAGAAAGAAAGAGAACAAAATATAAGTGCTCTGTGTCTCTTACGATGTCTTAGAATAAACAAATATGTAAGTTCTCCATCTACCCTTCCAGACATTTGAGGACATCTAGACTAATATGGCAGACACATTTCTCTTCTCCATACCTGTTCTATTAGTCCTTGCTCAGAGATCTTAATTTCACAAAAGAAATAAAAAAGCCTGGTGGAGATACCACAGTGGGGAGAGTTTTTAGAAAACAGGCAGATCTATTCTCAGCATTCACCTTGGAAGACCTCCAAGGGTGTCTCAACATTGACAGTCTAAGAAGCATCTGCTCCAGTGAAGTCACCTCAGTCCACATCATGGAAATTCCAGGACCCTCCTCTACGCTGAATGCAAGCAGAGAGCATCTGCCAACTGGGTCAGCAGAACATGGGAGAATCAGGCCAAGGATCTCCGTAGCTCCCTCCACACGCTCCAAATAAATGCGGCTTTCACAGGCACGCAAGGGTCCGCAAGGGGAAGGCCTCCCAAGGTGCTGGGATTGCAGGCATAAGTCAAGGTGAGAGGCCCACCTTGGAGAGTATCCTGTTCAAACCTAGTTTGAGTGAGGTCTGGGAGCTGCCGTGGCAGATGGCCTTAATTATTCACACAGTTGAGCCCAGGAGTGGGTCGTAATTAAAGGGACAAGGCAAGGTGCCGAAGGACTGAAGTCTCTGACTGACACAAATAAAAGCCAGAGACTGCCAGGAAAAGTTGGTTGTGCCTGGCTCTTCAGAAAGGGAGAAATTATCCCCCAATATGGTCTCACTGGGCTTTTGACTGCACGGCTGAGAACCCTCTTACATTCAATGCAGTCCATTCAAGGTTACAACATTCACACAGATGATTCTAGTATAAGCTTTGCCAACAAGAGGCACTGTGTCCTCGGGGGGTATCAGAGAGAGATCAGGAAAGAATTCCTTCACATTAGAGGGACTCGGGGATCGAGGTATTCCTTATAAACATCAGGTGGGATCAGCTTACCCTCCCCAGGGTCTCGGGCACCTCCCAATGCAGGGGCCCACTCAGACAGCCCACAGCACACCCTTCCAGGAAAAACAGGCGGGATGCTCTGCCACCTCTTTACTGACCATAAACGGCATGGACTAGCGGCTTAGTCATGCAGAATTTGGTTCAAATCTTATTTCTTAGCTTATTAGCTCTGTGACCTAGGCCCACTTAGATTTTTCTAAGTCTCAGGATTTCATCTACCAAATGGAAACAATATGTACTTAAAAACAACTTTTTAGGCCAGGCACGGTGGCTCATGCCTGTAATCCCAGCACTTTGGGAGGCTGAGGCAGGTGGATCACTGGAGGTCAGGAGTTCGAGACCAGCCTGGCCAACATGGTGAAACCCTATCTCTACCAAAAATACAAAAATTAGCTGGGCATAGTGGTGGGCACCTGTAATCCCAGCTACTTGGGAGACTGAGGCAGGAGAATCACTTGAACCCGGAAGGCAGAGGTTCAGTGAGCCGAGATCACGCCATTGCACTCCAGCCCGGGCGACAAGAGCGAGACTCTGTCTCAAACAAACAAACAAAAAAACTTTTTTAAGGAAAAATATGAAACATCTTTTCAGGCCTGTTGTAAAAATCAAAGATCATGCTTCTTAAGTTCCTAGACCATAGCAGGTGGCCAATAAAAATAGCAGCTAATATATCTTGGTTCAAACAGGTGCTGCCTGCTAGATTCGAGTCAGGTTATTCAGGCACCAACTACAGTTCTGAGTGATACTAAGCTGCATAATGCAGTTGCTTACATTTAATTTTGATCTTCAGCTTCCCCAGGTGTTATTTGGGGAACTGTGAGCTGCCAAGGCTGAGCCTAGGTAGTTCCTTCTGGATCCCGCACCTTGCAACAACTTAAAATTTAGAAATGGGCTGGGTGCTCATGCCTGTAATCCTGGCACTTTGGGAGGCCAAGGTGGGATGATTGCTTCAGCTCAGGGGTTTGAGACCAGCTTGAGCAACATAGGGAGATCCTGTCTCTACAAAAAAATTTTTTTTTTTAATTGGCTGGGCATGGTAGCAAATGCCTATTGTTCCAGCTACTTGGGAGGCTGAGGCAAGAGGATCACTTGAGCCCAGGAGGTTGAGGCTGCAGTGAGCAGTGACTGTGCCACTGCACTCCAGTCCAGCCTGGGCGACAGAGCTGGGACTTGTCTCCAAGAAAAACAAAAACAAAAAGCAAAAAATATACTCACACACACACACACACACACACACACACACACACACACACACACACTAGAAATGTACATTTACTCCAAAGAATATACAATATTAGCAAAAAGCTTAATTATCTAAATAAAAAGGTGTCTTCTCATATACTGTATACATTAGGTATGTGCAAAATTGTGCCAAGTCTGCAAGTAAAGCTTTTAAGGAGGGTAGGGGAAAAAAAGACTTTTAAGCAGGGCTTGTATCAGCCAGTGCTTGCTGATCTTGCTGAGAGCTGGGGAAGAGGGCTGGGTTGGAGGGAGAGAAAGAGGTTCAGAACCTTGAACTTACTCAAGGTTCTGAGTTGGTCATAAGCAGTACTGTTACAATTGTCCAACAAGCATCATTCATTGGAAGACATTGTTAGCCCTTGAAGCACCTGTCACCCTAAGAACTTTCTGCTACACTCCAGAATCCCTGATTTTTCTTATCCCAGTAGTAGTATTGTCCTGATAATGGATGAGTGTTTGAAAATCCTTCATGAAGCCTCACTTAATTTTGACCCAGCAGAGCTAACAGAGGAAAAGAAGAAAATGTAAAACTGGCCTTTCTAGGGTCCTTTTCTTAGTGTCCTTTTCTTAGGCTACTACCTTGATAGCTGAGTCAGTCTGCCTAGGAAGGAATGTGAAAGGCCTACTCCAAAAAACTCTCCAGTATCAAGATTTTTATTGAAGCTACTGAAATTTTTTTCTTCCTCCAAAAGCAATCCGTTTTGAATCATTTCATCATCCACCTAAAAAGGCATTCTGTGTTATAGAATTCACCTGCTTAATGGTACCTTCTGGAAAATCAAGGACAATTGGCTTCCTAGTTCATTCTTAAACACAGGAGAAACCCAGAACATGACCTCTGATCAATGACACTTGACCTTGTGGCACGCAGTCGAATAATGCCCCATGTGACTAACTGATTCCTAGTCAATAGCAACAATTGTTTTTATTGCCAATAGCAATAAAAATTCCTAGTCATGCACAGATAAAGGGGAAAACACATTGTAAAAATTATACAGTGTTTGGACATCATGCTTTTAGATTTTCAAGTGCCCTGACACAACCTGATCCTGATGTGATGCTCATAACTGTCCCCTTCCCTAATATGAGTATGTGGGGCATAGGACTCTCACAAAGCAGGCTTCAATGGGACCCCACTTTGCTTGCCTGGCCTCCGGCAGGCCCCCAGTAAATAGGGAAGTGATTCATTCCTCCCAGCACTGGCTCCACATCTTGTGCCCTGGAGCTCCCAGCAACAGTCCTGCCTGCCCCGGATTTGAAGCATCTCATAAACAACCTGGCAGTTCTCAGCCAGGAACAGTGCCCTACCCTGCCAAGGACACTTGCTTGCAACAGTGTGGCCCAGAGCTCGGCTGAATTTCTTCCTTCCAGACAGAATGTTCCGCTTGACATTTCTGCCAGATGCCTGCATTCACATTTGGGGTCAGGGGCTAGGGTGGGGTCTCTCTCCTCCATCAGACCCTCCCTGCCTGGGATTCCTGCTTGGACCAACAGGAGAGATGAATGGTCCTCATTCATGGCCCAGAGCACACTGTGGAGTGGCGATCTCAGCTGTGGTCTGGGGCTGCTTCTGGCCCCACGGGGAACACATTCCTTTGTGGAAACAGGCTGTCTTGGCTGAATGGGGTTTGCTCAGAGAATGAGGGAAGTGGCTCGGGGGCCATGGGACCCTTTAGAACCACCTTAGACAAGAATGGAGACTTTAACACCAGGCTTGGTCCGGGCTGTCTGATCCACTTGGCCCCTGGCCAAAGAGTCTACTTCAGTCTCGTCTATTTCTGGCCACAAAGTGGGAATGTTCAGGGCACAGTGAGATGGTGAGAAGGTAAGCATACAAAACTGCATTTTTTCCCCCAGCCTCCAAAAAGAGGTCTTTGTTGGCATAATTTGTTGTGACCAATGGGGGTTCCCCGCAGCCCACCGCTGGCTCTGGGTGGAATCTCATTCTGACCAGGCTGTTTCCTGGGAAGGCTGAAGGTACAGTTTCAAAGACTTTAAAATGTGCCTACCAGAGACTCTCAGATCGGATCAGAGTGCAAAAGCCAAATACATTAGTCTATAAGACACATCTCTTCTCTGCAGCTCATAAAGGGGCAGGGAAAATCCAAAATTGGTGATTTTGCTTAAAGGCAATTCAGAAAGTGATAGAGACAAGGATGCCTTATTAGTCTGTTTTCACACTACTGATAAAGACATACCTGAGATGGGGTAATTTATAAAGAAAAAGAGGTGTAATGGACTGACAGTTCCATGAGGCTGGGGAGGCCTCACAATCATGGTGGAAGGTGAAAGGTGAAAGGTGAAAGGTGAAAGGCACGTCTTACATGGCAGCAGACATGAGAGAATATGAGAGCCAAGCGAAAGGGGTCTCTCCTTATAAAACCATCAGCTCTTGTGAGACTTATTCACTACCACAAGAACAGTATGAGGGAAGTTGCCCCATGATTCAATTATCTCCCACTGGGTCCCTTCCACAACATGTGGGAATTATGGGAGCTACAATTTAAGATAAGATTTGGGTGCGGATACAGCCAAATCATATCAATGCCTGTTGGGTTCATATTACCCGATCCCTACAACCTTAACAAACAAACAACAACAAAACAAGAGACATGGTTTGACTATAAGATAACACATAACAATTGGAAAAACATGGCCAGCATCTGAGAGTGGTCTCAGATTCAAATCTGGCTTCTGCAAATGGGGAAGAGTTTTAGGTTCTTCACGGGCTACATCAGAAGTTAAAGTGCCCAGTATAGTGACTGGCTCAGTCACCACAATTATAAAATCAGCAACAATCTGGACAAAATCCAGGAGGCGTATCATCATTCCCATCAAGCACTCTTGGGTAACAGGCTTTAATCATCCTCCCCCACTACACACACACTCTCTCAGACACACTGTTTCTCAGAGCTAATAATCTATGGCCAAATCGGTCTGAGTTTCTGTGCCACTTTCAAGGCGATATTGAAGTCCACAAAAGGCAGGCAAGGGGAAGGTGAACAGAAGCCAAATCCAAAATGGCATGCAAGCTTGGTAGGAAATGAAATCACTGCAAGCAAGTCCAGGGATTATAGGGATGGGGCCCGTGGCATGAAAATTCCTGGAGGGGGAGTGCTGAGATTTGGCCTAGGCACAGACACTGAGGTCAGGAGGGGTTTGGGTGGTTGGAAATAAGATGAGTGTACTGGGTGAAAGATGGTGGGAATCCTGGGCTGGAGGGAGTACAAAACCAGTTTTTCTGAGATGACCCATCAAAAGTGGCCAGAGAGGCACCTTCTGAGCTCAGTCCCCAAGTGACATCCTCCCTATGCCCTTCCTGCTTAGCTTGTCACATGCCTCATGTGAGGCTCATGACAGCAGACCTCGCCCTTGGCTCTGTATACCTTTCGCATCTCCAGAAGCTGCCAGGCCAAGCTGTCATCCAAGCAATGCAACCTGGGCTAATAATCAATCCTTTAGGCCTGTGCTTGTCCTATGACAGCCAAACCCAGAGAACCCAGTGATGGCAGGGGCAGCTGGCACAGAGACCACAGCCACATTTTCAGCTTGTCTGGAAATTTCTGGCTCCATAAGGCAGTCAGGTAGGAGTGCTGGTCTGAAGTTCACTAAGAGCCCATGATCTGGATCCTGTCCAGAAGCCTAAGGAGCAATAGCAGCAGGCATCAAGTGTCACATCACTGAAGCTGGCCGGGCTTGGCTGCTACAATGCCAGCTGGTGCTGGGTCACCAGGGACCATTCATCAAGGTAATGTCATCCACAGGGTAGTGGCATATAGAGAGAGACCTGCAGGTCCTCGCTTTTACTGAGGGAGACAGACCTTGTCAGCTACTTGTGAAGCTGATCAGTTTCATTGGTGCTGATCACATGCCTCTTCTGGGCCTCTTTTTAAAGAATGATTCTAATAGTCTTACTCCATCTCCAGACTGGCATGGCTCCCACTACCAGTGACAGGATGTCTCCATCCTCTTTAGCATGACACAAACTAGCTTCAACCTGCTACCCTGAGCTTCAGCCATGCTGACCTGTGCACATGTGGTTCCAACTGCTTTTACACCCCCCTGCCCTTGGACTTGCCATTTCCTGTTCTAGAACATCACATATCCACTTCATGAACACCTACTCTTTAAGAATCGACTCACGTGTGTGTATAAAACATCCTAAGGAATCTGCTAAAAAACTATCAAAACCAGTAAATGAGTTCAGCAAGGTTACAGGATACAATATCAACATACAAAAATTAACTGTATTTCTATACAGTCACAATGAAAAATTCAAAATGAAATAAAGCAATCCCATTTACAATAGCATCAAAAATAATAAAATACTTGGGAGTAAATTTAACAAAAGAAATATAAACTTTATACCCTGAAAACTACAAAACATTGTTAAAAGAAATTAAAGACGATCTAAATAAATGGGAAAACATCCCATGTTCATGGACTGGAAGACTTAAATGGTTAAGATGAGAATACTCCTCAAATTGATCTACGAATTCAACACAATTTCTATCACAATCCCAGCTGACTTCTTTGCAGAAATTGACAAGCTGATTGATTCTAAAATTCCTGTGGAAGTGCAAGAGACCCAGATTAGCCAAAACAATTCTGAAAAGGAGAACGAAGTAAGAGGACTTATACTTCCTGTTTTCAAAACTTACTACAAAAGTCAAGGCAGTATGGTACTGGGATACGGAGAGACATATAGATCAATGAGATAAAACTGAGAGTCCAGAAATAAACTCATATATCTATGGTCAATTGGTTTGGACAAGGTCCCAAGACCATTCAATGGGGAAAGAATTGTCTTCAAAAAACAGTGCTGGAACAACTGAATAGCCACATGCAAAAGAATGAAGTTGGGGCCCGACCTCATAGCATTTACAAAAATAAATGAAAATGGATCAAAGACCTTAATGTAAAAGCTAAAACTGTAAAACCCTTAGAATAAAACATAGAGTACGTCTTCATGGATTTGGCAGTGATTTCTTAGACATTACACCAAAAGCACAAGAAACAAAAGGAAAATATACGTAAATTAAACTTTATCAAAATAAAAAAACTTCTGCACATCAAAAAAAAATGTTTTGAAGATGCTTTATGAACCAGGGCAGCAGTGGTGAGGGTGAGAAAAAAGGGTGATGACCAAATATTTATCGCACTTATTCTACTGTTTTGTCATTGTCTATTTGCATGTCTGTTTCTCTTTTAAGCTGGTGATCCCTCTAGAGGGTAAGCATCTGTAGCTTATACACTTCTGGATCCCCTGTGCTCAACACAGAATAGACGTTGAATAAATGTGATTTGAACTGGAAAGAAAACAGACACTGTCAAGAAAGGGAAAAGATAACCCACAGAATGGGAGAAAATATTTGTAAATCATATATCTGCAATGGTCTAGAATTCAGAATATGTAAAAATTGTTTATAATTTAACAATAAAAAGACAAGAAACCCAGGCTAGGCACGGTGGCTCATGCCTGTAATCCTAGCACTTTGGGAGGCCGAGGTGGGCGGATCACCTGAGGTCAGGAGTTCAAGACCAGCCTGGCCAACATGGTGAAACCTTGTCTCTACTAAAGATACAAAAATTAGTCAGATACGGTAGCGCGTGCCTGTAGTCCCAGCTACTCGGGAGGCTGAGGCAGGAGAATCGCTTGAACTCGGGAGGTGGAGGTTGCAATGAGCCGAGATCGTGCCACTGCACTATAGCCTAGGTGACAGAGTGAGACTCTGTCTCAGAGAAAAAAAAAAAAAAAAAAAGACAACCAACCCAATTAAAAATGGGCAAAAACTTAAATAGACACTTCCCCAAAGAAGATATACAAATGGCTTACAAGCACATAAAAAGGTGTGATACATCACTCGTCATCAAGCAAACACAAAGTACCATGAGATACCACTTCATACCCATAAAGGTGGCTGGAATTTTCTTAAGGGGAAAATAAAAAGTGTCCCCAAAGATGTGGAGAAATTAGAATCCTCATACGTTGCTAGTGGAAATGTAAAATACTACAGCCACTGTGAAAAACAATTTGGTGATTCCTCAAAAAGCTAAACATAGAATTACTATATGACCCAGCAACCCCCCTCCTAAGTATATACCCCCCCAAAATTGAAACACATTGAAACAGGTGTTCAAACAAAACTTTTACATGAATGTTCATAGCAGTATTATTCATAATACTCAAAGGGTGGAAACAACCCAAATGTCTGTCAACTATAAATGGATTAACAAAATACGGTATGCCCATACAATAGAATATTATTCGGCCATAAAAAGTAACGAGATACTGACACATGGTGAGGCTTAAAAACATTAGGGGAGCACCGTGGCTCCCGCCTGTAATCCCAGCACTTTGGGAGGCCAAGGTGGGCGGATCACGAGGTCAAGAGATCGAGACCATCCTGGCCAACATGGTGAAACCCCGTCTCTACTAAAAATACAAAAATTAGCTGGGTATTGTGGCGCACGCCTGTAGTTCCAGCTACTTGGGAGGATGAGGCAGGAGAATCGCTTGAACCTGGGAGACGGAGGTTGCAGTGAGCCGAGATGGCGCCACTGCACTCCAGCCTGGTGACAGAGCAAGATTCCGTCTCAAAACAAAACAAAACAAAGAAACAACAACAAAAAAACCATTAAGGGAAGTGAAAAAAGCCAGACCAAAAAAAAAAAAAAAAAACCACATATTATATGATTCTATTTACACAAATTATACAAAATTGGCAATATAGAGACAGAAACTAGATTAGTGGCTGTTTAAGGCTGGGAGGATAGGCGGTGGTGGCTAACGGATATGGACTTCTCTTTGTGTTGATGAAAACATTTTAAAGTTGACTGGGGTGATATTTGCACATATCTGTGAATATACTGAAATCCATTGACTTGTACATTTTAATGGGTGAATTGGATGATATGCAAATTATATCTCAATAAAGTCTTTTAAAAAAGAATCTACTTCGATGACACTTGAAAGTGTCATGCAGGCAGCCTGGGGGTGGTTGCCAGGCATCAAAATATTACTCTTGACTGAAGACTTTATTATTATTATTTTATTATTTTTGGAGGCAGAGTCTTACTCTGTCGCCCAGGCTGGAGCACAGTGGCACAATCCTGGCTCACCGTAACCTCCGCCTCAGCCTCCTGAGTAGCTGGGATTACAGGCGTGCACCACCATGACTGGCTAATTTTTGTAATTTTAGTAGAGATGGGGTTTTACCCTGTTGCCCAGGCTGGTCTCGAACTCCCGAGCTCAGGCAATCCCCCAACCTTGGCCTCCCAGAGTACTAGAATTACAGGTGTGAGCCACTGTGCCTGGCCTTATTTCTAAATACACACATAAACTCTTAGAGTCACTGATAAATCGTTCTACTTAAGAAGAGAGAGAAGTCTGGGCACGGTGGCTTACACCTGTAATTCCAGCACTTTGGGAGGCTGCGGCAGGATCCTGAGGTCGGGAGTTCGGGAGCAGCCTGACCAACATGGAGAAACCCTGTCTCTACTAAAAATACAAAATTAGCAGGGTGTGGTGGCACATGCCTGTAATCCCAGCTACTCGGGAGGCTGAGGCAAGAGAATCGCTTGAACCCAGGAGGTGGAGGTTGCGGTCAGCCAAATCGTGCCATTGCATTACAGCCTGGACAACAAGAGCAAAACTCAGTCTCAAAAACAAACAAACAAACAAACAAACAAACAAACAAAAAAACGAGAGAGAGATCAGGTGGGAAGGGAAGGAGGGAGGAAGGAAATGAGGAGGGCAGGCAGGATACGGCCAAAGAATGGGCTTAGACTTGTGCTCCAGCAGAAGCTGCCAGAAAGGCAGGAGTTCTCCAGGTGGATTTGAACCCTACAATGGCCAAGGGGCAGCCTGGAATGATCCTAGTGGTGATACCCTAACACAGCTACAATTGCAAATCTCAACAGGTTGTACTCCCATCCCTAGACGTTTTAAGGAAAGGAGCTACTTAAATCTCATAACTAATCTGTGATTATAAACTGACTCTTTCAAATCACAGATTATTAACTGTGTTCTTTCAAATATCTCTTCCAAACCCCCTCATGGTAGAGAAAATCAATATCCAGTCCCAAGATCTTGAGGTGTAATTGAAGCAGCCATGTTTGGGCATGAAACGTATTTGAAATCTCCTGCTTTGCCTTTAAATTCATGCATTCTTGCTAATGTTCTATTCTTGATGTAGTAGCAAGGGCATGTTCACTTTGTAAAAGTTCATCCATAACAGGCATTTGTACACCAATGTTCACAGCAGCATTATTCCCAGTCACCAAAAGGTGGAAACAACTCACATGTCCACCAGTGGAGGAGGAGATAAACAAATGTGGTCTATCCATACAGTGGGATATTATTCAGGCTCAACAAGGAAGGAAATTCTGACACAGGTTACAACGTGAAAAAACCTGGAAGCCATGCTAAGTAAAATGAGCCAGACACGAAAAGACAAATATAATATATTCCACTTATATGAAGTACCTAGTTCAGTCATAGTCACAGAGACAGAAAGTAGAATGGGGGCTGCCAGGGATTGGTCGGAGGGGGAGAGTGGAGTTAGTGTTCAATGGGTACAGAGTTTCTGTTTTGGAAGATGCAAAAGTACCAGAGATGGCTGATGGTGATGGTAGCACAGCAGTGTCAACACACTTAACGCCACTGCACTGTACACTTGAAAATAGTTAAGATGGTGAGTTTTATGTTACGTATATTTTACCACAATAAACACAAAAGCAACCCAAAAAGCCTATGTGGGTATATACTTAGGATCATGTGATTTTACCTAGATATGCTATTCTTGGGGTGGGTGAAATCATCTTTAGAAATATGCTTTTCCGGCCAGGCACAGTGGCTCACGCCTGTAATCCCAGCACTTTGGGAGGCCCAGGCGGGTGGATCACGAGGTCAGGAGATCGAGACCATCCTGGCTAACACGGTGAAACCCTGTATCTACTAAAAATAGAAAACATTAGCTGGGTATGGTGGCGGGCGCCTGTGGTCCCAGCTACTCAGGAGGCTGAGGCAGGAGAATGGCGTGAACTTGGGAGGCGGAGCTTGCAGTGAGCCGAGATCGCGCCACTGCACTCCCAGCCTGGGCAACAGAGCAAGACTCTGTCTCAAAAAAAAAAAAAAAAAAGAAAGAAATATGCTTTTCCGTGGGCATAGTGGTGCATGCCTGTAATCCCAGCTACTCGGGAGGCTGAGGCAGGAGAATCTCTTGAACCTGGAAGGTGGAGGTTGCCGTGAGCTGAGATTGCACCACTGCACTCCAGCCTGGGTGACAGAGTAAGACTCTGTCTCAAAAAAAAAAAAAAAAAAAAAAAAAGAAATGTGCTTTACTCAATTTTATATTTGTAATTGTTTTAGAAAGATATTTAGAAAAGTATCTTTCTCACTACATCTTCGAGTCATGCAGGCACTCTGAAGAGCTATACTGTGTTTACCTTGGTACCCCAGTGGTATATCAGGACAAGCCTGGGGGCAAAAGAAGTTCATGGATCCAAGTTCCAGAAAGATATTATAAAGAAACTGCAAATTAAGTTGTTCACAAGTCATCACCATAAGTTATCTTGTCGTAAGTGTATGTTTTATAGGCAAGTGGCATCATTTTTGCAGAAGATACCCTCAGCACTTTGTTGGCAACACATCAAGGAGGATATGTCTGTTGCCACAGGACATCCAGAGGGCCAGCTGTGTCTGCTTGTCTGACGTGGATCGTAGGAATGAAAAAACTAAAAAGAAAACATCACTCTTTGCTTAGAAGACTATAATTAAATATAATACTTAAGGTATCCCAAGTGAAGGGATCAAAAGCCCTGGACAAGAAGAACCTACTAACTGTGTTCCTAACCACAACCTCAGCATCTGCTGAGTTAGTTCTTGTTCTCATCTGCCACACACACTACTTGCCTGGTAATAGTATTTCTGCCACAGAAAGTGCAAAAGATTTGTTAAAACTCTGGACAGAAGTCTGAACTACACAGTCCCCAGCATCCTTTATCATCATCAACCAAGTGGCTATTCTTTCTTTGTTTTTGAGACAGGGTCTCACTCTGTCACCCAGGCTGGAATGCACTATAGCCTTGACCTCCTGGGCTCAAGCAATCTTCCTGCCTCAGCCTCCTGAGTAGCTGGGACTATACCATGCCTGGCTAATTTTTTTTTTTTGGTAGAGACTGGGTCTCCCTATGTTGCCAGCTATTCTGAAAAGGCGCCTAGAGACGTCCCTGACGCTGGTCACGGTAGAAGGGCTGCCAATACGCTTGGCCAAGAGGTGCTCCCTGCTGAGCAAGCACTGCATTGGACAGCAGTGGGTGCATGTGTGGAATTACTCAGGTGAGAGATTTCTGATGTCTTGCTTCAACTTACACAGGACTGAAGACTTAAGAGACTCAGCTGTGTGTTGCTCTGGTTGCATCTCTGTGAATGTCTGGTTGGCCCTTCCTTTTCTAGCCTGCAACTGCTATTCCCGCCTTGTCTGTGGGCCTAGAGCAGAGTGGCCTCGGGCCACTTCATCTGAGGCCTCATGGACCACCCAGGGTGTGACTGCCATGCAGACCGACCACAAAAGCCTTTCTCCAGGGGGAAATGGACGATGACAGTAACAAGCTGCTCTTTTAAAGCCAGGCAGCCCCTGGGAATGGGAAATCATATCTCCTGCTGTGGTTTGAATAGGTGTCCCTCCAAAAAATTCATGTTGAAATTTAATCCCCAATGTGGCAGTTTTGAGAGGTGGGGCCTTTAAGAAGTGGTTGAATCATGAGTGCTCTGCCCTCATAAACTGATGAATCCATTCACCAATTAATAGATGAATCGGTTATCATGGGAAGGGAATTGGTGGCTTTACAAGAGGAAAAGAGACTTGAGCTAGCATGTTATCATGCTCAGCCCCCTCACGATGGTCCTGCATCACCTTGGGATACTGCCAAGTCCCCACCAGCAAGAAGGCCCTCACCAGGTACAGCTCCTGGACTTTGGACTTCTCAGTCTCCATAACTGTAAGAACTAAATTCCTTTTGTTTAATAAACTACCGAGTTTCAGGTATTCTGTTATAAGCAACAGAAAATGGACTAAAACACCTCCTAAGGCTCCCCAAACTTTAAAATGAAGGAAGCAGTCATGCTTGTGCAACTGCAGCTGCTGGTGTGGAATCACCTAGAAATTCTTCCTCCATGGAGACAGCCTATTAGCTAAGGAAAAAGAATCTATGGCCGTCAGAAGGCAGGGTGATTTAAGGTTAATGTCTTGCCACTTCGGAGTTCCTCCCGTTGGATGGAATCGGGTTGACCAGTTTCTCTGCCTCTAACTGGCTATTTTATGGAAGGTCTGTTCATTCCCTGTTTCAAAGCAACAAGCGTAACAGCAGAACATCTAGGAGTCCTGTGCCAAGAGATTCCTTTTTCCCACATGATCTGCCAAGAAAGGAGAATTCCAACTTATGAGTCTCATTAACAAGGTGGAGAAATTTCTTCTTCGCTCCATTTCAAAAGCAAATAAACTTAAGTAATGAAAATGCTAAAAGCAGAAGGCTCTGGTGTTGTATTAGTCTGTTCTCATGCTGCTAATAAAGACATACCCGAGACTGGGTACTTTGTAAAGGGAGGAGGTTTAATGGACTCACAATGCCACATGGCTGGGGAGGCCTCACAATCATGGCAGAAGACAAAGGAAGAGCAAAGGAACATCTTACATGGTGGCAGGCAAGAGAGCATGTACAGGGGACTCCCATTTATAAAACCATATCTCACGAGATTTACTTCTCAGGGGAAAGATCTACCCCCATGATTCAATTACCTTTCATCGGGTCTTTCCTACAACACATGGGAATTATGACAGCTACAATTCACAATGAGATTTGGGTGGGGACACAGCCAAGCCATATCAGGTGTTGCATATCTTCATTGGTCAAATGCAGAATAAAGTCATGCATAAACTAAGGGCTTCAATGGGAAGCCTATATACCCCTACTTCTCTGTCATAGGATTTGAGGGCTTCAGCATGAAGGTACCAGCTGTCAGAGTACTCAGGTGATGCTCAGAGAGGGGAGATTGTCCTCTACTAGATTTCTTTCTGGGGCCTTTGTTTCTTCCAGGAATCCCAGCAACAGTCATTTCACTCATCCTATTTTTACACCTTGGAGTCAAATAATGAGGAAGTACACTGCTCTCTAGTTCAGAGAGGGCAGCTCTGAGCCCTTACAGTTTTGCAATGAGCTAGGAAACAAACCCTGGCTTCCTGATTTTGCAGTTCATTTATCTCAAGCACCAAATGTCCAATTACTAATATTTACACAGGGATTTCTGACAGCAGGTGTATAGGAAGTGATAAGCCCAGGATGAAGCCTGAGCCAAGAAGAACTCTTCAGAGAGCAGCTGAGAGTCCACGAGTAACATGGAGAACCAGAACCACCGAAGCCCAGCCATGAGGAGGCTGGGTTAGACCCTGGCTCCCTGGGTCACCAGCTGTGCCCTCTGGACAGCTTATCTGTTTATCCATTTCCTCAGCTGAGAAATGAATTTGAAAATACTCACCTAACTCTTTAGTGGGACCTTGTAAGAATCAAATGACATAGTGGACAGAAAAGTAGTTTGAAAGGAAGAACATAACAATAGGAATGTAACAAGTTACACAAATCAACAGAACTCAGATCAACTATAAAAAAAGACATTTTGAGGAAAATTGGGAAATGCTTAAATATAGACTGCTATTTGGCATTAGATGATACCAAATATTTTTTTTTTAGTTTTCTTAGGTCTAAATATGGCATCATAGTTATGTAAAATCTTTAGAAATCACACTGAAATATGTAGCAATGAAATGACATGATGTATAGGATTTGCTTTAAACTACTTCAATGACAGAAACAAAGGGACAGATGACGTACATGTGGCAAAATAACTGTTGAAATTCAGTGAGAAGCTTATGAGGCATCATTATACCCTTCTCTCTACTTTTTTTGCATACTTGAAATTTTTTGAGAATAAAAAATAAACAATGTAGTGTTTTCTGGGACTCAACACCTTCGCTGATGGTCATGTCTATCTAGAGCACAGAAAATCTGTTTCCTTCACAAAGCCCTTCCACACTGGCCATCTAGAGGTCAAAGGACAAGGACTTGGGAAGAGGCCAGGAGAGGCCAGTTGGAAAGAAAATAAAAGGAAGCATCTTTGCAGAATCTCCTATCTGTGATACTTAAAATGTCAGCCAATGTGTGGTGTTAAGTACGTTTTGTTTTCAGACCTGAGTTTCATACTCAACTTTGCCACTCAATGCCTAAGTGACCTTAGACTAAGTCACTTTCTAACACAAAGTTACAGGGAAGCAAATGCACATGCATGCACAAACACACATATACATATACACACGTGCACACATGCGTGCACACACATACACACAAGTGCACAAACGCGCACACACACATACACATGCAAACATGCACACAAACACAAATACACATATACACATACAGGTGTGCACACATGCACACAGGAATACATATGCACACACATTGCGTGCACACACACGTGCCCGCGCACACACACCTGTGTGCGCATATAAACACACACCGGTGCACACACATACACAAACACACTCGTGTGGAGACACACACATGCACACATACATGTGCCCACACATACACGTGCACACATGCATACACAAACGTGCGCGCGTGCACACACAGATTAGTGAGACTCAATTTCCTTGGGGAGAGCCTTGGTAGCCACTGGGGCCCATGGGGAGCACGCATCTTGTCATGGCTCTGGTGGCCATTCCAGGGCAGATACTAGGGACCAGGAAGAGGAACGGGACAAAGGTGAGGAGAAAGATTAAAAATTTAGTCAAGTTAGGATCCAGTGAGTCAGTCACTTATCTGGGAACTGACCAGGGAAATGAACTCTTCCTCTTCCACCCTAAACCCCAACCCTGACCATTAAGTACATGATACACCATCAATAACTAATTCATTCCACCAAAGATGACAAATGTTGTTTTGGGGTTCCAGGACGGACAGGCTAGCAGTGGTGTAGGGGAGGGGCCTGGAGTAAGAGGTATGGGTTTCAGTCCCCACATTGACTAACTCAGTGACCGTGAGCCTCAGCGTTTTTCTTCCTCTGGGAGAAAAAAAAAAAAAGTATTGTTTTTGAGATCTCTGCAGTTTCAAGATCTTAGGGACGAAACTAATTTGGAGCATGTTTCTGTCATGCACATCTCTCCCCTCATCAGGACTTGGGGTTTCCTAACCATATTGAGTAGTTCAGCCCCCTCCCTCGCCGTGTTCTGCGGTGTTCTCTTCCTCACACCCTCGCCCCGCTCCGCCCCGCACTCCGGCTGTTTTTTGATGGTCTTAGCTCGGGCACGGAGAGGAGGGAACCTCGCTTGTTCTCCCAATCATCTCTATTCCAGCGCTGATTCCTGGGACACCTCGAGCAGGCAGCCACACCCAGAGGGCTTCCAAATTTGGGCTGGTGAGAAGGGGCGCGGTGGGCAAAGCGCCTGCGTAAAAGTTGTAGGCACTTCAGACCACCGGACCAACGGCTCAAGATTGGGATCAGCTGTAGCCGTGGGTTCGCTCGTGCCCGTTCTTTCCAACTCCAGGGCTTCTAGGTGATGAAGGCGGGAGAGGGTCCCTGGTCCCCGGAGAGGCAGGGCGACTTGGGAGTGCATACCTGGCGTGCCGAGAGCGCCTCTGCTCCCGCAGGACTCACGGCGCTCCCGCGCTCCCAACAGCCTTTCGAGCAGGCTGGGGGTTGAACCGGGTTCAAGCAGTGGACGCTACAGCTCCCGGGCGCAGCCCCCGGGGTCCCCGCCCCCACTCCGTCCCAGCCCAGCACGCTCTACATCCCCAAAACCACAGCCCCGAGGGCAGTCACTGTCTCCCGACCCGTCCCCCGCGTGCCCCACTCCTCAAAGCCAGAATTCCGGAGACGCTGTCCCTGGAGCCACGCTGCACTCTCCAAGACGCCCAGCACACACCGAGACTTGACGGGCTCTGTCCCGCCTGATTACGGGCGCTCGGGACGATCCAGGGACCCAGCGCCTCGCTCCCCGGGCGCGCCAGCAGCCGCGCCGCGCCCGGCCCGTACGAGGTGGGGTTGGGCGGGGCCGCCCGGGGCGGCAGGAGGACCCGTTAGCCTGCACGTCCTCGCATCGCTCCCCGCAAGAAGTCTTTGGGAACCCCCAGGCACTGTCGAGAGGCAGCCCCGCGCAGGACGAAGCCTGGAGACCCCATAGGGACGCTCCCGCTTTCTCGCGAACCGCTTCGGGGAGGGGGTGGCGCGGGAAGCGCTCTTACTTGGTTTCAGGGATCCGCAGTGGCCGGGCTGGGACCGCGCTCTCCACGGTGGTCCCCCTCCGCTTCCGCCGCCGCTGAGCCCCTTTCTCGAGCAGAGGGGGCGGCTCTGGTCTCCGATGGCTGGAGAAAGCAAGCACCAAGCGTAGGTAGCCGCGCGCTGGAGTCGCGCGTTTACTCTTTTCCCCCTTACTTTTAACTAGAGGAGGATGGCAAACCCCTCCCCGGACCCACCCCCTTCCCCGAAGGCGGCCGCCGCAGCAGGCCCGGCCTCCGGCCTCTTTTGTTGTAATTCGAGAGCGGCCACTCCCAGGGCCAGAGGGAGCTCCGCGGGGGAGGCCAAGGCCTGCGGGGCAGCCCTTCCCAGGCTCCTCGCGCCCGGGTTTCCGGAGCCTGAGATGCCGGGAAGGGGGCCTTTCCTCGGGAGATTCCTCTACCCTTTCCTCCCTGCAGCCGTCCCAGAATTTAACCCTTCGATGTCCTTATCCACCAGCCTTAGGGCCCGTGCCTTGTCCACCTCCTATCCCGAAAACCCTGGCCCTCCTTGGCACATAATACACGCTCAATTAAAGCTGCCGAATGAAAGTGTTCAGAAACTTGCACCCATCTCGCCTGGGTTTCACCTCCCTTTTCCTGTAGGGGGAAAACCGATCCTGAACCAGTAAATAAACAGCCCCCTTTCGGCCAGCAGATCACGTCTATGGCCTTGGCCAAGCCTCTTCTCCGAGGACTAGTTTTCTTCTTTGTAAATTCAACGCTTTGGATTCCGTGACCTCTGGGGTCCTTCCTGGAATGGTAGGGCTGGGATTAACAAGCCCTGTGCTTGGGGACTGAACAGGACACAGCTAATGCGTGGCCATTGTGCAGAAGGACCTCCTGTGCCTGGCTCTGAGGCTCCGGGTGGGGGATGGGCATGCTGGGAGAGCCCTCTGCACAGAGAGGGCTCCTTAAGCAAGAGCAGGGCTTTGCCAGTCCCAAGGAGGCAGCGAGCTGCAAAACAAGGGACCCCTGTGCAGAAGTAGACTGTCACCTGAAAGGCGGCTCCTTCCTCAGTCCTCTCTTACTCCACTCCCTGAGGAGACAAACCCCTCCCAAATCTCACCTCCAGCCCAGGCTTCTCTCCTAAGCCATGGATATTTAAATCCATTGGCCCCGAAAGACTTTCACCTGGACATTCCCATGGCCGTAGCTAACCTGGCAAGCCCCAAACTTGGCACTGCAACTCACGGTCCACCTTGACTCCTGTGAGCTCTCCCAGGCAGATATGGGGTCTTCTCCGTTGCCTCCTCCTTACCCTCCCCACTGATCAGTCCCTGACTCTGGTGGGCAGTAGAGGGCAAGGGTCAGAGGAAGGGGGTGTAGTTATCAAAGGCAGGAGGAGGGATCTTTGTGGTGGTGGAACTATTCAGTGTCTTGAGATACAGAAAACCACACAGGTGATAAAATTGTATAGAACGTAATACACCCAATAAAATTTCAATTAAAAATTTAAAAAAATCCTCCGTGGCTCCAAGGTCCTCAAAATGTAATCTGAATCCTGGCTGGGTGCGGTGGCTCATGCCTGTAATCCCAGCACTTTGGGAGGCCGAGGCAGGCGGATCACAAGGTCAGGAGATCGAGACCATCCTGGCTAACATGGTGAAACCCCGTCTCTACTAAAAATACAAAAAATTAGCCGGGCGTGGTGGCGGGCGCCTGTAGTCCCAGCTACTCGGGAAGCTGAGGCAGGAGAATGGGGTGAACCCGGGAGGCGGAGCTTGCAGTGAGCCGAGATCCCGCCACTGCACTCCAGCCTCGGGGACAGAGCGAGACTCCGTCTCAGAAAAAGAAAAATGTAATCTGAATCCCTTGATTAAGCTGACAGGGCCTCTGGGGCATTTCCAGCCTGCCCAACTGCCAACCACATCTCACCTCTCCCCCTGGGCCTTACTTTCTGTGCTCCTATAAGCCTTCTATTTCACACCCCAGGACCTTTGAACGTGACATTCCCTTGGCTTCTCTGCACAGTAATGCCTGGTTATTGAGCTTTCACTCAGCTGTCACACCCTACACAGTGCCTGGACGTACCAGATGCTCAATAAATGCTGGTGAAACTGAGCTCTCCCCTTTCCCCATCTCCCATCCTTCCACTTCTAGTCCTACCCTCTCTTGCTAAAGCATTCACTAATAAGGTAGAAAATGAAAGGAGACCAACTTTGTAAATAATCTTTTGTCTGTTATAAAGAAAAGCAAACTTCTTGTGAAATATTCAGAAAATATGTAAAATGTAAGGAAGAAATTGTCACTCTGGTGTCTTATCACCCATAAACACCTACTGTTTGGAGTCTTTCCTTCAGAATATTTGTTCAACCAAATTGTAGTTACAGTTTTTGTATCCTGATTTTTTTTTTTTTTTTTTTTTGAGACAGACTCTAGCTCTGACTCCCAAGCTGGAGTTCAGTGGCGCAGTCTCGGCTCACTGCAACCTCCCCCTCCCAGGTTCAGCTTCCCAAGTCTGTCTCAGCCTCCCGAGTAGCTGGGATTACAGGCATGTGCCATCACGTGTGGCTAATTTTTGTATTTTTAGTAGAGACAGGGTTTCACCATGCTGGCCGGGCTGTCCTTGAACTCCTGGTTTCAAGTGATCCACCCACCTCTGCCTCCCAAAGTGCTGGGATTACAGACGTGAGCCACTTCACCTGGCCTCTGATTTTTTTTACTATATCATTTTGTGTTAATTTTTCAATGTAATTTTTAATGGTTTTAGACAGTTCTGGTCTGAAATTATTGTGCAATGGAGTCATTTCTCCATTATTGGATATTCAGTTGTTTACAGCTTTTTGCTAGTGTAAATTACGCCATGACAATTACCCCTGTGAAAGTAATATTTATTGATTGGGTACAGTGTGGTTCCTGCTAATTGTTACAGATGAGAAAGCCCTGGCTCAGAGAAGTGATTTTCCCAGCGTCACAGAGGCAGGGAATGGCCGAGCTGGGAGAACCAAAAGGAGCTTGACTCGTCCAGCAAGTATTAGTGGCCCACACTGGAGGCCTCAGTAAGTCCATCTCTGCCTTACCATGTCCTCACTTCCAAGAGGAAATGAGTAGAGTATCTGAAGTTTGCACTGAGTGTTTTATTGATGCCCTTTTGTTGAATTGAAATCAAGACCTAGGAGACTACTTCAGGACAACAGTAGACCCTTGTCCCAGATGAAACAAAATGATGGCGGGATGCCTTATGTCTGTAAGTCTGGATACACCTCCCACCCTGCCACCTCCACCACTCAGGTCCTGCACTGCTGCAGAGGCAGAGTCGTACAGTAGGTTCAGGGCATGCTTGTGCAGTCAGGGGGCCTGGGTTCAAATCTTGGCTCCACCATTAACTGATGTGAACTCCCTTTTCCTTCACATGCTTCATCTGTAAGAAGCGCCTCAAAATGCTCCTAAGAGGTTGAGTGGAGTGGCTTAAGCTTGTAATCTCAGCACTGTGGGAGGCCAAGGTGGGTGGGTTGCTTGAGTCCAGGAGTTTGAGACCAGCCTGGGCAACATGGCAAAACCCTGTCTCTACAAAAAATATAAAAATTAGCCAGGCGTGGTGGTATGGGCTTGTAGTCCTAGCTACTTGGGGCGCTGAGGCAGGAGGATCACTTGAGCCCAGGAAGTCAAGGCTGCATTTGAACTGAGATCATGCCACTGCACTCCAGCCCGGGTGACAAAGCGGTATCTGTTAAAAAAAAAAAAAAAGCTCCAAAGGAGTAAAAGGACTGAATGGGCTCAGACTCAGAACAGTCCCTCGTATGGTACTTGGACAATAAATGTTGCGTTGTGAGGAGGGCATCTTTGAGGAGGGCACAGTGACTCCTTGTCCCTCAGGGCTTCAGACCCCACACAGGGAGAGGGAAGGCAACACCTCCTGTCCACCCCATCCCCAGGGGTCATGTGAATTACTGCATTAGGATCCATTCCCAGAATGTGATTACTGAGTCAAAGGCTAGAGGCGATTCTTTCTTTTTTTTCCCTTGGCTTTTGCACTCTCTTGCCAAATCACTCTCCTACCAGTCTGGACCGACTTAGATTGAAAGAAGCATAGCATGTCCCAGTAGGCATAGCCTGAGGCTCCAGGGAGGCCCAGCCAATGCTGTAGCCGGTCTGTGCCTTCATGGTGCTTATATGCCAGAGTAGGAGACTGACAAGACACAAAGACACAGAAATGAGGAAATGTGGGAGTCGGTTGGTGACAGAGTGCTACAGAGAAGACTAAAGCTGGTGAGCACAGAAGGTGAAGGAGGCTCAGGTGCTAGTCCAGTAGGGGTGGCCAGGGAAGGCCCGTCTGATGAAGTGGGAAAGTAGGAATAATTTTAGTAGGTATTAGTAATGATTACTTAGATGAATAAAAATGCAGAAACGAGTAGTTAAATTTATAGAACTGCAGAAGAGGCTCCATATGGTCTATTTGTTGAATTAAATGGGGAACCAATCAACCAACCAAACAAACATTGATCCAGCCATCTGGGAAGGTGATTTGGAAATATTGTCACGTGCCGCATAATGCCATTTCAGTCAATGATGGTCCAGGTATATGTTGGTGGTCCCGTATCACTTGGTGGTCTCATAATGTTATAATAGAGCTGAAAAATTTCTCTCTCCTATTGACGCCATAGCTGTTGTGACATTGTCATGCAATAAATTATTCATGTGTTTGTAGTGATGCTGGTGTAAACAACATACAAGCTGCCAGTCATATGACAGTCTAGCACATGTCACTACGTATAGTACATAATAATTGATAATGATAATAAATCACTATGGTACTGGCTTATATATTTACTATACTATACTTTTAATTGTTATTTTAGGGTGTACTTTTACTTATTAAAAAAAAAAAAAAGCTGTCCGGGTGCAGTGGCTCATGCCTGTTATCCCATCACTTTGGGAGGCCAAGGCAAGCGGATGACCTGTGGTCAGGAGTTCGAGACCAGCCTGGCCAATACGGTGAAACCCTGTCTCTACTAAAAAATATAAAAATTAGCCCAGGCATGGTGGCGGGCGCCTGTAATCCCAGTTACTTGGGAGGCTGAGGTGGGAGAATCACTTGAACCCGGGAGGTGGAGGTTGTAGTGAGACGAGATTGTGCCACTGCACTCCAGCCTGGGTGACAGAGTGAGACTCCATCTCAAAAAAAAAAAAAACAAAAAAAAACAAGCCTAACTGTAAAACATCCTCAGTCAGGTGCTTCAGGAAGTATCCAGAAGAAGGCATTGTTATCCTAGGAGATGACAGCTCCATGTCTGTTAACGCCCCTGAAGACCTTCCTGGACCAAGATGTGGAGGTGGAGGACTGACATTGATGATCCTGACCCTGTGCGGGCCTAGGCTAATGTGCGTGTTTGTGTCTTCGTCTTTAACAAAAAAGTTTACAACACAGACAAAAGTAAATAATTTTTAAAATAGAAAAAAAGCTTACAGAATACTAAAGAAATTTAAAAATTTGGTACAGCTGTACAAAGTGTTTGTGTTTGAAGCTAAGTGTTATTACAAGAGTCAAAAAATGTTTTAAAAACTAAAAAGTTTATAAAGTAAAAGAGTTACAGTAAGCTCAGGCTAATTTATTATTGAAAAAATAAGTATTATGTATAAATTGAGTGTAGCCTAAGTGTGCAGTGTTTATAAAGCCCACAGCAGTGTACAGTGTACATTCACTCACCACGCACTCCCTGACTCAGCCAAAGCAACTTCCAGTCCTGCAAGCTCCCTTCATGGGAAATGCCTTCCCTAAACCGGTCTATCTTTTTTGTTTGTTCTTTGTTTTTTGTTTTTGAGACGGAGTCTGGCTCTGTTGCCCAGGCTGCAGTGACGCGATCTTCGCTCACTGCAAGCTCCATCTCCCAGGTTCACCCCATTCTCCTGTCTCAGCCTCCGGAGTAGCTGGGACTACAGGCGCCCGCCACCACGTCCGGCTAATTTTTAGTATTTTTAGTAGAGACGAGGTTTCACCGTGTTAGCCAGGATGGTCTCGATCTCCTGACTTCGTGATCCGCCCACCTCGGCCTCCCAAAATGCTGGGATTACAGGCGTGAGCCACCGTGCCTGGCCTTATCATTTTTTTAAATTGTATCTTTTCTATGTTTAGATATGTTTAGATACCCAAATACTTACCACTGTGTTACAAATGCCTGCAGTATTCAGAACAGTCATATGCTATACAAATCTGTAGTGCAGGAGCAACAGTCTATCCCATATACCCTAGGAGTGTAGTAAGCTATATCACCTAGGGTTGCATAAGTACATTCTGTGATGTTTGCACAATGACAAAATCGCCTAATGACGAATTTTTCAGAATGTATTTCCTCGTGTCATTAAGCAATTAACGTTGGTATATGTCAAGGGGTGGGTGTTCGATCTGGCCTTGGGAAGGGGATGGTCACATAGATCACATATTCCAGTGTTCCTGTGTTGGCCAGATATCTATCAGGTCCTATGATGTGGCTTCCGTGTTTCTCATCATTCCAAATCTGAGCATTCTGTCACAACCACTTTTGATGAGTGTGGTTTCATCAGAGGAGAGAATGCGGAGGAGGAGGAGAACTCCCGCCTCCTCCGAGGAAGCAGCGCCCCTTAGTGGTCTGTCTCTCACACGGCAATGTGCGCTTGCTCTCTTCAGGGCCAAGCTATACCAATGGGGTTGAAACCCTAAAATTCTAGAGATTTAAAGGGTTAAGATCTAAAGAGCCGCCAGGTAACTTGAGAAATTGTGCTCCAAGCATCTTGTTTACAGACATGGAACCAGAGGCCCAGAGAGCTGTCAACCCGAGCACCTTCCCTAGGAGGCTTTAGCAGGGGTGCTGAGACCAGACCCAGACCAAGTCAGCTAAGCCCCAGGAGAGTTCCAAATCTGCTCAGAAAGTACAATTGTAAATTGCATATGTATGCAATCAGGAGTGGTTAGGACGCATCTGCCTTTTTCCCAGGAAACACAACGTTTTTACATTGAAAAGTGTAATTTCATTTAATCTATTTTCTAGGATGTAAAATTATTCTGTCAACCACAGTGTGCTAACTTCATCCCTTTCCTTTTCTTTTGCTTACTTTATTATTATTATTGTTATTACATATATTTTTTAAGACAGAGTTTCACTCTTGTTGCCCAGGCTGGAGTGCAGTGATGCAATCTCGGCTCACTGAAACCTCCACCTCCTGGCTTCAAGCCATTCTCCTGCCTCAGCTTCCTGAGTAGCTGGGATTACAGGCGTGCGTCACCACGCTCAGCTAATTTGTGTGTGTGTGTGTGTGTGTGTGTGTGTGTGTGTGTGTGTGTGTGTGTATTTTTAGTAGACATGGGGTTTCACCATGTTGGTCAGGCTGGTCTCTAACTCCTGACCTCAAGTGATTGACCTGCCTCGGCCTCCCAAAGTGCTGGGATTACAAGCATGAGCCACTGCACCTGGCCTTCTTTTGCTTAATTTATTATTAATCATCATCATTAACAGCCTGTTTGAGAGTATGAAACAGTTTACTTGGAGGAGCTCAAAGCTTCTCATAGCTTTCTCTAATGAAGAAGGCTATGCAGGGCAGTCCTGTGTATTCAGCAAAGAAGGAAATTCAGTCTGGGAGGGAGAAGCATTCCATGAGACCAGGTTACATGACTAACTTGCCCTTTCCATCACCCGCTTGAGTTGGGAGTGACTCAATCCCTCCAACAACTTCCTGTGCTTGGAGCCCATTTGGGGTCCAGTTCAGGGTGATGTCACTCAGTGCCTCCCCTGCTTTGAAGTGGGACCAGGATCAGTACAACTCAAGCAGCCTGGGAAGGTCCTAGTCATAATAATAATAAAAAAAGTGTGCTTTCCTCTCCTGGGGATTAACATATCTGAAATCTTGCAATTAGAAATTAGTTCCTTTGAGTGAACTACCAATACATGCAACACTGTTTTAGTCCATTTTCTGTTGCTATAACAGAATACCACAGACTTGGTAATTTAAAATGAACAGAAATATATTTGACTCATGGTTCTGGAGGCTGGGAAGTCCAAGGGCATGGCACTTGGAAGGGAGAGCAAGCAAGAGAGCAAGAGGGGGCCAGAGTCCCCTTTACAAAAAGCCCACTCTTGAAATAACATTAATTCATTCATGAGGACAGAGCTGTCATGACCTAGTCACCTCTTATCAGACCCCAACACCCAGCTCTGATGCACTGGGGGTTAAGTTTCCAACACATGAACTCTGGCGGACACATTCAAACCATAGCAAACAGTATGGTTGAATCTCAAACATATCAGGATGCCTGCCCCCAACTCTGACATGCACAAAAAAGCCAGCCACAAAAAGGAGACATACTGTATGATCCAGTCATAACTCTAGAAAACTCTAGAAAAGTCTAAACTAAACAGCAGGGACTGAAAGCAGATCACTGGTGGCCTGAGGCTGGAGGTGGGTGAGGTGGCCTGGGAAGGAGCATGAGGAAGCTTTCTGTAGTGATGGAAATGGCCTATTCCTTGATTGTGGTGGTGTTTATATTAGCATATGTGTTTGTCCCAAACTCATGAAACTGAACACTTAAAATGGGTGACTTTATTTTAGGTAAATTACTCCATAATAAAGTTGATTTTAAAAATTAGTCCCTTGGGTGCCCCTTTTCTATCCTCTTTCAAAATGAAAAGTTTGGTCCAGGCTTGATGGCTCATGCCTGTATGTAATCCCAGCACTTTGGGAGGCTGAGATGGGAGGATAGCTTGATCCCAGGAGGTGAAGACTGCAGTGAACTATGATGATGCCATTGCACTCCAGCCTGGGCAACGTAGCAAGATCCTATCTCTAAATAAATAAATGAAATAGGCTGGGTGCGGTGGCTCACGCCTGTAATCCCAGCACTTTGGGAGGCCGAGATGGGCGGATCACGAGGTCAGGAGATCAAGACCATCCTGGCTAACACGGTGAAACCCCATTTCTACTAAAAATACAAAACATTAGCCAGGCATGTTGGCGGGCACCTGTAGACCCAGCTACTCCAGAGGCTGAGGCAGGAGAATTGCGTGAACCCGGGAGGCGGAGCTTGCAGTGAGCCAAGATCGCGTCACTGCACTCCAGCCTGGGTGACAGAGCCAGACTCTGTCTCAAAAAAAAAAAAAAAAAAAAAAAGAAATAAAATAAAATGAAAAGTTTGGGGAAGAGTAATGCGGGGTAATATGTGGTTTAGAGTATAGTAGCTGGAGCAACACTGCCTGGGTTTGAATCGCAGCTCCACCACTTACTAACCATAACTGAGCAAGTTATTTAACTTCACTGGGCCTCAGTTTTCTCACCTGTAAAATAGGGAGGGACCTCATAGGATTCTTGTAAGGCTGAAATGAATGTATGCGTGTGAAGTGCTCAGAGCCCAATGCCTGGCAGACAGCAAGTGCCACTCAGTTTGAAACTAATTTACATGGACGTGACTTGTTAGCTTCAAATTGACAGCTTTTTTCTAGTTATGATTCTTTAAAAATTTTAAGAGCAGTTTTAGATTTACAGAAAAAAATAAACAGAAAATGTAGAGAGCTCCCATATGCCCCTCATACACAGTGAGTTTCCTCTACTATTTTCATCTTGCATTTCGGTGGCACATTTATCACAATTGATGAGCCAGTATGGACACATTATTATTAACTGAAGTCCGCAGTTTACATTAGGGCTTATTCTTTGTGTTGTACATTCAATGGGTTTTCACAAATGTATCCATCATTGCAGCATCATGCAGAATGGTTTCATTGCCCTAAAAATTCCCTGTGTTCCACCTTTTTACCCCTCCCTTCCCCATAATCCCTGGCAACCACGGATCTTTTCACCGTCTCCATAGTTTTGCCGACTCCAGAGTGTCCCATAGTTGGAGTCATACAGTATGTAGACTCTCCAAGAGGGGTCTCTTTCACTTAATTATGTACATAATTATTTATTTATGTTTAGAGACAGGGTCTCACTATATTGCCCAGTGATGCTCCCACCTCAGCCTTCTGAAGTGCTTCGATTACAGGCGTGAGCCACTGCAACCGGTCTCACTTAGCGATAGACATTTAAGATTCCACGCCTGCTCATGGCCTGATAGCTCATTTTTCTTTTTCTTTTCTTTTTTCTTTCTTTTTTTTTTTTTTAGACAGAGTCTCAAGAGCAGTGGCACGATCTTGGCTCACTGCAACCTCTGCCTCCTGGGTTCAAGTGATTCTCCTGCCTCAGCCTCCCGAGTAGCTGGGATAACAGGCGCTCACCACCATGCCCAGCGAATTTTTGTATTTTTAGTAGAAACGGGGTTTCACCATGTTGGCCAGACTGGTCTTGAACTCCTGACCTCAAATGATCCATTCACCTCGGATTACAGGCATAAGCCACCGTGCCCGGCTGAGAGCTCATTTTTCAAATTGCTGAATAATATTCCACTGTTGGGATGTACCACAGTTTATTTACCCATTCATCTATTAAAAGACATCTTGGTTGTTTCTGAGTTTGAGCTATTATGAATGAAGCTATTGTAAACATTCATGTATAAGTTTTTGTGTGGACTTAAGCTTTCAACTCCTGTGGGCAAATATCAAGGAGTACAAACACCAGTTGCTGGATCTTATTGTAAAAATACGTCTGGTTTTGTAAGAAACTGCCAAACTGGCCGGGCGTGGTGGCTCACGCCTGTAATTCCAGCACTTCGGGAGGCTGAGTCAGGCGGATCACAAGGTCAGGAGATCGAGGCCATCCTGGCTAACATGGTGAAACCCTGTCTCTACTAAAAATACAAAAAATTAGCCGGGCGTGGTGGCGGGCGCCTGTAGTCCCAGCTACTCAGGAGGCTGAGGCAGGAGAATGGCGTGAACCTGGGAGGCAGAGCTTGCAGTGAGCCAAGATTGCGCCACTACACTCCAGCCTGGGCGACAGAGTGAGACTCCGTCTCGAAAAAAAAAAAAAAAGAAGAAGAAAAAAAAGAAACTGCCAAATTGTCTTCAGAAGTGCCTGTACCATTTTGCATTCCAACTAGCAGCGAATGAAAGTTGCTGTTACTCTACATCTTTGTCAGCATTTGGTGTTGTCAGTGTTCTGGATTTTAGCCATCTATTAGAATTAGCCATTCCAACAGATGCCCAGTGGTGTCTCATTATTGTTTTAATTTGCAATTCTAATAACATATGATGTGGAGGATCTTTTCATGTCTGTGTTTGCCATCTGTACATCTTTGGTGAGGTATCTGCTCAGATCTTTTGCCCCCCACTTTTTTTTTGAGGCAGAGTCTTGCTCTGTCACCCAGGCTGGAGTGCAGTGGTGTGAGCTTGGCTCACTGCAACCTCTGCCTCCCGGGTTCAAGCGATTCTCCTGCCTTGGCCTCCTGAGTAGCTGGGATTACAGGTGCCTACCACCACACCCGGCTATTTTTTGTATTTTTGTTCATTTCTAAAAATTGGGTGTTGACTTTTAAAAGTTCTTTGTATCTTTTGGACAGAAGTCTTTTATCAGATAATGTGTTTTGCAAAATTTTCTCCAAGTTCGTGGCTTGTCTTTTCATTCTCCAAATTGTTTTCCACCAAGCATCTAGAATGCCATCATACCTCCCTGTCTACGAGTGTGTGTGTGTGTGTGTGTGTGTGTGTGTGTGTGTTTGTGTTTGTGTTTTGTGGGGTGGGAGTAGGAGAAAGAAGGACAACATTCGGAAGGAAGGGAGGGTACTAGGAATGAATAACACTTGATGTAGTCTTCAAGGGGCTTCTTATATTCTGATTTGAGAGAGACGATCTCATATTCAATAACAAGAAAAAGCAATGTGAGATTCATTGCAAATGCCTGGCACCCTGCAGCAAGCAGAGATCTGAGGGATTGGAGATGGTGGTAGGGGCTGCATGGAGTCTGGAGGGGGCGCCCATGTGCAGGAGGAGGAAATTGAGGTGAGAGGAGGAATGACCTGGAAAGAAGAGCAAAGCATTCCAGACTGGAGTAGGTGCTGGGTGGCATGAGAGAGTCACAGACCAGGGAGGCCAGCTTAATCCTTCCTCCTGCAGGAGCCCCAGGACATCTGGGAATGGGGCAGGTAGGGAGGGGCTACAGCGGATGGACCCTGGCAATTTGAACTATGCTCGGAACATGGGGTGACAGATTCTGAAGACAAGCTGGGCCAATATTCTCATTTTGCTGCTTCTCCTAACTTCCCTTTTGCCCCCTCCACATGGAAAGTCTCCTGCTGAGAGAAAAGGGAGACTTTCACCTAGCACAGTCATGCAGAGGGGAAAAAAAGCTGATTCAAATCTCATTCCCAGACACCTGGCTTCTGCCAGCTCTGACCACCTTGTCTCAAAGATGCAGCTGAAAGAGGGAAGGGGGAGCACCAGACAAAAATGGGAGCTTTTCTGCAGAGAGATGGGCTGGCGCTTGGCAAGGCCCACGCTCCGGGCTGCAGCCCAGCACAGCCTCACTGGTCTCCCAGAAAGCATATGAGATGCCTGCTCAGGGCGCTCAGGGTTGGCTGAGGACACAGCCTGACTGCTCTGTTCCAGTCACTGGTATTTATGAGCCTCCTGTGAGCC
The DNA here is from genome assembly GCF_000001405.40 of Homo sapiens. Lineage (NCBI taxonomy): Eukaryota > Metazoa > Chordata > Mammalia > Primates > Hominidae > Homo > Homo sapiens. The sequence goes on from NC_000008.11 coordinate 23,416,460, forward strand.
CAGACCCAGGTCTGCACCACAGGGGAGGCGGGAAAGGTACAAATTCTGCTCTGCCCGCCAGCCCCCTGCACTCCAGGAGGTGCCCATGGTGGGCAGAGGATGAGATGTTCAGAGGAAGCCATGGTTCAGGAAAAAGAGCCCCCAGACCTCAATAGCGTTAGCAGCAAAATAGGACGAACACGTCTCTGGACTGAATTATGTCCCTTCAAAATTCGCATTAAAGCGGTAACTCCCAATGAGATGTTATTTGGACATGAGGTCTTGGGGAGGTAATTAGGGTTAGATGAGGTCATGAGGAAGGGCCCTCAGGATTTTATTTTATTAGTGGCTTTCTATGAAGAGGCAGAGAGAGAAATCACTCTTTCTGTTTGCCAGGAAAGGTCCAGTGAAAAGATGGGTCTATGAACCAGGAACCAAATTGGCCAGCATCTTGACCTTGAACTTCCCAGCCTCCAGAACCATGAGAAATGTCTGTTGTTTATGCCACCCAGTCTGGTGTTTTGTCATAGCAGCTGAGCTGACTGAGACAAACATATGAGTGGTGTTCCCTTCCCAGCCTTCCAGCCACAGCTGGCTGTGACCAACACTGGGACACTGGAGACTTTGCTTCTCTGTTCACCCCCTCCACAGTTTACCTTCCTGCTCTGGGCCAGCGGTTGTTCTAGAAGTATGGTTGGGGACCACTGGGAGTTACCAAGACCCTTTCAGGGGGTCCACTGGATCAAACTATTTTTAAAATAAAACTAAGACCTTATTTGCCCTTTTAATTTCATTTTTTTAGAGCTGGTGATATGTCAGGAGCAGCTGGAGCCACTTCCTCCAAACTGACCAAGACTTATCATTGGGGAGAGCTCCAGGGACATCAGGCAACTTGGATTCCAGTCTTAGATTTCCCCTCAGGAAATGGGGCATTGACTTAGATAACAAAGCCTCCTCCTCACTGTAAAAATGGCATTGTCCCATTTTCCCTGAATCTTGGTGTTCTTTTTCATAGATTGAGATATAATTTTATATCCCCTACATATCTCACAAAGCTGTTAAGGAAGCCAAATAAATTAAATGTGAATGTTCTCTAACAAGAGAACATTGTTCCGTCATTATTAGGTGTAATTATTAAGAGAGGCGCAATGCAAGGAGAATCAGGAAATGAATATCCCTGCCATCCCAAACCACTGACTTGAAGTGAATTCCTCTCCAGCCTGTGACTCACGCCTCACCAACATGGGCTAAAACCTGCCTGTGTGAGAGTGAGGGACCCTGGGATCTGCCCACCCACAGGTCTTAAGCCAGCCTCTGCTCTGGCAGGGTGTAAACACCCAGAGTAGACAAACACCAGAGGAAGAGCCCTGGATGTAGACACCCAGGGGAACTACTATCCACGGGAATAAATTGGTCCCATTACCCCATCCCTGTGGCCCCTCCAACAGTGGAGCTGCAATGAGAGGTGGAGGAAAACTTCACCTTTCTTGTCTCTTCCACTTTGTAGAGTTCACCCAGTATCTCTGTATTTCTGCTATAAAATGACTACTTTTGGCAGTGATTATGCTGCAAAGGTCACATTGTCTTTTCAGCAGGGCAGTTCAGGTTGGAACTAAACTGGGTTGCGCAGCCACTGGGTGGTGACATTGTTTCTCTGCAGGTGACCTCCAACTCCAATCATGGGATGCCCAGACCTGCCCAGACCTTGGCTGGGCTCTGAGGCAAACCTTCCAGACGGGATGACCGAGGCTGCAGTTGAGGCCTGAGTCAGGAAAGATGGAGCAGGAGATAAAGTCCTGGGCTGGAAAAGAATGAATGTCACAACTCTCTCCATTTTACAGACAGTGGCTCCGAAGGGCTTTCATCACACGCATCATCTTGGAGCCCCTCGACCTCTCTGTGAGGCAGGTATGACAGGAGTTCTTACTCACATTTTATAGGATTGGAAACTGAAGTCCAGAGAAGTGACATGGCTTGCTGAAGGCCACATTTGAAGTGACAGAGGCAGGGCTTGGCTGGGCCTTCTGACTCCAGGCCACAGCCAGGGCTTTCTGAGTGCAAGCTCCTTTCATCAGATGCTTACTACAAATGATCCAGGGCGCTGGGCCATGGGGACACGGAAATAAAGATTACGTGGGGTCCCTGTTCTTAAAGAACTCAGCAGGCCGGGCACGGTGGCTCACTCCTATAATCTCTGTGCTTTGAGAGGCCAAGGTGGGAGAACTGCTTGAGCCCAGGAGTTAGAGACCAGCCTGGGCAACATAATGAGACCCTGTCTTTACAAAAAATGAAGAACTTAGCTGGGTGTGGTGGCATGCACCTGTAGTCCCAGCCACTTGAGAGACCTAGGCGGGAGAATTGATTGAGCCGGGAGTTTGAGGCTGCAGTGAGCTATGATTGCATCACTGCACTCCAGCCTGGGTGACAGAGCAAGACTCTGCCTCTAAAGAAAAAAAAGGAAAGCTCATAGTCTTGGAGGTGGGACAGAGGGCAGGGTGACAAGTATATAAACAGACACTTCCAATGACAAATTCGATAAAAAGATGCCATGCGAGCAGAGAGAAGGACCTGAACTCAGTCAAGCAAGACTTCCAGTTGGGGGTTGACGTGTGTTCCCCCAAAAGTTATGTTGAAGTCCTAACTCTGGGAGCTCTGAATGTGACGTTGTTTGAAACTGAGTCTTTGCAAACGCAGTAAATTTAAGATGAAGTCATCAGGGCAGGTCCCTATCCAATATGACAGGTGTCCTTATAAGAAGAGGAAAATGCCACGTGAAGACCGAGGCAGAGATAAAAGTGACACAGCTGCAGGCCAAGGACCATTGAGGATCGCTGGTCACCGCCAGAAACCAGGAAGGGGCAAGGAAGGATTCTGCAAGGTCTCAGAGGGAGCGTCGCCCTGCGGACTCCTCAACTTGACTTCCAGCCTGCACAACTGTGTCTGTGCTTTTCCACATTGTAGGCCCTGCCTTCGTGCTGTTAATTCTGCCCACCGCGTTTTCCTGTACGGTCCCCTCTGAAAGCTCCACAGCCTTTCCTATTGAGCTCAAGTGTCCCCTGCTCTTGGTAAGTATATTCGCCTCCTAGGGCCCTCATGACAAAGCACCACAAACTGGGTGGCCTCAATAGCAGACACTTATGCTCTCACAGTTGTGCCCCTAACACAGGAGAAGCTAGATACCTCTGGTGTTTCAGCTTAACGCTTACAGCTAATTGCAGTCATTCAGGTTTTACAGCTCACAGCCTCAGATCCTATTAACTTTGTCTGTGATTCAGCTTATGTTGTAAATGTAGCCAGTCGCATAGAAACTGCCACAATTAAAAGTACACTAGACCCAGAACTGCTTAATTAGTTAATTAATTAATTTATTTTTGAGATGGAGTTTTGCTCTGTTGCCTAGGATATAGTGCAGTGGCACAATCTCAGCTCACTGCAAGCTCCGCCTCCCGGGTTCACGCAATTCTTCTGCCTCAACCTCCCGAGTAGCTGGGACTACAGGCGCCCGCCACCACGCCCGGCTAATTTTTTGTATTTTTAGTACAGAAGGGGTTTCACCATGTTAGCCAGGATGGTCTCGATCTCCTGACCTCATGATCCACCTGCCTCGGCCTCCCAAAGTGCTGGGATTACAGGTGTGAGCCACCATGCCCAGCCGCTTAATTTATTTTTAAGACTTCAACAAGTTATTCGTTCTCATGCAGCTCCTTTTCATATTTCTCATATTTGCTCTCACACACAACTTCCTGGACCCCTATCTCTAGGTAATGAGAAAGCAGACAAACTGATTGGTTCTGTGTTTCGGCAAGCTCAAGCATCTCATGCACTTCTGCACCAAAATACTTCCACCCTTACTCGCATGTTCCATTTATCTCATAGCCAAGCTAGGGCTATAATACAAGCCTGTCCTACTTGCCAGCATGTCCCTGGAACTATACCTGTAGAAGGCTGTAACCCACGAAGTTTGGCTCCAAATGAAATTTGGCAAATGGATGTTGCACACATAGCAACCTTTGGTAAGCTTAGCTACGTTCATGTGACTATAGACACTTATTCTCATATGCTGCATGCTACATGCCAAACAGGTGAGACAGCTGGTCATGTATGGCCACATTGTCTGTCATCATTTGCTCACATGGGGATACCTAAACAATTAAAAACTGACAATGGACCCACTTATACTAGTCATGCTTTTCAAAATTTCTTACAGCTTTGGGCTATAACCCATAAAACAGGAATTCCTTATAATCCTAGAGGACAAGGCATTATAGAGCAGGCACATCAAACATTACAACGCATATTGAAAAAACAAAAAGGGGGTATAGGAGACCAACTACCACCTCAATCAAAACTACATTTAGCCTTACTTTAAATTTTCTGACTCCTGGTATGGAAGGTAAAGACTCCAGCAGAAAGACATTGGCAAGTGTTAGAGGAAAAGAGGAAAGTTTATCCGAAAGTGTTACGGAAATCCCCGGAAGAAGGCCAATGGAAAGGTCCAGTGGATTTACTAATGTGGGGAAGAGGGTATACTTGTGTTTTTGCAGGAGATGGATGAACTGTGTGGGTGCCCTCAAGGTGCGTGCGACCATGGAATGGGAGACTGGAGGAACCCAGGGTGGCCAACCATGGACCCGGTCCCGGTATGAGCCATGAGTCAGCTGAGCCTGAATGCAAAGACGGAGAGAAGGCCGACCGGAGTCACAACACAGTTCTAAGGTTACATTTGTAAAGAATATCATCACTCAATTTACAGTTTGTGTTTTTAATCCTTATGTCTTTTTGGCAGCTAAGAAGGACCAGCTCCAGGTAAACAATACCCAATTGACCTGTAAATCTTGCCAGTTATATCACTGCACTAATCATAGCACATTGCAAACACATAATATCTCTACTGTGATGATTTTAGGTGGTATCCCTGGGCTAGGGATTCCTGTTAATCTGTCTGAGCCTTGGGCTGCCACACCTGCTTTGCATTTTGTGAAACTTCTAACTCAGCTGACTCATCGTGCCCGTAGAGCCTTAGGCATGATAATTTTTGCTACTGTTTACTTGGTCATGCTAGTAACTTCTGTTGTGATATCTTCTGTAGCTTTGCATAATTCTATTCAAATAGCTCAGTACGTGGAGAACTGGACGCGCACAGCTGACCAAGCGTGGCGACTTCAGAATAAAATTAACACTGAGCTACAAACTGAAGTGGCAATGCTGAAATCCACGGTTCTGTGGTTAGGGGCACAAGTACAAAGCTTGCAGTTGCAGCAGTAATTGCGCTGTCATTTTAATCACACTCATATTTGTGTAACCAACTTAGAATACAACCAAAGTGAGTATCCGTGGGACCTTGTGAAAGCCCATTTGCAGGGAGCGTTCACATCCAACATCACCTTTGATATTGGTGAATTACAAAACAAAATTCTTGATTTAAATAGGCAAACTCAAGAATTTCAGCCTTCTTTAGAAGACGGGACCAAATTCCAGCAAGGCCTGGAGAGCCTCAACCCTTGGACCTATCTAAGGCACCACATTAACATCTTATATGTAGTTCTTGGAATAATGTTGTTTCGTCTCTGTCTTCTGTTTATAGTCTGTAAAATCGGATGGACTGCCAATCGGAGAATGAGAGCTGCCCAGCCTGGCCTTACATTTTTTCAATTAATTCATAAACAGAAAGGGGGATATGCAGGGAGCCGAAGGCCCATGGGATGTGACCAACGCAGCATTCCACTGGAGGCTATATGATCCAACAGCAAACTGTTTATCATGAATGCAGGATGTGAGAAAACTGACGACTGCTCCTGCCGACAGAAGGTTTGCTGGAGGCAATCACTCCCTGGCGCTGAGGTTATCTACTGCAACATTTAGCCTGTTGTTCGAGGAATGCAGTCTTGCAAGCCTGCTCTAGACTGAGCAGCTGACCCCTTCTTCCACCCCGCTTCTCACTATCTCTTTTGCCTAATAAATAAGGAGGGCTGTATAAAGCTCAGGGCCCTTGTCCACTAGGGGCAAGGTACCCCCTGACCCCTTCTTCAAAATATACTCTTTTGTCTCTTGTCTTTTATTCCCGTGTTTGCCCCGCTTTGTTCAGTCCCCCTAGGTCCGTGCAGGTTACAGTGGAATCCGTATTCACGTGCATATTCTGGCTCATTTCATACTACAGAAGCAGTGAGGTGAGTTTTGGACAGAAGTCATGTGGCCTGCAAAGTTAAAATGTTTATTATCTGGCCCTTTAGAGAAAAAAATTGCTGCCTGGTCTGAAGCGGCATTTTTCAAATGTGAGCATGCATTATGAGTGACCTGGAAGGCTGGCAAAATGAAGAATTTGATTCAAGAGGTCTGAGACCAAGCCTGAGATCCAGCACTTCCGTCAGGCTTCAGTGATGTTGATGCTGCTGATTCAAGGACCACACTTTGAGAAGCAAGTACCGAGAGCAGCTCCGTCTGACGGAAATATACTGTGAGCCACACAGGCAATTTAGAGTTGTCTAGTGTACACATTAAAAAGGTAGAAGGAAACAGGTGATGTTAATCCAATAATATTTTATTTAACTCAATATACCTAAAATATTGTCATGTCTCATGTACCCAATGTAAAGAAACTGAGATATTTCATATTTTTTTTACATGAAGTCTTTGAAATCTGGTGTGTCTATATCTATATATAGACAGACAGATATAGATATATATTTTTTTGAGACAGAGTCTCACTCTGTTGCCAGGCTGCAGTGCAGTGGGGAGATCTCAGCTTACTGCAACCTCTGCCTCCCGGGTTCAAGCGATTCTCCTGCCTCAGCCTCCCGAGTAGCTGGGACTACAGGCGCCCACCACCATGCCTGGCTAATTTTTGTATTTTTAGTACAGACGGGGTTTCACCATATTTGCCAGGATGGTCTCAATCTCCTGACCTCGTGATCCGCCCGCCTTGGCCTCCCAAAGTGCTGGGATTACAGGCATGAGCCACTGTGCCCGGCCTGAAATCTGGTGTATATTTTATACTTACAGCTCATCTCAGTTTAGATTGGCCTGTTTCATGTGGCTAGTGGCCGTCATACTGGACAGTGCAGCTCTAGAGTACAGAATGGAGCCAGGCTGCCTGCGTTCAAATCCCAGCCCCACCACTGGCTAGTTCGGTACCTTGGGCAAGTTGTGTGCCTTTTCCACATCTGTTTCTCCACCTGTAAAGTGACGGTAATCAAAGCACCTCCTCATGGTGTCATTTTGGGGACTGACATGGTTAGGCTTTGTGTCCCCACCCAAATCTCATCTTGAATTATAATCCCCACAATCCCCACATGTCAAGGGGGAGACCAGGTGGGGGTAATTGAATCATGAGAGTGGTTTCCCCTGTGCTGTTCTCGTGATAGTGTTCTCAGGAGATCTGATGGTTTTATAAGTGTTTGGTAGTTCCTTCTGCATTAATTCTCTCTCCTGCCACCTGCCAAGGTGTCTTGGTTCCCCCTCTTCACCTTCCGCCGTGATTGTAAGTTTCCTGACGCCTCCCCAGCCATGCTGATCTGTGAGTCAATTAAACCTCTTTCCTTTATCAATTACCCCGTCTTGGGAAGTTCTTTATAGCAGTGTGAAAACGAACTAATACAGGGATTATGTAAGCTAACAAAGAGCTAGAACAGTGCCTGGCGTGTAATAAGCTATCTTTCTGTTATGATGACGGTTCTGCACAAGAAGCACCTTCTTTCCCTCTAATAAAGCAAGGAGGTGGTGCCATCTTTCCTGCCCCCATCCCTGGGGCCAGACTGTGGAGTTTAGCATGCTCTCTCAGTTCTCAGCCTGGTCATTCCCCCTCGCTTTAAGGATCCTGCCTTGTTCATTCATTCCACAGATATTTATTGAATGTCTACCGCCTATCAGATCCTGTGCCTGGGGATACAACATGAAAACACACAGACAAAAGCCCCCTGCCCCCTGGCTCATGTTCTAGTAGGGTAATAGGGAGAGTCGTACATAGAACGTAATGAAAACAGAGTGTACTAGATCTAAGGTCATAAGCATCATGGGGGAAAGTGAAGCAGGGTGAGGGGGATGGAAAGTCCTGAGAGGGCCCTGAGGCCAGGGTGGCTGGAGCGGAGTCTCGGAGAAATGAGGACTGCGGTCAGAGAGGTGTGGAGTGGGAGGCCACGGTGCAGGGCTGTCTAGGCCATTATAAAGACTTCAGTTCTTCCTGAGTCAAATACAGAGCCGAGTGGAGAGCTTTTGCCTAACAACTTCAAGGTCTGAATCACAGCTTATCAGGCTGCCGTGCTGAAAACAGCCTGGGTTGGGTTGGGGTGGGGTAACCAATCAACCTCCCTGGCCCTGAATTGAGGGGCTCACTGGGATGTGAGGTCACCCTAAAACAAGGAAATCAGTTTTATCTTTTCTCCTCCTTTCATAAATAATCTGTGTCCCCATAACGTCCATTTTAATGTATTTGAATCAAAATATGCACATCCTCATAGGACATACAGTGCCGTATGCCCTACATTAACATAATGGCATTATACAACAATTCTCATGTCTTGCTTTCAGTATTCAACACTATTTTTAAGAGCCACCCGCTTGCTGTTCATAGTTCTAGGTCTGTCTCTCATGGCTATACAGTATTCCATGGTACGCACCTGCCGCCTTTGACTTGTCCAAGACCTTGCTTGCCTCCATCAACACAGTCACTCAGAATCATTACCAAGGAATCCTTCCGTAAGTCCATTCATGGACCCAGGTAGAAATCTCTCCGGAGAGCCACGCGCAAGTGGCTCTCTGAATCAAAGGGCACACACGCTGCTAACTTTTAAGCTGCCAGCTTCCCTTCTGGGGTACGCATTGCAGTTTGCACCACCACCAGCAATATTGAAGTCCAGGCCCCGCATCACTGCCAGCACTTGAAGTCTGGCAATTCTGAGGGGCATAAGGTAGTGGGTCTTAATTTACATTTGCATTTCTTCAGCTTAGTTTATCTCTTGTTCACCATTTGGGTTTCCCCTGCTGTGAATCACCTATTAATATCCATGGCCGGTTTTTTCTTTTGGATTTCCTTTTTCTTGTTGTTTTGCATGAAACTTTGTACATTTTAATCCCTTTTCAATTTCAGTCACTGCAAATACCTTCTTAGTCTGCCATCTGTTAGCTTTGATGAACAGAAAGTCTTACTTTAGATGTAGTCAAATCCATCCTTTCCCCCTTACATTTGGTGCTTCTTGTGAGGTTTAAAAAGTGACTTTTAAGGACAACTTAGAATGAAAAACAATCTGAAGCTATGTTTAGAATAAAATAAATATGCAGGAATTATTTTCTGTAAGCAGGGCTTCAGAAAATATCAATCTCACTTTGCCTCTATTATTACTACCTAATTCTGGGATTTCTTTTTCCTTTCTGTCAAGGCTGAACAGGTTGCGAAAAAAGGAAACCACTTGAGGTAAACTTGGTTTTCCTAAGTTTTTCTAAATAAAGCTTTAAAATGCAACACTCCCTTAACAAACTCTGGTGGAGGGAAGTGAACAGAGAACTGAGACTCAGAGGCCTGGGTTCCATCCCGCCCTTCACGGCACATTGCATATGGTTTTAAAACCACACACAACTCTGCACATCTGGAAAGAACAGCAAAAATTGAGAATAAAATATATATATATTTTAGACAGAGTCTTGCTCTGTCGCCTAGACTGGAGTGCAGTAGCACAATCTTGGCTCACTGCAAACTCCGCCTCCTGGGTTCAAGTGATTCTCCTGCCTCAGCCTCCTGAGTAGCTGGGACTACAGGCGCCCGCCACCTTGCCCAGCTAATTTTTGTATTTTTAGTAGAGACAGGGTTTCACTATGTTGGCCAGGCTGGTCTCAAACTCCTGACCTCGTGATCCGCCTGCCTTGGCCTCTCAAAGTGCTGGGATTACAGGCGTAAGCCACTGCACCCGGCCTAGAATAGATTTTAAAAGATTTCTTTCATAAATTTTAGAAACCTAAAGAGGTGATTTGTGAAAGAAACCAGATTTTCATTAGTTTACAAATATTTACAAAATACTATGTACTACTCGGTGTCTTCTTTACTGGATTATAAATGTAGAAACATGGAAAGTAAACACAGGACCTGTCATGGTCCATGTTCAAGGACATTTGGGCCAGAAATAGATACACTGATGGAAAACAGGGCCACGGGAGGTGGGAGAGAATTTAAACGTGTAATTTGAACATTAAACAGCCAGGAACTTCCAGAAAATTCTCTTGTGCTGCCATGACCAGTATCAAAGAACTTTACAAGGCTGAGGAGAGCCCACCAAATGTTTTAAGTGTTTTGAGTCTAAAATCTGGGTATTAAAGCTTGGGCCAAGTGGGAGAAAAAGCAATCTTAGGAAAAGAAAGTGCTAAGTCTGGTCCCTGGAGTTTAAGGCTTGTGTAATGACAGGCAAGAATAAGGTGATTAGGCCCGGTGCGGTGACTCACGCCTGTAATCCTAGCACTTTGGGAGGCCGAGGCAGGTGGATCACGAGGTCAGGAGATCGAGACCATCCTGGCTAACACGGTGAAACCCCGTCTCTATTAAAAATACAAAAAATTAGCTGGGTGTGGTGGCAGGCGCCTGTAGTCCCAGCTACTAGGGAGGCTGAGGCAGGAGAATGGCGTGAACCCGGGAGGCGGAGCTTGCAGTGAGCCGAGATCGCGCCACTGCACTCCAGCCTGGGCGACAGAGTGAGACTCCGTCTCAAAAAAAAAAAAAAAAAAAAAAAAAGATGATTAATATTTTCAGAACTGTCCACTTCAAACTCTGATTCTCATGAAGGCAAAAAGGGTGAAAGGTAGTATTCACACTCCCAATTAGAAGCCTGAGAGAACAGCAAGAACAGCTGGCACAAGGATGTTGTAGAAATAACACAAGAGAAGACCCACACTGGGGATTCTAAAGCTGCTCCTTTGTGTTTCGATGGCGTTGCCACCGACAAACCTTTCCCCTTCCAGTCACACAGGGGCCACTGGAATCCCAATCCCTTGACAAAACACCAGATGCCTGAGATGTTTATTTGATGACTGGTTGAACGGGAGGAAAAAAACTCCTTTTCTCTCGTCTTTGGAGTTCACCTACTTAAACAAGAAGTCTGTCTTTTGTGCCTGTCACCATCGTGTTCTGTGAGGAGGTTTCAGTCCTTTACTCAAGGCAGAAATCCTTCTTAAGCCTTGATTTTCTTGTTTGGGCCTCTTACATGAAACAGACACAGGCTGTTGACAGAAATGTTGAAGTGGCCATGAAGTCTGGAGCCCGGATGTCGTTCACCTGCCAAACAGTGTCAAGGGTGAAAGGCAAAGATCGAAGGCCAAAGTGCCCCTAGCGTCCCCTGCAGCAGGTCTCAGTCAACCTTAATAGATCTATTAATAGAAAGAGGCTGGACTGCGCAAGGGCAGGGGGACTAGCCTGGCTAAAAGCAAAATAAAACACATCAACAGACACACTCTTCTTTTGTTAGGAGGAGGTGGGATCACAGGCCCACATGCTCCCAGACGAGGTGGGGCCAGGAAGACTCTCACAGGATTGCCTTTCATGCTGCCACGGATGGATGCTCCAGGCAGATCCACTCTGCCAAGGCGTGCTTTGGGATTAGCCGGGCACTCCTTTGTCTTTTCATGACGTTTCCAAAAGAAGACACTGTGACTCTGACAGAGGTGACCTGCACCTCACGACCCCCTCTGTGCAAACCATTAGCATTTCCGGATCTCAAAAAAACCAAAAAAACCCACAGGGCACATGCCAATTCATAGGACAAATGGAAACAGACTGAAAACAAAAACACAGAACCATGGCTTTTCAGACCTGTCAACATGGTTAGTGTTGGAAATAGGCACTGACTTCTCTTCCACCAAGTGGAATAAAAATTTAGATGTCTTTTAACATCTTAGATATTTTAACGTATTTAAAGTCAGGCAAAAAGCCCTATAGTCATTGCACTGCCTCAAAAATTATTTACGACAGTTCTATCTTAATGCTGTGTCCTGTTTTCCTAGCGATCAATGGCTTGAGGACCTCCCTTGAGCTCACTTTGCTGGCTCTGTTCTCTCATTTTGTTTTTGCGCTTCCCTCTCCTCTCCGGCATGTCTCAGGCCTTTATTTTTGTTGGTCCTAACAGCTGGTCCCCTTCCCTTCCCATCTGTCTCTATCATCTATTTTCAGGTTATGGCTCAGGCCCACCTTCCTGCTCCAGGAGAACATCTATGTATTCTCCAACGGCTGAGAAACATGCTGAGCGTCTAATGTCATCCTCCATATTGGTAACACGTAACATTAATAATGACAGTCATAATTTTCTGGAAGTAAGCCAAAGGTTCTAAGCTTAGATCGAACTGCAAAACAGTGTAACATAAAGTCAGCATTTGCTGTTACTATTAAATACATAAAAATTGGTTAATTTTATTACTTTTCCTTGTCTATATACAAGTAGGTACTTAAAATGGTGACCTTATAAACAGTCATCTCAGAGTGGCAATTATTGTTGGTGAATGGCTTAACGTCGTGGGTTGGTCACTACTTGTGAAATATCTGCTTTCTGAGCTGCAGAGAGTGTGGACGCCCTCTCCACAACCCCACACAATTGTGCTTCACTGTATGCACACCCAACACAACACATGCAAAGAGTGTGCGTCAGACTCAGACAATGTATTTCACTGAATTTGGACTCAAGTTCAACTCATCATTCTAATGAGTAAGAAGATTCAAAGATGACAAGGAAGCAAGCCCACACAGTCTACGGGCCATGGGATGATGAACTTTCGTTTTATTGATTTTTCAGTACCCAAGTGTGGCACTGTAAGGCTGCCACATACAGCAAGTGACATGACACCAAAAGGACCTTCCGAGAGTATTATTCTTACTTTGGATGGAAGACATCGCTTAAACAAAAAACATTTAAAGATGCTCCCTTGCTTTTTATAATTCCTAACTGTAAAATATAATTTTAGTACAGAACAAACAAATTCTCCTTGGTTGGTCACATCATTCATTATTGAAAGGGAAACTTAGTATCAAAAGAAACAAAACACTGAAATAAATAACTAAGTAATTTACTGAAAGGTAGTTTTGTTGCATTGCACACAACTGACCGCAGAGAATTCTAAAGCTGATTTTTTTCTTAAAGGATGAAAAACTCATTTGCCATTTTTAGTTTCTTGCTAAGTGATACATGCTCCTTATAAGGAAAACTACTCTGTGTAGGCCTGAGTTTAAAATGTAAATATCTGTTTATCCAGAGTTTGTTAATCTAGAGTACACAGATGTGGAAAACTGGTGGTGAAAAGAGGGACCTACCCAGCCTTCAGGGTGGCTGGGCAGGGGCCCCATGTTACTGGCCTCAGCCACCAGCAGCGTCTTCACTCCGCCCAGGTCAGAAAGCACTGCCTAAAGCCGGAGCTTAGGATGAACATGGGCAAAAAGCACTGGTACAGTTCCATGTGTTTCTCTTCTACTGTAATGTCCCCAGAGGGATTGTGAAATGTCTGAGAACATCCCCTGGAGGAGGTTTAAAAGTGAGAAGCCCATGATATGGCTATGGAACATAAGCACTTATTGCTGGCATGTTTCTACCAAGATTGAACACAATGCTTTTCTTTGATAAAGCTTTGGGCAAGTTCCTAGTCCAATTTCTTCTGCTACAAGTACACAGAATTTACTGCCTTCTTGGTCAGCTCTTGGTATGAATTCTTCTCTTGAATTAAGATCCTCCCTGGCTTGTCTCTCACCCACCCTGTATCTCTTAGAGAAAGCACCTGGCTGTCTTCACCTACGCGAGACCTTCTCTGGAATGTGATTTGCTGCGACTGCAGACATCTCCATACGGCATAATGAACTCCCTTGAGTGGTCTCTTTTTAAACAATTTTGGGTGAGGGGCAGGTTTCTTGGTTTGTTTCAAAACTCATCTTGAAAATAATCTAGACGGAAAAATCCGAAGTGAAATTCTGGTGCAACAAATATTTTAAGATTGAAGTTTGGTTACTTCTCTTGTCCATCTTTTCGTGCCCACAAATGGAAACTACATTCCTGATTTAAGAGGATGCTTCTGTCTGTATCCTTTTTTGAACTGCATTGTTCTCACAAGGACCAGCAAACTTTTTCTGTAAATATTTTAGTAAATATTCTAGGCTTTACAGGCCACATATAGTGTCTGCTGCATATTCTTCAACGTTTTTTCTTAGGCAACTGTTTAAAAATGGCAAATCCACTACTACCTCTCAGCTGGAGCAATGAGGTTTTCTCAGCCCTTGTTTCAGGATCCTCAGGTATGTGACTAACTCTTCTATGCCCAGAGCTGGAAGGCGGGGTCCCCTAACTCCCTGGGTGCCCACCTGCCCACTTCAACCATTTGTGGCCCCTTCCTTTCCTTTCTTCCCTCTCTGCTGCTGACACCAGTGGCTCCATCGCCAGCTCCCTGCAGCCTCCACCAATAATCCATGGCTCCTCCAGGAAGTGTCGCAGGCAGGTGGCCAAGACCAACTTATTAGGTAGCCAGAAGCTCACCCCTTTCTTAACAACTTTGACCACGAAGCGCAAATACGATGCAGGTAAATCCAGAGGCAGAGCCTGGGTCCCCAGGCTGCTGGTAACACGCTTTGAAATCCAGGTGAGGGAGCCATGCCCCCACAGCTCTTGCCTCAAGGATCAGATGCATTTTACCTTCCAGAGACGCAGGTTAAGCTGCACCTGAGGCAGTTTGAGCCACAACTGGGACAGAATTCCCTTGGTCTTCTCTTCTGATCCCTCAGCAGAACTGCCCCTAATGCTCAGTTCATGGCAATACAGGCCTTTTCTCTCCTGTTTCTCCAAACTCTCCCAGCCTCTGCCCAGTACCTAGTTCCAAAGCCACTTTTATAATATCCTCAGTTATCTGTTATAGCAACAACCCCACTTCTGGGTACTAATCTGCTACCAACTACAGGAATTTAACTGTTCTGGAGTTAGGGAACAGCACACACAGACACTCGCACAAAACAAACTCCACCTAAAAAAACTGTACGAGAATTCCCCAAACTTCTCAACTAAATAAATAGGTGAAAAAACACCAATCTCACATATGCCAATCCAATTGTCCTTTTTAGATTTTGGCTTAAATTGTCGAATTTTTTCCTTCAAAATGTGAATTTATTTCCTGTATTGGATGCAGACTCTTCCCTTCTGGATTTACAGTGGTGCTGCCAGCAACAGCCTCAGTCAATGCGGTTAGGAAGAGGACTCGGCAGGCTGTGCATGGGGTCTCCCAGTACGATTAAAAGCTGAGATGACTTTTAATTAAGGGGGGTGGGGGAAACACCAATTGGAAGCTGGAAGAAACTGAGGCACGATTAAGCAGAAACACTGAGGAATACTGAGCAAGAAGTGGGCATGTGCTCTAGTTCCAATAAAACCGAAACTGGTGAAACTAGGAATTTCCAATTCTTTCAAAACCACAGTGTTCTAATGCCACTGAAATATGGAATAAGGAGCGTAATTACCTGCGGTCAGGAAAAGATAACAGTAACGAGGATTTTTCTAAATAAAATGTACCAGTAAATTCTGAAGTGTGTGTTTTTAAAGAACCAGCATTGCCTCCCCTCACGCTGGTTTCTTGGGATTTTTCACACACTCGCACAAAGCTGTAGTCGATAGTTCACTATCACTTTTATAAATGGTTATCTCCTGGTGCCCATGTTTCTCTGTTTTGGATATAAATGGTTTAAAAAATTTAAATTTGCAAAGAAAACATATACAGTAACAGACCTGAACAATAAATAAAAAAAAAAATCACCCTCTTCAGGTTAGAGCTTTCAAGATAGAGAAAAAAGAGGATTATCATTTCAGGCAGTAAGTTTTTTGGTTCTATGAAAGCATCACTATTCAGTCCCCTCTCCACTGACAGAATGCATCTTTCCACCTCCCTCCAGTATCAAAGTGCATGTGTTTAAATTTAACATTCCTTAGAGAAACCCCAGAAATCTCATTTATTTTTGGCAGATATCCTGTGCAGCAAAAATCAAGTGAATTTCCCTCTTCCCCACTCCTCAATTTAATGCTGTACTCAAAATGGCTAAACGCAATACTTCTAGACAGCAGGGCTTATAAACAATGCATTTTTTTTTTTTGAGACGGAGTCTCACTCTGTCGCCCAGGCTGGAGTGCAGTGGTGTGATCTCGGCTCACTGCAAGCTCTGCCTCCCAGGTTCATGCCATTCTCCTGCCTCAGCCTCCTGAGTAGCTGGGACTACGGGCGCCCGCCACCACACCCAGCTAATTTTTTGTATTTTTAGTAGAGACGGGGTTTCACCGTGTTAGCCAGGATGGTCTCGATCTCCTGACCTCATGATCCGCCCGCCTCGGCCTCCCAAAGTGCTGGGATTACAGGCGTGAGCCACCGCGCTCGGCCTGCATTTTGTTTTTGTTTGGAGGAACAAAAAAGGGAAAGAAAAAACAAAACCACAGGAAAATAAAGAGGAGAAACCCTGAGGCAAAAATGGCTTTTCCTTTTGAGTCTTCGTGGAGCTGTGAGCTGGATCACAAGGTCCCCGGGGCATTCTGGGCGGGAAGGCCCTCCTCCATCCAGAGGGCGGCGGCCGAGCTGCTCCGGGGAGTGCGCCTGTGGATGCGCCGCAGCCGCAGCAGGTACAGCAGGATGGCCAGCAGCACCACCAGGAAGCAGCCAGAGAACAGGTAGTGGTTGTAGACAAAGGAAACGCCCCGCCAGTGGGTGTGACTGGCTCGGAAGGCCTCCTGCTGGATGTCTCTGCCCATGTGAACACCAAACAACAAACAGGACAGTAAGCAAGGAAAGGGGTGGAAAGGGTGCACAGGGGGACGGCGGGACCCAGGCCCCAGAGCTGCACTTTAGGAACTGCAACCCTACCTCTGAAATGGAGAACGGAACAGCCCAATGCAGGGGGCTTCTAAGTATCAGTGAGATAACATGTGAAAGTATACTCTGAAGTCGGTCATTATAATTTGGGCAACCAAAATCAGAGGAATTTAGAAGAGCCGTGAAGGTTTCGCTGATACAAAGAAGTCAACATGTAAACAAACTGCATGCTTGTGATCAGTAACACCCATGACTCACCATTTTTACAGTTAACCCAGTTAAAAGGGTTGCTGAGAAATGCTCAATTAAATGGAGGGGGTGGGGGGAAGAGCAAATGTCTCATCTATCAGGTAACTCAGGTTCTTAGCACAGGTCAACTGACAGCAGATCTGCAAACGTGAATGGGGAAAAACGCACATCTTTGTTCTACCCAAGCGCTGACTGAGATGTAGCATTTCTTTGACCATGAATGCAGACAACAAACTATCATTAGCGTTGGCAGCACCTGCAACTTTGTTACTAACGAAAATCACAGATCTTTCATGTCCCATTATGGTATCATCAATGCCTCAAAATATCATTGACGCTCATTGACTACACTGAAATTACAGAAAGTGCTAATTCTGCTGCCAGATCCTGTTATTTAATGTGTTAATAGAGAAGAACACATATTACAGTATCACAAACTTGTTTTCTGTAATATTTTGGTATTATTTCAATATGATGGTTTCTTCTGTAATCCTATGTATTTATACATGCATTTAAACAGTATTTGGAGAAGAGGCCTGAGTCATAAAGGTTAAGAACCCCGGAACTGACCCTTTTGCCGGGGCTGGGGAACAGACAGTTGAGAATAACCAAACACAGGGCAGTAGGACAGGAGTGCTGTGTATTACGGGATGGTAGGGTGAGAAGGGAGGAAGCACTTGTGGGGAGGGGGCAAGACCAAAAGCAAACGTCACTGTCCCTACAATTCTGCCGTGGCCGGCTCTAACAGCAATGCCCCAAACAGCCACAGACCACAGCTGCCATGAGGTGCTGTAACTGCAGAAAAGCATCTTTTTGATTCTCGTTCCCAAATTCACAGCCCTACCTTAATGGTAGAAAGCGGGTCCTGTAGAGGATGGCTCCAAGGGTCCACTGAACCTCCTTGTCGTAAACTTGCAAGGCAGTCTTTAAGCTTTTATAGTTGACAGGAAACGAAAAGCCCCTATGAAACACCTCAAACATCCAGGCCGATTTGAAGCACTGATACCTACAAACGGCAAGCACAAAGGCAAGTCAGACTGACTCACTCTGTCAAGATGGCACACACACACACACACACACAATCCTTCCCTCTGTGGGCAGCCTTGGGGCAGGGGCTTCCTCAGGCCGGCTCTCCCAAACCAACTGCGCGCGTTTCAAGGTTGATGTACTTGCTTCACATCCCTGGTCCCACAACATGGAGCAGTTCACCTGTCAAATCAATCAGTGCATGAACCCGGTCTCGGCATAATGTCATATATCCCTGAGATAGGTTTCTTTTCCAGCTGGCATTTCACCATGTACTCCTTGAATGAATACTGAACAGGTTCCAACCTCTTTGTACCTCAGTTTATTATAAAATGAGATGGTAGGAAGGTTCTCTTCAGCTCTGATATTCTATGACTCTAAATATTTATTAGAGGTTTATTTTTTGCCAAGCACTGTGCTAAGCAAGTAATAAGATACAATAATTAGTAAGATACAGTGTCTGCACTTAAGTGACTTACAATGAAAGGGGATTTTTAAAAAGCAACAGAAAAAGCAGAACATGATAAATGCATTGGCGAGGTAGGATGAATTCTTGAGACTCAGAGAAAGGGATGAAGTCTGATTGAGGGGACAGAGGAAGACTGGAAAGGGACAGCCTCTGGCTGGACTCTGATGTCTGGGCAGGACTTGAACAAGCAAAGGTATGAACAGGGGAATTTCAGGGGTAAGAGACAGTAAAAGTGACCAAAACAAAAAAGATACGGAATATGTCTGGGCACAAGTATTTGTCCCGTTTGAAAGGGGCCCAGGGTAGATGGGAAGAACAGTGAGTGAGAAGAAGCTGGACTGAGGCCAGGGTGTGGCAAGCCAGTGGGGCCAACACTGCATTATGGTTCTTAAGA
Source organism: Homo sapiens (assembly GCF_000001405.40). NCBI lineage: Eukaryota > Metazoa > Chordata > Mammalia > Primates > Hominidae > Homo > Homo sapiens. The sequence continues at coordinate 23,435,362 of NC_000008.11, forward strand.
GTGCCCTGGGCTTGACCTTCTAGTACTTACTTAAGCCTGTGGAGGTCAGCATGAGAGGCGTACAGTCCTCGGTCAAAGCGTTCCCGCAAAATGGACCACTTTGTTGCACAATAATCCTGAAAACAAATTCACCAAAATAGATCACTAGTAAAGGCTTATTAAAATTCTCACTTTAAAAATGGTTTACCAAATTTATATTTGTAACAAGCATATCCTTCCCATTAGGAAACACACAAGCTTAACTTATACAACAAATGGCAAGACACACAAACACTCAGGGAATACTTACTGATTCGCAAACACAATGCCTTGCCTTAAAATTCTGTCCAGGGTATTGTTAAAGAGAGCTTTGCTGTCCACAACCAACCTCTCCAAAACTGTTTAGTTTCTCCCTCCATGACTGCATGGTACGGGCATACATTTTTGGAAAAGTGAAGCAGTATTTTAGCTACTTCAAACTAAGTCCTACATCTGTGGAGGACACAGTACAAGCTACTGGGATAATAACTGCAAAAGGTTTTTGTCTTTAACAGAAGGGAAAGAGATCCCACTTTTCTTGAAGTTATTTGTTATAATAACTTTTATTGAGCATTGTGTAAGTGTGTCTTCTCAATGTAATACTTAACTCCTCGAGGTGGCTACCATCCCGACCTCTATTTAAAGGATGAAGACACTGCTGAGAGGTGGGAGATGGGCCTGGGTGTGTGACAGGGAGCACAAGGAAAAAGCACTTGGCCTGGGGAACGGGCTCGGCATAGGCACTTCAGGAACATGGACATGGACACAGAGAAGTCGCGGAGAGCGTGAGGGAAGCCAGCTGTCTGACATGATTACAGCATACAGTGCTCTGCGCTTCGAGATGGGTTTGAGAAATACTTGGAAGATAAAATACCACACTTGTGACTGATTACACTGGGGTGTATAGGGAGAGATGAAATGGTTAGAGGGAGAAGTCCATGACTCCTAGGCTGCAGGGAAGGGGACTGGATGGTTGGCGATGCCATTAACCGAGAGAAGAACAGGAACAGAATGGAGAGAGGATGGTGGGTTTGTCTGGAGTTGTGGAATCTAGCAGGCAACCGGGCAGGGGTCAGGATTGGAGCCTCTTCTTGAGAGGCAGCAGCAAACCCTGAATATGGATGAGACCATCCAAGAACCTGAAGATCAGGGGCCAAGTGTGGAAGTCTGGCATCACCTAAGTTTAAGGGGTGTCAGGAAGGCAGAGAGAACACAAGAACAGGAGTATCCTGGCAGGTCAGGGAGGGGGAAGGCTAGTAGGAGAATTGTCACATGCAGCAAAGCACAAAAATGACATAAAAGACTGTAATTTGGAGCTAACTGATGACCAGGGTAGCTAATGGAGTGGTGCAGAAGTCAGCGTACAGTACATTTTTTACTTCTGCTGTGACTATTCAACCTCCCTCCAAGCAAAGGGAACAGGATCCCAACATGCTGCAGTGCAGCCTTCTATACTCCGTCTTTCCCTGTCAATGTGAAAGGAGGACATAACCCGTCACCGTCCACACTGGTCTCTCAAAAGCATGCAGAGCAGACGGCGTCTCTCAAGGGTACCTTTGCAGCTTTAGTAAATTTAGCAGCATTGTAGTCTCCCCCCATTCGTAACACATCCTCGGTGCAGTAGTAGAATTCGGAGAAGCCATAGAATTCACTGTTCTGGAAGTGAATTGGGGGCTGGTAGACCCCATTGAGGGAAGTCTGGGTCTCGTTTGTTTTATTCATGAAAGGCTGGATAGTCTCTCGACACAGGTCAAAGTCTCCAGTCCCTCGTAGGTATATGGTTTGTCCATTTTGCTGGATTTCATCTTTAATGTCTAGGGGTAGGCAGGGGTCCAAGTACGGCATATCAGGAGTCAGACCAGTCTGTTTACCCAGGAGCCTATGGCAAAACAAGAAACTTCATCGTGAGTCCTACAGAAAACTGTGTTTTCAGGAAGTGGCTGCAAACCAGTGTTTCTCAAAATACGCTCTGTGGGACATGAGACCTGCAGGACCGTGTCTGTGGAACAGAAAAGGGTTCCGAGATAATTAGTTAGGAAAATACACACTTGAGACTTTCTTGGAGAGTCAGGATACAAACTTGCCTGCAGCAGACAGGCTACCAGAGTCCAGTTGGATAACCTACCCGATTAGCCGACGATCCTGGCAACAAGGCCTGATGTTCCCAGCTGCTGGGCACAAGGCAACTGTGTTACCAGCCCCATTTTTGCACTAGTGCTTGTGGTTTTACCTAATACAGATGGAAGGAACGTGACTGTGACAAGATCCGGTCCTGGGCAAAGCAGGTTAGATGCTTTAGAAAAGTTACTAGAAAATTATCAAACTAGGTGTGGGTAGGATTTTTAAAACTGGGAAAAATTAGCAAACATCTAGAAGGATTTGGTATCAAATTGCCTTGCAAATCTCTTTTAAGTCCTCAGTATTCTTTAAACAAAGACAAACTGGTATCTCAATGAGGGGTGCAGTGCATGCCAAAGAAAGGATGGAGTCTAAAAACAGACCTTGGTTCAGAGGAAAAGATTAGCAAATGAATACAGAAGTTAAGACAGAATGTCTAAGGCTTGGCTCTATTTTTATCATTCTGTTTCAACTTATTTCTTTCCTTGATCAGCTATGGGTCCCAACTGCAGCAGACAGCAGTTTCCATTGTACAATGGGCTCTGAGATGCCCTGTAGAAAATAAACATTAATTTTGTTAACTGAAAGGCACTAGGCTTATTACTTGCTAATGAAATTTCTGGGAGTTAACATCTGTCATCCTATTGTGTGTGCATGCCTTCAAGCAACAAGAAACAGAGAAGAGCTCACAAAATCTCAAGTGATGTTGGTGTTGGATACTGTGAAATCACAGGGGCCTGACAGGTGTTGAACTGTTAAAGGGTTAAGCATGGTCAGAATTCAATATTCATCACCGACAGTCAAGTTTTCACTTTTCACTCAACTCACAAGTTGTGTATTCCTCAGATCAGGGTTACTCATCATGCAGTTGAATGTAATAAATTAAGGTCTTTGCCATAAAAATGTTCGCTTAATTTAAAAAAATTAATCACCACTACAAATGGCGAAGAGATAAATGTGTACTTCAATGCTCAATTCATGACATATGAAACACCTGTAATTACTATAAAAGTCCAAGAGTAGTCAAATATATATTTCATGCTATTATTTTTAGTTGTCCTATATCTAAATTAAGAAGTACCACTAAACTATCCATTATATAAAGCTTTCTGACATTAAAACCAATGAGTAAAAATTAAGGTTTCGGAAAAAATATGTTACAAATGTTGTCTATAAAATATTTCTAGTTTAAGACTACTATAAAAATGATTATACCAAAATGTGCTAAATACCAATTAAAAATACAAAATCATGGGACTACCAATCTTATAATTAAAACTATTCAGTTAACTTTTGGAAGAGACACAGGAAAAGGTTTTTATTGCTTTTCCTATTTACACACATGACTTTGTGGTAAATGTACTGAATAGCTCCAACTTGGTCTTTTTTCAAGTTCAGGCCTTCACAGGTTTATTAAGATTACATTAATCAAGGAAGTATACAATCTCTTAGCTCTATGAACTAGGATTTTTTTCCCTCAAAATTGTTTCATCAAAATAAACAAATAAAACACAGTAATAAATAGGATAGCTTACATAACCCCAGATTCAGATTTTTTTATTTATCCAAATAGCTTTTATGTTCTTACAAATTTCAAATAAATAAGTGCTATATACTTACACTTATACAGTCAATTTAAACCAATAGAGTGCTGTTTTGTTTTATATATTTTCTATACCACAATTCTTCATACACTCATTTTTTAAAGCTTCATTGCTAAATTCAAAAGCCACTAACTCTGACTCTTCTAGATAATTTATTTCTCTTGAATAATTCCCTTCACGATGGTTCTTATCCACTAACTAGCTGCACTGGCTGCTTCATCCACAGAGTCTCCAGAACATCACATATTTCAATCTCCTCAGCAACAAGAGAACACACTACCTGAGGCCTCCAGGACACCACGAGTGCTCCAGATACTGGGTTTCCCAAGGACTCTGAATCATGAATAGCACCACCCAGGGCTCCAAACTATTCTATAGCTTGATGGTGAAATTTCTAATCCATCAGTTGAGATGCGGGTGAGAGAGCGCACGCACACACCTCCTTCAGGGCACGGTGGGACAGAGGGCCAAAGGCAGGACCCTGGTGTGCTTTCATCTCTTCTCCCTGCTCAGCTAGTGGGGGAATAAAAAGCTAACAGTGCAACACACTTTTGCTAATTGAGTTCTTCCCACTTTGCCTGGGTCTGTTTTTTATGAGGAGAGACCTAGGTTTGCAAATGACTGCCAAGTAGTGAAAGGTGCTTTACCTGTTCTTTTGAATGGTGTTGGCAAATATTCTGTCTTCGTATCTCTGTCGAGCAGCATTGCCACCAAACCCAAGAAACGTGGCCACATAGACTCGATACACATGCTCAGTTTGGTGAACATCACATCCCAAGTTAAATTCAGCTAACAAGTTTTTAGCTACTTCTTCCTGCAGACATAAGCATAACAAACCTTAATAGCTTAAGCTACTTTAGCCTCCTACTAAAAAGAAAAGTCTAAAAATAGTCTCATCTAAAAGGGACAAAAATGTCTGCTTCTGCACTTCCCAAGGACCCTTCTAAGCATCACTCATAATTCAATATGACAATTCTGATTTAGGAAATTTCAGATGGGCTGCAAATTTGTGATACTGTTATGACTTTTTGAAAGAGAAAGTCAGCAAAATAGTTCATACCCTCTGACATAATTTATTTCTGGAATCCTATGCTGTGGAAATACACCTAAACATGGAAATGTTTCTATATGCAAAGATGTCCTTTGTCATTCTGTGACAGAAAAAACTAGATGTCATCTAAATATATAATAGCAAGGGAAGGTTAGTTACAGTAATCAATAGCTTATGGAGGAACATGCTCATGCACTGTTAAATAAAGGACAAAAATCATATAAACTAAGATTATAACAACCATATTTTTTAAAACTATGAGTAGAAAAAAAAAGAAATTCACTAAAAGGCTAACAATGGCTTTTTTAGGTGATGAATCCATGGGAAATTTTTAATCTTGATTTTTCAGTATTTATTCCAAACGTTATTTCTATGTATTTTTTACTTTATATTGAGAGGGAAAAACATGATTTTTTACAAAGAGTGTAACAGTCTCTAGAGGCATGTCTGGAATGGGAGGTAGGAAAAACAAATTGTAATACTTGAATTTACAAAGCATTTTTCCAAGGAACTTAATAAAGATGTCAGTAACATTTATTGAGAACATACTAGCTGCCTGGCAGTGCATTAGATATACTGGATGCATTATCTCATTTAAACCTTCTAATAACCCCATGTTGTAGGTACTTTTGTTCACGTTTACAGATGAAGAAACCAGCTTAAAGAAGGTACATGACTTGCACAAGGTCACACAACTAGTGAGGAGGAGGATGATGAAGAAACCCAGGCCTGTCTAGCTCCACGGTCTCACTTTGAACCGTCCCCCGCCGGCCACGCTATGCTGCCGCCCACCTTTGAGGGGAAAATCCAGAAAGCTAGGCTTTGGTGTTAATCTACAGCTGAACACAAATGGAGTAATAAAGACGTGTAGCAATTCAGAAATACATCTGGAAACCGTGCCGGGGTTCTCTAGACAAGGCTGCCCAGGCAGCAACTGAGAGGGCACAGAACAGGGTGGAGAACAGTTCGAGTAAACCACCAGTTGAAAGATGTGGAAGCAGTGGATACAAACCTCAATCTTCCCCAAGGAAGCTCAAAGTCTGAACCATTAAAAAAAAGAATTTCCCCCAATTCTAACTTAAAAAATCAGATGTTATTATTTTACATTTCATAAAACCTGTTGAGAAAAGACGTGATTGAAGAGAAAATATAAACTGAAACTCAAGCATGCGACTGCGTATATACCAAAGAAAAACTCTACGTTCAGAAAACAAACCAGCTGATTTCAATGAACACACACAAGCGGCTCAGCTGAGGTCTGCCTTGTTCGTCCTGTCTCCTTTCTCCTGGGTTGAGAGGCGGCACCTCAGCCAGCACAGTAAAGATGTGTTCAGACTCAGAAAACAAAACAAGAACGATGGACACACGTTAAATGAAAACCAAACCAAACAGAAGGAAATTTGTACAGATAATGACCTGCTGTGAGGACGCAAAGCTTACAGTTTTGGGGACTTCGTACGCTATCTGAGTCGACACGCCGCCCATGTCGAGAATGCCCGCTGTCCTTTTACGGACAATGGCTTCGCTGCTTTCACTTCCAGGAATGTTAACTTCCACAACGGCCTCATCATCTAGAAAGAACAGAAAGTGTTCACTGGAACAGAACTAATCCAGAGAACTGGGCTCTTCTGAAGAGTCACCTTCTTTTCATGGTCTATTTCAAGCATATTCAGGCAAACCCAGTCTACTCCTCCCAACTAAAATCAAGTTGAATTACGTTCAACTGCAGCTGCTCTCATTCTACTCCTACACGCTTAGGAGTGTCACAAAGCTTAGCTCTTTTTTCAGCCTTTGGATTAAACAGAAAAGCACCAATTTCCAACTAGATACATTTGTTGGAACCATGACACTTACCATCTTCAATATGCTCAAATCGTCCAAGGACAAAATTAATGCCAATCCAAGCATACACACCTATAGACATTTTACAGGGTGAAGAGAAGAAAAAGTTTTAAAACATTTTGTGTAACTCCTATCTGCGCAGTCTGTGCAAACGTCTCACTTATTTCACTCCCTGATAACCTGTAAAATCATCTGAAATAACACCTTGCTACTGATGTTTTTATTACTCCAAATGGCTTTCCAAGAACTCTCAACTTTAATGTTTATAGTTTTATACCATCTACACAGGTTGGAAATACAATACGCTAGGTGCCAGTTTTCTTTTGAAATTTATGTTTCAAAATACTATAATTTTCACTTTTATGATGTTAAACCTGTCAAATCCAAGGTTTTAAAAATTCAAGGTATCAGCTGGGTGCAATGGCTCATGCCTGTAATCCCAGCACTTTGTGAGGCCGAGGCAGGCAGATCATGAGGTCAAGAGATTGAGACCATCCTGGCCAACATGGTGAAACCCCGTCTCTACTAAAAATACAAAAATTAGTTGGGCATGGTGGCGGCGCCTGTAGTCCCAGCTATTCGGGAAGCTGAGGCAGGAGAATCACTTCAACCCGGGAGGTGGAGGTTGCAGTGAGTCAAGATCGTGCCACTGCACTCCAGCCTGGTGACAGAGCGAGACTCCATCTCAAAAAAAAAAAAAATTCAAGGTATCTTCTGCTCTTTCCTTTATCCCTCCATTCACTCAGCTGCCAAGTCTGATTCTATTTTCACATTCCCTACACCTGGGTTTCATTGTCACCTTGGGTAGTCCATCTAATCCATCCCTGCCCCTATTCCTCTGCTGCAACCTGCTCTACTCTCTGCTATTGGACTCATCTACAGAAAGAAGTCCAAATTCCTGGACTGACAATTCAAGAGCCAGCCAACTGTTAACATTCCCGCCACTCCTTCCAGAAGGGCCACCACCCAGTCAAACTAAAACATTTGTGTTTCTCTGTCCACAGTGCCCTCTTTCCAACCTGTCCTGAGTCAAGTCCTTTCTTCTGCCTGGTGTGTGCTTCCTGCCCCTCCCTCAGAGCCCCACCCTTCCCATGCTCTGGCATGTTCTATTTAGAACTATCCCTTCCCTTGAGGTGCAGTTCAGATGTCACTTTCTCCATCATGGCCCTAGCTGGAAAAAAAAAAATGCCTCCCTCTTAAGAACTCCTGTGATATTTTTTCCTCATCTTTTTTCTGGTACCTAAAACCCTCATAGAACAGCTAACTGTGTAGCTCAATTGTCTGTAAGCAGCTGAATAGCAATGTGTAAATTTCACCCCATTTCTGTATTCTCTACAGTCTCTTTCACATAGGAAGTATTAATGCTGAAATGACAGACGGCTTTTGAAATACTTTTTGGTATACATTTCTAGCAAGCTATACCCCAAATAATTTCATTGACTTGACATTTCATTCTCAAGGAGAATCATTTCTTTGAAAATAGAACAAAGATTTGATATTTCTCAGTGTATCAAAGTCGAGAAGAAGCTCCAACAGCTCAATAATGATCAACGTCCCAGGAAGCCACACAACTTAGGCAAGGCACACAAGCCTTTTCTATCAAAGTGAGTTTATATCAAGCTATGTCACTACATGTGGTGAAGACAAACGGTTATCTTTCAGTGGCTTAATGTTAGGGCAACAAAGACTAGTCATATAAGAAACTGATTTAGTAATTTAAAAATTGTAATATTTCAAGGCTATTATTTCCCAAATGTTAAGACAATAGGAGTATAACAAAGGGTACATTGGTGAAAATGGGGAGGATTTAAAGGAACAGCTTCCCAAATTTTAAACTGAAGACCAATATACCAACCTTCTTGTTTCCCAGAAATTACTTCTGCATGAGAGTCAGAAAACAGAAAGTCAAAGTGCACGGGGATATCGGTCAGAAGGTCTTCCAGAATAGCTTTCTGCTGGCTGTAAAGTAATAAAAACATTTACAAATCAAAAGATTACAGCTTGGTATCTTCTGTTTAGAAAAGGAAAAAAATAAACAAACAAAAAACAAAACCAGGGATCTGGTATATCTTGTATGAAACAGTTAATTTTTTTAAAAAAGAAATTCGTTGGAAAGATTATATTAGGAATGAATTTTCAAAATGAACAAGTTGTGTGAATTATGTGATTTCTAGATGTAAAACTACAACTGCAAGCATTCCTTAACTACGTAAAATAGATTAGGTTTTTAAAAATGACACCTTTACCGTTGCCTATAGTCCTAAGTCAATTAAAGGCTATTTGGTGGATTCTGGCTAAAGGAATAGTTCTGGTACTGTTACAGACTTGAAGAAAGAATTTTGAATATTTTCCTTTCAATGATGATGATGATGATGGAGAGGAGAAGGAGGAAGGGGGAGAAGAACACCCCCTCTCCCCTCCAGGAACCCACCCTCACCCTTGCCCTTCTGTGGAGGATCACCTTTCGGGGAGGATTCTCATTCCAGCCGTGCAGAGAATGTAGAGAGGTGTCTCTTTGTGTTTTGCCCGTGGCACATGCTCTGCAGCAAAGTTCAAAAGTGGAGAAATGTAATCACTGACTTTCTCTGGAGAGGTAGCAAATTCTGAAATGCCTAGAGAAACAGGATACTTTAGTTAAGAAGCAGATATTTTAGCTATAACATGTGATGTTTCTTCAGAGTGGCTAATTTTAGGGAAATCATGCTACACATTACACTTCCTTAGTTTTTCCTATCCTTCTAGCAACTTCTTCTGCAGACCTTACTTAAATGTTGGTGGCACTATTCAGTGCTATGTCCTTTTCTTCTTCATCAAAGCACACAGACCTGACTGAGCATCTGCTGTGTGTCACTGCCATGCGCATGGGCTCTTGCCTGCCCTCGAGAAACGTGCTCCCCCTCTCCTCAGGTGAGCTCAGTCCCTCCTGAGGCTGCTATCACCATCAGCATGCCATGAACTCCGAACTGTGCCACCAGCCATGCAGCACTCATTAGCCTCCAGGTGAGCGTGGGGTAACTGTCCACCAGACACTGCCCTTGCTTGTCCTCACAGCCACCCCCAATGCATCATGGCAAAATCTGAACTCAACTTTCACTACAAACCTGCTCTCACTGCTGGTTACCTCCCTCCGAGGCCATCAGCGCTGGGCACCCAGCAGCCCAAGCCAGGGTCTTAGATGAAGTCCCTCTCCCTCATCCCAACACACAACCTGGGTTTCATAGATCGCCTCTCCTTGGTTCCTCTCACATGACTTTACTCCTCATCCCTTTGGACACGCCCTCTGCCAGCCTGCCACAGCACATCCCACCCTCTGATCCTGACCATCTCCCCACCATTCCCTACCCAAAGGATGCCTCTTCAGGCTTCCAATTCTTTTGTGGCTCAATGTCCTCCAGGTAAGGCTCAACTCTAGAACACCCTGCTCTGCATAACTCACCCACCCTTATCTCTTCCCATGTTCCTTCCATTGCCTTCAGCTACACTGAACTAACATTTCCATAATGCACCTTACTGTGGCCTTAGGGCCCTGCTCCTCCACCACCAAGAAGAGTCTTCTCCATCCACCTCCCTACCCCTTTTCACCTGGTTAATTCCTGCACACCCACTTGGCTCCAGCCTCCATGGAAGTCACCCTAACAGAACCCTGAAGACAACTCTTGTTAAATTCCATGCTTACTTCCTTTTGCTAGATGTACATTCATTACACCATATCAAAATTACCTATTTACTTGCCTGTCTCATTACAACTAAAAGCTTCTCAAGGGCACAAAATGTGTCTGTTCAAACTTATATTCATAGCACCTAACACAGTGCCTAGCAAATGGCAGGTGCCCAGCATGTATCTGCTGAATGAGTACACAAATGAATATTTCTAGGTGTCATTTAGCCTACAATATTAAAAATGAGGGGCGCTTTAGAAGTCTAAAAATACCTTATTTCACACATTAGAAAATTACAAACCCAAAAAGATTAAGTGATTCATCAAAGGAATTAGCAAAAAATTGACTAAACTGTAAGTTTTTGACAACACATACAATTCAATTTCAATGCACTCGAAGCCCTAAACTAGCCAGACCCTATTAAGAAATTTCTAGAGCCTTGCTGCAATGTTATACACGGAAGTCCATGCTTCAGGACAGAGTAGTGCAATAAAAAGGTATTTTGATTTCCATTTCATACACTTTGTATAGTGCAAGACAGACCAATGTTAAGCCTGATTTTAATGAGATTCTAATGTATACTCTAGGATGATAATGTAGTTGACCCTTTGTTCTAAAAGGACAACTCCAAGGCATGGAAGTTTTCATCTTATTCCATGAGATCTGTTTAGTCACTGATGGGACCTGGTACGTGAAGCTAGATGAAATGTAAAATGCTTTATTTTTTCAGTCTTCTCGTAAGTTTTTTATTTGATCAATATTACTTTAACTGAAAATGTTTCTAGGTTAGGGATACATAAAAATTTAAGGGGTAGAAATACATAAAACTAAAACTTAGAAGACACTCACTAAAAAATTAATCTTTGTTCATGGAAATGTACTCTGATAAAATAATGCTGGTATACAGACACACAGTAGGTTGTCTCTCTTTAACCTGAAAAGTGAGGTACAGACTTTAGATTTTCTGAGTAATATGCTGGTTCCTAGCTGCCCATACATCAAAGGATAATCAACTTGTTGAGGGCTGCCTGAAGGAGGAGGTGGGGTCTGAATTATTCCGTAAAGAATGAGGACTCGAGGGGTCACCATTCTACATGGTTGGAGACTCTTCTATGAGGATATGTATTTTTCTCATGTTAAACTGAATATTCTTTTAAATTTTATTTCTGAAATGGGGATAATAAGCTATAATAATTATTATTTATCAATATTCTCTAATAATTTACCAGATAAATTTCTTGGATTGTTTGCATTTGATATTTTACTATTTTAATACATTAGTAAGATGACATAAAAGTGCTGCATCTCTATTAAGATCTGTGGTCAACTGTTTGAAATCAGTGATCAACTATCAAGACATAAAACTTGTTTCAAGGCACTCCCGGTATCTCCCATTCTAAATGCTCCTGACAGAAGCTGCTGTCCATGGAAATGGTGATGATACAGAAAAAAGAGCATCACTGATGTAAATTACCTAATAAGGAAGCCAAACCTAAACTTTTACATGTCACACTGGCTTAGAAATTACAGTATCTTTAAAAACTATACATAATTATGATTAGCTCTAAGTTCTGTGGTCACACTCACCAAATAATCTAGATGACTAGAACTACATGTGGCCAGCAATTTTTAAAAGTGACAAATATATGCCAATATATTACAGATTTTCATGAGTTATCTGAAATTACCTTGTCATTAAGGATAGAGACCAATGGTTACTAAATAGGAAAAAACTCTCCATAATTAATGCCAACCAGCAACATCTGCGTAGATACCATGAGTAAGGCACTATTTAAAATGCTATGGGAGACAAAAAGACATGTCTGTTTGGATGTTTTATCAAGGTGTTAGTCACCCTTTGCAAAATGGACAGAAAAGGGAAAAGAAAGTGAAACAAGGAGACCCATCAGGTCCTGGTGTGAGGTTTGACTCAGGGCCATGGTGTAGAAAGGGAACGATATGAAAGACGCCACAGAGAATGAAGGTACACACCCTGGTTACCAGGCAGATGTTCTCATTTACATACCCGGTTTTATCTTCATGACCACTGGCTTTCGGTTTTTATCCCTCATTTGCCTGATATCCAACAGATCATGTGGATTGCCATTATGCCTTGGCCAGCAGTAAACAAATACTCGAGACCCACTGCTACCACAGTCCACCACGATCCCATAGTTCACATTGGGGTTATTGGTGTCTGTAGCTTCAATGTCGGTAACTCGTGCCAGGTACCTTGTATAGAAACACACGTATGCTTTGATTTAGACAAAGAATATCACCTGAAGTCTAACAGAGAAAATGCAGCAAATACCAAGTCAGTAATTTCTAAGCTATGTAGCAGCACCACTATAACATCAATACAACTGTTGAATAATTGAAGAGTCAAAAGAAAACAAAACAAGTGATGATGATAAAGATCATCTAAATCAGACACACACTCCATTACAGAAGTTCAAACAAATTCCAAAATGCAAAATTCTATTTCTAAACTACCAACTCAAAAATCAGCTTAAAACATATTACACGAGACGCTTATGTATAAATAATTATTCCAGGACCTCTTATGATATGGATTTGGTAGTTAGCAGTTAACTAGCTTCAAATGGTTTAACTGTTCATGCCATGATGAACATGGCACAGAATCTAGTTCCTACAGTTCCTTAAATTCCAATCTAAAGCCAAACGTCGTGAAGCCATGAAATGATGGTGTTATGGTCTGAATGTCTGGGGCCCCCCAAAATTCGTATGTTGGAGACCTAATCACCAATGCGATGCTATTAGGAGGTGGGGCCTCAGGGGGATGATTAGTTCATGAGGGCAGAAACTTCAGGGAGCCCCCTCACCCCCTTTCCATCATGTGAGGAAACAGCAAGAAGACCTCCTCATCTCAGAACCAGGAATCAGGCCCTCACCACACACAAAACCTATGGCACCTTGATCGTGGATTTCCCAACCTCTAGAACAGTTAGAAACAAATTGCTGTTGTTTATAAGCCACCCAGTCTATGGAATTCTGTTCCAGCAGCCTAAAACAGGTAAGACAGAAGGTAAGGCTTCTGGTCTAGAAAGCAAATGTTTTTATCTCTTACCTTTGAAATTTCTTGTCTCTGGTTAGTCGCCCATACTTATTTCGGATTATGACAACAGAAAAATATAAAAGTGAAACAGCAGCAGCCAGGACACTAATGACCATAATTTGGCGTAAATTGGTATTCAGAATTCGAGGACACCCTACTGGAGATATGCTAAAATGCCAAGAAGCAGGAAAAAGACAGGAGATGCCAATCCTGAAATTAGAAGGAAAAAGATTTTAAAGCAATCTGCTCCAATGAGGCTTCCTTCACCTAAAGTGATCCTAAAATAAGATATTTGGCTTGAGCTACCTGGATTTCCCTAACTGTAGGTATCTGTATACTGGCATCTTGCATATGCTACACAACAGCTACAAACCCCTTATCATAAAATCATCTGAATGAGAATCAGGCCCTGAAGGTTACGACACTTCTGGGTTTTCCCCTTCTCTTGACAGTATTATGTAGATTTTTAATTTTACCCTGCTTTGCTCCAACATAGATACAGAATTAGAGACTGCTTACGAGAATAACTTCAATAACATAAATATATAAATCGATCATGAAATCGAGTGTAAGGATGATGAGACCAAACGGGAATGCAGTATGGAGAAAGGCATGTCGTAAGCTGGGCCTGCTGCAAATACGACTGAGCTCATTGCCCATTACACCAGAAATATACAAATAGCTCAGGAGGAACAAATTTTCTCAACACTGAAGTCCAAGGCAAATTTCTCCCAGATGACTTGAGTAATGGGAGAAAACAGCATTTTAACAACATCCCCATAACAAAGTCAATAAATGAGTTTTCTATGTCCTGTACTTTTAGAAATATTCCCACAAGACATTTCTGCAAATAATCAAGAACTTTTCCCCTCAGTTTATGTCAAGAATGAGAGGCTCATTCTAGAAATATGATTAGGATTTAAAAAAATTTCACTGCCTTTGGGATAAATTCTATTATTTTACAGTTAATTTCTTTACTCTTCACCTTGAAGAGTGCTTCATGCATTAAAATACCTCACTGGGCCCTGGAAGAAAAAAGGTCTTAAACAGAAGCACAGCACAACTTCACATTTTTCACTTGCGATTTAGATTTTTTTTCTCTCAAGACCTGTTTTTGCATCACCAAGATTTCATGTTTCATGGTGATTAGGCCCATCACTTACCTCCCCATACTGAAAGGTCAGCAACAAGGCAATGCTCTGGGATTCAGTCCTTCTCACAAACAATTATAGAAATAATGCTGGGGTCCTCACGGAGTTAGAGCCCTCCTGTTCCAGGAAGTGAGACAAATCACAAAGATAGCATCATCAAAGAAAACATCTACGTTCTTTAAGTGTGTGCTTAAATCCAACCACATATAATCTATACATGATCCTTGCACTGAAGCTGTTGGAAGGGTTTATTCTGAGCAACACACTTCTAAGTTAATTTCATACTGTCCAATATAGACCTAAATCAAAAGAGATGATAATCGTCTGGTACTAGTTAGTGCTGTCTAACCTAAAGTGTCTGTGACCCCAAAATATCAGGATATCAAATAGGCCTTAAATACCTTATGGTACAAGGGAGATTTGGGGTGGAGGTAGGAGAAAGGCAGAATAAGCTGAATGTGAACCTGAAATATCCATTCACTTGATAAATGTCTATTAGACTGCCCTTTTATGTACAAAGTACTGTGCAAGGCACTTTGTCCCTAGTCAGTTCTCCGACTCCACCATTATCACTCCTCCTCCAGCCTCCAGGCCTCAAATTGCAGAGCAGACAGATGCCTTTAGCCAGGGCCTCCTTCCAATCTGCTGAAGCCAAAGGACAAGCGGTCTCTATCTTTCCTCGGTCTCACAAAGCTGCTTGACCTCTCAAGACAGCTGTCTCGTCTGGTCTGCTTCTGAGCTCTGGAATAACTGCTGCTCAGGATCCTTTAAGCGTTGTTCTCTGCCAACCCCGACTACTCTTATGTTTCCAGGCTCTCTGTCTAGCCTCATTCTCTTCTAACTACAATCATTACTGAGGCTTCAATGATCAGGTAACTCAAATTTTTCTTTCTCCACCCCAGGCTTCTCTTCTACACTTTTTCAACAGCCTATGAGCCATCTCTATCTGAATGTTGCACAGAACCATGAGAAAATTCTAAAACTGCACCCCTAACAACTGCAATCTTCTCCCCTTTTTCTCCTAATCTGCTCTGCCCCCGCAGTCCCAATCTTGATCCCACCAAGCTACACAAATCGGAAACCAGATTCACGTGTGATCCCTCTTCCTTCATCTTCCAAATGTAATTTCTTTTTTTCTTTTCTTTTTTTTTTTTTTTTGAGACAGAGTCTTGCTCTTGTCGCCCAGGCTGGTGGAGTGCAATGGCACAATCTCAGCTCACTGCAACCTCCTCCCAGGTTAAAGCGATTCTCCTGCCTCAGCCTCCCGAGTAGCTGGGACTACAGGCGCCCGTCACCACTCCCAGTGAATTTTTGTACTTTTAGTAGAGACGGGGTTTCGCCACGTTGGCCAGGCTGGTCTCGAGCCCCTGACCCGGTGATCTGCCGGCCTCAGCCTCCCAAAGTGCTGGGATTACAGGCGTGAGCCACTGTGCCTGGCCCCAAATGTAATTTCTTACAGATTCCTTTAATTTCTTTAACCTCAGCTTATCTAAAATCCCTTTCCTTATCATCTTTGCCTGAGATCAGGCTCTTATCTCTTGCCTGCTCTAAAGAGCAGCCTAACTAGTCTTCTACCGGCAGTCTCAACCAGTGACCTCGCCTTTATCACCCTCGGGCAATGATACTTTCTTGGAAATTGATAGCTCCACACTCCCACCCCTTGCTCAGGACCCCGATCAGATTACTTCTGTACTCAGAAATCCTCCAAAGACTCCAATCTACAAAGCCCTACAGGATCTAACACCTGTTAAGGCTCTGACCTCATCGTCTGCTCTCTCCTCCTTTACACTGCATTCCAGCCACACCAATGTTCCGAGTGGTCTTCAAAAATGCCAGGCACTCTCTGGTCTCAGGGTCTCTCAACTTGTTGCCCCCTCTACTAGGAAGTAATCTGTATGGCTCACTTTTTCATTCCCTTCAGGTCTTTACTCAAATAATGTCACCTTCTCAAGGAGGACTTCCCTGGTCACCTGATCAATAACTGCAATGCCTACCCCCTCCCCAGCAATTCCCTTCCCTGATTGATCTTTTCTCCTTAGCATTTATTTATTTATTAAATGCTTTTATAGTGCTCATTATGTACCAGGCCTTGTTCCAAACATTGTACAAATACTAACTTCATTCCCCTAACAACTTACAAGACAGATACTATTATCACAACACTTTATGGATGAGGCAGAGAGGCTAAGTAACTTGTCTAAGGTCACACAGCTCCTGGGAGGGAGAGGTGGGATGCAAGTGTGAGAATCCACCCATCCTTGTCCTCTAACATAATGCGTGTCTTGTGTTTCTCTTTTTTGTCTCTTCCCCCAGAATGGGAGCTCCCCCAGGCCCAGGTTTTGGTCTGCTCAGTTGAGTGCTGCAGTTGTAGCTTTGCAGACCCTAGGAAAGGGACTGGCAAGAAGTCAAGTTTTAGAGTTCTGGGACCCAAAAGGGTTAAGAACTCTACACTAGAGTGACATTTCCAAAACAAACAGGGAATCATAACTCCCCATCCCCCAACTTTTCTCTCTCACTCAGGAAACAGTCAACTCCTTAGGGTGTAAAAGAGGTCCCTCATGATTTAGTCCGGTGCTGTCCAATGAGGCAGCCACTTGCCATGTGTGGTTATTTAAAGTAATTAAATTTAAATAAAATTAAAAATTGAGTTCCTCAGTTGTACTAGCCACCTTTGAAGTGCTTAATAGCCACATATAGCTTCTGCATTAGCCAGTCCACACATAAAACACTGACATCATCGCAGAAAGCTCTTTGCACAGTACTGATCTGGGGCCTATCTTTCTGTCTCATTCCCTGACAGACCCCTCCTACGTACCCTAGGCTCCAGCCACATGAAACACAAGCTACAGATCACTGAAATGCCTCGCATTCCTTGGCATTAGCAGAATGAACCTCTTCCTTGTGTTGTCAGTTGCATTCCTAAGAATCAATGCTGACACAAATCAAGCATGAGTCCTCGGTGAGTTTCCCTAATCCTCATATCCCCAGAGTATTTGCTTATCACAGCAGTGGGCTAAAGTATTATACGTGTGGTTGGCTTCCTCATTACATGACAAGCCCCACTAGGGCAGGGACAGCCTCTTATTCTTCTGTTTCCCCCGTGACCAGTGCCTGCCACACAAATCATGAGTAACTATTGCAGGTTTCACAAATGGCTGGAAATGGGAGACACAAAGATGAATTAGATATAGGCCCAGACCTTAAAGAATCTATAAGGCAGTGGAGGAAATAAAACATACACACAAAGATATTAGAGAGTAAAAAGTATTAATAATGCCTACCTGACAAAGGGGAAAAAATCACTTTAATTAGTTCAAGTTTTAATATGGTGTCCATATTGTACCATGTACCCCAAATTTAGGACAAACAATGTCTGTGATTTAAAAGTTTACACAAAAAGTAAAAAGAAAAAAAAATCAATGATCTAGACGTTTAAATGGATTTTAATGTTTTTATAAAATAGCTACACAAGTTTAAAACTTCTGTGTGCTTAAAACAAACAAAAAAATCCCTCCCTGCTATGAATACACACAACTTGGGAAAAGTACTTGTAAAGTGCATGACAAAGAGTAAATAACCTTTACATAGCCAGTTATTATAAAGAAATAAGAGAAAGACTGAACAGAAAAATGAGCAAAGACAATTTGAGATTATTGAAATAAATCTCATTGAAATGGCTGATAAAATAATCAGTATTCAGATAAATAGAAATAAAAACAGCTATCATATTGACAGACATGAAGGCCTGGTGATACTTGGCTAACAGGGGAAGGGGAAAAGGTCGATGAGTACTGCTGTGAGACTCTGGACAGGCACATCACTAACCTTCTGGGGGTACTGGGGTGACACACACGAACACTTATGCATGCCTATCCTCTGCTCTACCCATCACACTTCCAGAAATTCATCTTTAGGAAGTCATCAGGAAAATTCACTAAAAAATCTATAGGATGGTCATCATAGTATTGTGTGGAACAGCAAAACACTGTTACTAATGTCCACTGTGGGGTACATTTATGCAATGGAATACAATGTGACTATTAAAGGTGATGACATAGATCTATTTATTGACATGAAAACAAGTTCATGATATATTAAGTGAAAAAATGTCCCCATGCATGGGGGGATAAAATGTTAGGAAAGAAACCAAAATATTAACAGTGCTTAGTTATTTCTGGGCAATGAGATCAGGTATCATCTTTATTTTCTTCCCTAGGCTTGCCTATATTTTTCAAAGGACATATATTAATTTTATCATCAGAGGAAATAACAATTTTTAACAAGCTACCTTTGACGGATGAAACCTTGTTTCCAGGATCAAATACTTTTCCGAATATATTGAGAAAGCCTATCTTAAAAGCCTATCAGGACACAGGAATTCCAATCTGAACATTTAAAAAAAACATCAGTGATAGTTGTGTGATAGCTGAACTGAGAACCAAAGAAAAGACAGTTTTATTTAACAGCTTAAAGTCATGGTTAAAGGCAAACTGGTCCTTGAGGAAGAAAGTCAGGACTACGAAGGTGACATGAGGAGTAACAAACCCAACTCCAAATTTCATGGAGTTTGCAGATTGCTACAGAGAAAATACTAATGCCCAGAAAATAGTCAAGATACTAATTAAAGGCAATGTTAAATTACTGGGATTCTTGTTATAAGAGCTCAGAGAAGAGCACAGAGAAGGCTAGCTTTAGCAGGAAAAGATTCCTAGAGGTGGGAGGTCAATTCTAGATGGGGTGAGAAAGAACACACTTCGAAGAGGAAGGTGACCGAGAGAATGATCACAGCGCACTTAGGAAACTTTGTGTCATCTGAGGTTTGTCTCAGGAATTTTTTTTTTTTGAGATATGTGATGATTTTGATCAAAAGGACAAACAGATATTTTAAGTTACAAAGCTTGTGTTTAAAAGCAGAGAAAATAGGACAGCTTATAACTGCTGAAGCACTGTAATTTTAACTCAGGACAAAAGTACAATGGATTATTGCCTAAGAGTTAAATGGTAATTTGATCTTCAAATGTAAACTCCAATTGTCCTTCTAGCTAAGAATCTTCGCACCAGGGCACTGGGAGGCAAATTCAGTAATACCACATAAAACTGACATGTTTTAAAAAAGCCTAAATTGTGTTAGACCTATCACCAGAGAGATGCATTAATTCTCATGATTTCAGCTAGTGGGGCCCTACTTGGCTGAACATTATTGGAATAAAGCCTACAGTCAGGTGTCAATGTCTTTGTCAGTCTCTCACTGACAGTTCTACAGATAACGACGAAAACAATGCAAATCAACCACAAAGGGAAATGGTTCCTCTGGTGGAAAAACACAAGATGCAAGGAAACAGATGTTAGTGAACTCAAATCACAGGCAAACAAAATCACAGAGAAGTCAGCCTCTGGGAGAGCTCAGCTTCTGAATAAGCAAAGGTACCACAGGGAAGGGTACTTCAGAAAAGAATGATTTGAATATCAAAGGATTCAAGAGAACCTGGAAAAATTAAAGATGCTCTCAACCATTCCGGCAGCGTTTTGCAAGAAACAACTGTCTTTCTGAGAGTGAGAGGCTGATGTGGAGGCTGCCGGGTGGCACCGTTACTCAGTAGTGACAAAAGATACATGAAGACAACTTGATTCATTCTTTAAGAAGATATGTATGTAGTTGCATTTATGATCTGTATGTTCAATATTTATCTTACACATTTTAATTTTATTTTTCAATATAAAATCTTAACCTCTTCCTCCCTCTATTAATTTGCAAAATTCTGGTTCCCATTTTAAGTAGTCTTTTTCTGGTCACTTTTCCTGAATTAACTCTGACTTTCCTCAAGTTCCAGTTCCACGTTCCAAGCTCATTGAAGCCCTGTTACTGCAAGCTCAACTAGTCCAACTCTAGGGTTGAAATCTTCTAATGCAAACTCTAATACCACCCTCCAAATTCTCCAGGTCTAAGACGGGTACCACCAATCCCCATTGACCTGGATTACCTGGTTCTCAGCTTTGATTCCCACATCCGGTGTTGACAATCTTCTATCATTCTCCAAGCCAGTCGATTCTTCCTCAGATATCCCTCATATCTAAGATGACCACAGCAGGCACCACTACCTCAAGACAGATCTCTTGGCGACTCACCCACCTTCTGCCTTCACTGTGCACGCCACACTTTACAAGCAACTCTTTGTAAAACACGGCCTTCAAAATATGATCAGCTAAGAACCTTCTGGAAGGCCATGGATCAACACCAAGTTTCCTGTGTGGCACCTGAAACCTTTTATCCATCAACTGGTCCACCTTATCTCACCAACCTATCCTCTCATCAGTCCCAGATACCATCTCTCAGCTCCAGTGCAGCAGGTCTCTCTCTTCTCTCCCACACAAGCTGTCTCCATGCCTGCCTCAGGCATTTACTAACAGCACTTCCTCCGAGCCACCACCGTGTCCTCCTCTCAAGACTACACTTCTTTCAAGGCACAAGTCAACATGTTTCTTTGTCAAGATTTAACCTGTTACACATCCTGATGTTTTCTTACAATTGGAATCGTCTCTTTATTCATGAGTAGTCTATTTTAAATAAACATGCTGAGTAAATACGTAGAGAATATAAATCCTTAGATAAATGTTCATTTTTGTCTCCTTCCTAGACTATATCCTCAAGGGCCTCAGTCACACATTTCCTATTAGAGGTAGAAGAATATAAGCCATAGATTCAACATGCAACAACTACAAGACCTCTGTTAAGGTAAACAGAGAAATAAACGATTCAACTACACGAATTAGTGTTCCATTTTATAATTCTACTATGTCAAACAGAATTAACAAACCTGATACAAAAACATCAAATATATGGTAACACAAATAATATAACTCTTTTAGGCCTCTCTAAAGCTGGATAATTTGGTATTTTCATCACAAAAAGGAGACAACAAAGACTGCAATGCGAAATTAGCCTGGGCTTTGAGTGTCTAATTTAGAATTCTTCCATTACCTCTAGTTTACCTTCTAGCCTGAAAGTTCCTGAATCATAAAGGATCTCTTTAGTTTCCTTCGTGATAAGTGTTCTCTGAAAACGCTCTGCACTAGGGTTCATCTAACTGGGGTCTGAAGCACCCTAAGGGTTCTGGGACACATTCTAGACCATGAGAGAATTGTTCCTTTAAAAGGGGTCCGCGCATTACTCAAGTTCAGAAACAATGCTGTGCATCATCACTTTACTGCCCAATAAGCTCCATTTTTCCAAGAAGAAATCTAACATGAAATCTGGCAAAAGCAAAGCAAAGCGAAAACGACAAGACGAGCGAATGTCATCATTTAAAGCGGCAGGCAGGGCCGGCTGGGTCCCGGGTGCAGCATCCCTGCTGCCCGGTCAAGCTCCGCCCATTCGAGGGGGGGATCCCGAGCGGTCACCCGAGGCGCGCGACCGCCAGGTGTCCCCTGCCAGGGGCTGGGGGAGCGCGCCGGCCGCCAGGGCTCACAGGGGTTGGTCCCGGGGCGCTCGGATGTGGCCGCGCGGCAGGGGAGGCGGGAACCGGTCCGCGGGGCTAAGCAGGCGGCTGTGGGGGCCTGGGGCAGAGAGGCTCGTCCGCGGCCCGCTCGCCGCGCCGCCGGCCCCCGCACTCCAACCCACTCGCCGGCCCCTTCGGCCGCCCGCCCTCCCCTCACCCACGCTCGGAAGGCAACCTCACCTGCTTGGCCGGCCGGGGACCCCGGGAGCGGGGGACCACCAGTGGGCAGCATCACGGCCAGCCGGCTTCCTGGAGGCCGCGCTCCTTTCCTGGAGCCGCACCCCCGCCCGGCCCCCGCCGGCAACACGTCACCGCCTGCGCCCGGAGCGCGCCCGCTGGCGGCGGGAGCGCGCACGCCGAGGGGCGCGTTGAGCGCTGGGGGGCGGAGCCTGATGCGGGATGATTGGCGTCCGAGCGCTGGGCTGTTCCGTGGACCCGCGCGGCCACGCCAGTGTGCTGTGCACGGGAAATGTGGACGTGGGAGCACGGAGGCACCCAGTACTGTGGCGTGGTGCTCGTCTGGTCGTCAGCGAGCCTCAGCGTACTTAGGACACCGCAGTTTATCTTTCCTTAGCGCTCCTAACGGTTATGGAAAATAGCGCTTGAAAACCTGGTAAGGACTAGGCATTGTTGCTCAACTCTTGACATTTACACCTTTGCCGGTAACTCTCCCTGTTTCACAGATGGGGAAACGGAGGCTCACACTTATTCAGTCTCTCTTGAGATCCACCTGATTCGTGAGAGGTAGAGCCAGGATTTCATTCTTGCCCGTCGATGGCATATGTTAGTGCCTATGTTGGGGGAGGCAGACTGCCCCAGCCCTCCCCAACACACGCAATGGTTATGAGAAGAAATAAAGCGAAGGGTGTTCCTGAGATTGACCCCATGACCTACACTTAGTACAAGGCTAAGCTCTCTTAGCTCTCTGGCTTAGCAATAAACTGCTTTGAAGACACAGAACTTTGCACTTGAGAGCCGGAAGAGACCTTGGGAATCCCGGGTTCCATCCTTTCTTCCACCTTGTATACAGGTGAATGCACTGTGGCCCAGAGATAGGAAGTGACCAGCAATCCAGCCACTTTAAAAGATTTTTAAAAACAAGAGCCCTAGAAACGTCTACTCCATTCCATTTATCAAGTAAAACAAGCATAGACAGAACTGGCAGTTCTACATCTTAACACAGAATCCTTCTTGGTCCAGCACCCGCCTGGGTCACCTCCTCTTCCTGGATTCAGCTACTGTTAACGGAAGAAACCATGAAGCCTCAGAAGGTTAGAGCCAAAGGGACTCTACTGTGTAGCCCCAATCACCTTCTTTTACAGTTAAGAGCCTGGAACCCAGAGAGGTTGAGTGACTTGGCCAAGACCCCCTGGAGGCAGAGGAGAGCAGAACCAATGTTTCAGACTCCCACATGACTTGCGCATCAGTGTCTTTTTTTTGACAATCTGTTGCTATAAGAAATTACTCGTTTGGATAATTTTCACACTAGAAAACCCTGTGACCCAAGGCTAGCATTGAGAAGCTAAAGCTGGCCACTGACATACTGTGATTTTAAGGACAGTCTCCTTCGAAATTATCTGCCTTTCAAAATCTTTGCCATTGGAGACACTGGTTGGGGTTATGTTAGTCTTCCTTAAGGAGGGCTCTACTAAAATGCCAGACTAGGCCGGGCATGGTGGCTCATGCCTGTAATCCCAGCACTTTGGGAGTCCAAGGCAGGTGGATTGCCTGAAATTAGGAGTTCAAGACCAGCCTGACCAACATGGTGAAACCCCATCTCTATTAAAAATACAAACACTAGCTGGACATAGTGGCTTTTTTGTGCCTGTAATCCCAGCTACTCAGGAGGCTGAGACAGGAGAATTGCTTGAACCCGGGAGGTGGAGGTTGCAGTGAGCCGAGATCACGCCAATGGACTCCAGCCTGAGCAACAGAGTGAGACTCCATCTCAGAGAGAGAGAGAAGAAAAGCCAGACTAGTAAGTATTATCACACCATCCATATTTCCTGATAATTTATATGTAATAATTGTCTGATAAGAGCTAGGAAAGAAAAATATAGGAAAGTATGGAAACGTGTAACTTGGCATATTACATTCTAGAGCTGCAGTGACAAATTGCCCTAAACTGGGTGGCTTAAAGCAAGATAATTTATTGTCTTCCAGTTCTAGATGGTAGAAGCCTGAAATGAAGGTGTCAGCAGGGCTGTGCTCTCTCTAAAGATCTAGAGGAGGATCCTTCTTTGCCTCTTCCTAGCTTCTGGTGGCTACTGGCCATCCTTGGCCTTCCTCAGCTTGTAGATGCATCACTTTGGTCTCTGCCCCTGTTGTCACATGGTATTATCTCTGTGTGTCTGTGTCTCTGTCTCCAAGTTTCTTTCTTCTCATAAAGACACCAGCCATATTAGATTCAAGGCTCACCCTCATCCAGTGTGATCTTATGATCTCATATTAACTTGATTATATTTGCAAAGATCCTATTTCCAAATAAGGTCACATTCATGGGTTCTGGGTGGACATGAATTTTTTGGGGGTGGTCACTATTCAACTTAGTACATGAGAGGACCATCCTGGTCTGGTTCATCAGGGAGAGCTTCTTTGAGGTAACGCTGTCTGAGGTCACACCTGCACAATGAATGGGAATTTATTAGAATTCTGGGCCTATATGAAGGAATAGTATTTCAGTCAGTGGAAACAGCAAAGAGGCTCTGAAGGGGCCCATTCTCACTTGTTAACAAGAGAAACAAAAACTGGAGCTAGGCTGGGCGCGATGGCTCAAGCCTGTAATATCAGCACTTTGGGAGGCCGAGGCGGGTGGATCACGAGGTCAGGAGATCGAGACCATCCTGGCTAACACGGTGAAACCCTGTCTCTACTAAAAAAAAATACAAAAAATTAGCTGGGCGTGGTGGCAGGCGCCTGTAGTCCCAGCTACTCAGGAGGCTGAGGCAGGAGAATGGCGTGAACCCGGGAGGCGGAGCTTGCAGTGAGCTGTGATCGCACCACTGCACTCCAGCCTGGGCGACAGAGCAAGACTCCATCTCAAAAAAAAAAAAACAAAAACTGGAGCTAACAGGAGGGAACACTTACTAAGTACTTTATGCCAGGCATGGTTGTAAGAACGTTAGAAAACACGGCATACAGAATGATAATGAAACTGCATCAAAATATGTGGAATGCAGTCAGAACAGTCCTTCAAGAGAAATTTATAGCTTTAAAAGTTTATTTTAGTAAAGAAAAAAGGTTTGAAATCAATTATCTAAGTTTCCACCTTATGACATTAGAATAAGAAAGTGAATTAAACTCGAAGTGAATAGGAGGAAAAAAATAATAAAAAATAATATGAGACATTAACCAACTTACAAGTTGGTTCTTTGAAAATATTAACAAAATTGCTAAACTCCTAGTGAGATTGAGCAGGACAAAAAAACACGAATAACAAATATCAAGCATAAAAGAGGAAGATCCCTACAGATATACAGAAATTGAAAATATAATAAGAAAACATTATGAATAACTTTATGCTGATCATTTCGATAATTTACATTAAATGGAAAAAGTCTTTGAAAAATACAACTTCCCAAAACTGGCACAGGAAGAAATAGAACATTTGAATCACCCCATATCTTTAAGGTCCTAAAAAGAAAATTCCAGAGCAAGATGGCTTCACTAGTAAATGTTTATCAATCATTTAAGAAAGGTAATATTGATTTTATATAAACTCTTTTGAAAGAACAAAGGAAGAGAGAACACTTTTTAATTTATAATTCAGAATAATCCTGATACCAAGAAATAAAAAGGAAAGAAAATCACACACCTATATTTCTTACATAGGTGCAAAAATTTTAACAAAATATTGGCCAATCAAGGTCAGGTGTAATGACTCATGTCTGTAATCCCAGCACTTTGGGAGGCCGAGGCAGGTGGCTCACCTGAGGTCAGGAGTTTGAGACCAGCCTGGCCAACATGGTGAAACCCCATCTCTACTAAAAATACAAAAATTAGCCAGGCAAGGTGGTGGGCACCTTTAATCCCAGCTACTCAGGAGGGTAAGACAGGAGAATTGCTTGAACCTGGGAGGTGGAGGTTGCAGTGAGCTGAGATTGCGCCACTGCACCCAGCCTGGGTGACAGAGTGAGACTCCATCTCAAAAAAACAAAAACAAAAACAAAATTGGCAAATCAAATCCAGCGACATCTGAAAGAGCAAGATAGCATTACCAGGTGGGATTCTTTTTTGAGGAATGCAAAATTGGCTCAACATTTGAAAATCAATCAATGTCATTCACTACATAAACAGAATAAAGAAGAAAATTCATATGATTCGTATGATCTCAGTCAATGCAAAAAAAAATTTGGCAAAATTCAACACCCATTCATAATTTTGAAAAAAAGCCTTTATCAACTATAAAGGGTATGATTTTCCTCAGCTTGATGGAGCATCTACAAAGAATACAGCTATCATGGTTGTAAAATCAAAGTAACTCATTTTGTGCATGGGACTTTAAAAGTGTTAAATGAAATATTGAACAAATATGTGATACCTGGAGATACATGACCATTTTGCAACCATGGGACAACAGTCATCCTGATAAGAGCCAACAATAAATACGATGGAACTGAAAGATAGAACTGTTTGGGTCCATGATGGCATCATTAAACCGCTGAACTAGTACCAGTGACTGTGTCTACCCCCTGACTTCTTATTAGGAGAGAAAAATAAGCTCTTTATTTGTTTAAATTTCTTTTGGTTGGATATTCCATTACTTGTTGTTAGGTCTTTAAAAATATTTGTTGACTGGTTGGGTGACTTGCTCAAGGTTATAAAACTAAATGGGAGACAGGATGACTTAATGTAAAAAGTACCAAGCCGGGAGGCAGGAAACCTGAATCCTTATCCTCAATAGACTGTGTAAGCTTAGAAATTGTAGTTTGCCTTACTGGTCCTCACCATCCATATATAATTTGTAAAAGGAAAGGGGTTTGTGGAGATGGCTAAGCTGACCTTTAACGTTCTTTCCAGGTCTAAAATCTATGATTTCTAAGAGGCAAAAGAGAAGACTAGAAGTAAGATTTTCCCTTTCTCTCTTCTCCTTTCCCTCCCTGCTGTGGTCTGAATGTGCCGCCCAGTTTTCATGTGTTGAAACGTAATGACCAATGTGATTAGCATTAAGGGGTTCTGCCTCTCAGCATTAATTAAGTCATGAGGGTGGAGCCCTCATGGGTAGGATTAGAGACCTTATAAAAGGGCTTGAGGAAACGTGTTTACTCTCTTCTGCTCTTCTGCCCTGTAAGTACTTAGCACTCAACCCCTTTCTGTCTTTCCATACCTTCTGTCAGATGAGGATACCTATATAGCTCAATCTTTGAGGAACAGGTTTTTACCAGATAGAAAATGTGCTTTGGACTTCCCAGCCTCCAGAACTGTGAGAAAATATATTTCTGTCCTTTATAAATTATCCAGTCTGTGGTACTTTGTTATAGTGGCACAAATGAACTAAGACAGTCTCTTCTTCTCCCTCTTTTTTTCCGTCCTTCTCTTTCTTCTTCTTCTTCTTTTTTTTTTTTTTTTTTGAGATGGAGTCTAGCTCTCTCACCCAGGCTGGAGTGCAATGGCACATTCTCAGCTTACTGCAAGCTCACCTCCTGGGTTCACGCCATTCTCCTGCCTCAGCCTCCCGAGTAGCTGAGACTGCAGGAACCCACCACCAGGCCCGGCTAATTTTTTTGTATTTTTAGTAGAGACGGGGTTTCACCATGTTAGCCAGGATGGTCTCGATCTCCTGACCTCGTGATCCGCCCGCCTTGGCCTCACAAAGTGCTGGGATTACAGGTGTGAGCCACCATGCCCGGCCTCTTTCTTCTTAAGAAACAAAACATAAGGACCAGGCACAGGGGCTCATGCCTATAATCCCAGCACTTTGGGAGGTGAAAGTGGGAGGATTGCTCGAGCCCAGGAGTTTGAGGCTGCAGTGAGCTGTGATCGCACCACTGCACTCCATCCTGGGTGACAGAGCAAGATCCTGTCTCCAAAGAAAACTTAAAAAAAAAAAAATCAAACATAAGATAGAAGACCTCTTTCCTTCTCTTGTTGAACTTGAGATTTCTTTGTAACAGTGTATATGGGAATGTTGATGAATGGAGTAGGGCAGATGAACAACCATCAATATCTAAAACCCAATTATGATTTCTCTTTAATTATCTTTCTAGAAAACCCTCTAACATGGCAATTGCTTGAAATTCTGCTCTCCAAATGTTTTAATCCATCATTCCAAGGAAGCTAAATTGGCTCACCTGTCCCTCCTGGCTGTGTGTGGGTGTTTGGGGAAGGTAACCATGCTAGATGTCAGGAAACAAAGGAATCCTGCAGCGCTTGGAAATGGGGAGTTCTCTTACTCTTCCTTGGACCTGTTTGCTTTCCAAGACATTCATGCACAGACTATTTTTGAGTGGCTTGGCTAATAATCCTATATATTTACACAGCCTTTGTCTTCAGGAAATCATGTCACTTTACAGGCATGGTCTCATTTATGAGCCCAGCATTCCTAAGGCAAAGGGATTTTTATTTCATGGTGTTTTGTTGTGGAGAGAAAGAGAAAGTGACTTGTTCAAAGCAACATCAAAATCCAGGGTTTCCTCCAAATTTTTTTAAAAATTATTTATTTATTTATTTTTTGAGACCAAGTTTCACTCTTGTTGTCCAGGCTGGAGTGCAATGGCGCGATCTTGGCTCACCATAACCTCTGCCTTCTGGGTTCAAGCGATTCTCCTGCCTCAGCCTCCCGAGTAGCTGGGATTACAGGCATGCGCCACCACGCTGGGCTAATTGTTATGTATTTTTAGTAGAGACGGGGTTTCTCTATGTTGGTCAGGCTGGTTTCGAACTCCCGACCTCAGGTGATCTGTCCGCCTTGGCCTCCCAAAGTGCTTGGATTACAGGCGTGAGCCACAACGTCTGGCCCTAAATCCTGGGTTTACTCCAAACTTTTCTCATCAAAGCAGAGTGATCAAACTGTACCATAAAGGAGTCACATGGGAGATGGGTAATTGAACACACAAACACATGCACACACACACACACACACAAAACACACACACACGTAGGCAGCAGACATAGTTGCTTTTGCTGCTCGGGCCCCATCACTCTAGTTTTGGTAACAGTACCTCAGATTTCTGAAGGAATATACTCAGGTCATATTTGGTCCATTTGGGTCAGAAATTATGACCCTGGCCTGGTTAAGCAAGGTAATTTTGTCTCCTGATCATGATGACTGGCACGAGTCAATGTTGTTCTGATTAGATAAAAGCTCCATTTTTCAATATCAGCTTCATCTGTGATAAAGATGATACTTTGGTTTGTAAACCCAGAAAATCAGAGACAAGTCTCAGTTAATTTAGAAAGTTTATTTTGCCAAGGTTGAGGATGTGCGCCCATGGCACAGCCTCAGGAAATCCTGACGCCATGTGCCCAAGGTGGCTGGGGCACCGCTTCATTTTATACATTTTAGGGAGACATGAGACATCAATCAATATATGTAAGACATACATTGGTTCCATCCAGAAAGGTGGGGACAACTCAAAGCAAGGAGGGGTCTTCCAGATCACTGGTAGGTGAGAGAAAAGGGGTTGCATTCTTTTGAGTTTCTGATAAGCCTTTCTAAAGGAGGCAATCAGAATATGCCTCTATGTCAGTGAGCAGAGGGATGACTTTGAGTAGAATGGGAGGCAGGTTTGCCCTGAGCAGTTTCCAGCTTGAATTTTCCCTTTGGCTTAGTGATTTTGGGGCCCCAAGATATTTTCCTTTCACAGGTTTTCATATAGTTTTTGTTTCATTTCTAAAATTATTCAGACTTAAGCAGGAAGCAGTGGGTAGTTTATTGGACACCTTAAACCTCTCTCTGTTCCTTTCTCACACCAGATAACATACCATTCTTCCTCTCACCATCCTTCCCTACTGCACCATCACCTTTAAGTTAAGGTTGAAATTCCTGAGCAAATCAACTGCAAATCGATGAGGTGACCAGATGTCATGGACAGGATGGCTTCACACTAGTCTCCTTGGCATGACACCCCAAGGCCATGGTTAAGTTGCTTTCAACTTTTAAGCCTGATGTCCAGACACTTCCCTATATATATTTTCGCTGTGTTCTAACATGTTTAATGGACTATTTGCTTGTTTCCCAATTGTGCCTTCTTTTCTTTTCTTTTCTTTTTTTTTTTTTTTGAGATGGAGTTTCACTCTTGTTGCTCAGGCTGGAGTGCAGTGGTGTGATCTCGGCTCACTGCAACCTCTGCCTCCCGGGTTCAAGCAATTCTTCTGCCTCAGCCTCCCGAGCAGCTGGGACTACAGGCACGTGCCACCATGCCTGGCTAATTTTTGTATTTTTAGTAGAGATGGGGTTTCACTATGTTGGTCAGGCTGGTCTCGAACTCCTGACCTCATGATCCGATCAGTGCAGGGCTTTTCTAAGTGCCAGCCATCTGTGACTGACTGCACAGGTCCCACGCCCTAGAAGCAGCTCTGTAGCTACCCCAGGAAAATGTAGCCCTATGGCCTTGACTGTAGAAGCCTCTGCTGTTGCCCAAGGCTGTGGGCTGGCCTGAGCAGCTGGGAGGATGAGTGGGGAGTGTGGGGCTTCAGGACAGAGCTTGAGCCTTGATACTTGCCTGACTTTCAGTCTTACAGAAACCACAGTATTACAGACTTTTCCATGTTGTTGTTACAAAGATATATAGATTTAATATATAGATTTAAAAATAAATGCAAAAAAGTAAAAATTAGAGGGGCTATAACATTTGATTTACTAGTTTATCTGAATTTATCATTTTAAACATCTTAAAACATGGGTGTGTCCTCTTAGCCCTGACCCTCCAAATGTTTGTGGCAATCCCAGAGTGGAGAACGCAGAAGGAATGAATAAACCTCCTGGAAGAGGTGGCATGAGATGTGACTGAAGACACAAAGAGAACGATAAATGTGAAGAGGAGGAAGGATTCCTCTTTTGTTAAAAAAAATTGTGGTAAAATACACATAACATAAAATTTACCATCTTAAATTTATTTATTTATTTATTTATTTATTTAGAGACAGAGTCTCTGTCACCCAGGCTGGAGTACAGTGGTACAATAGTAGCTCACTGTAACCTCAAACTCCTGGGCTCAAATGATCCTCATGCTCCAACCTCCCAAAGTGCTGGGATTACAGGCGTGAGCCACCGCACCCTGCCCATCTTGATCATTTTTAAGTGTACACTTCAGTAATGTTATGTGTATACATATTATTGTGCCACCAATCTCCAGAAGTTTTTCATCTTGCAAAACTGAAACTCTGTACCTGCTAAACGACTCCCCATTCCTCTCTCTTCATCCCCCGGCAACCCTCAGTCTGCTTTCTGCCTATAAATTTGACTACTCTGGATACCTTATATATGTGGAACTCTACAGCATTGGTCTTTTTGTGACTGGCTTATTTCAATTAGCATAAAGTTCTCAAGGTTCATCTGTGTTGCAGCATGCGTTGGAATGTCTTTCCTCTTTAAGACCAAATAATATTCCACTGTATGGATATACTGCATTTTATTTACCTATTCATCTGTTGATGGACACTGGGTAGCCTCCACCTTTGAGTATTGTGAATAATGCCACTATGAATATGGGTATACAAATGTGTCTTTGGGACTCTGCTTTTAATCCTTTGGATGTATACCCAGAAATGGGGAATGTCTTAGTCCATTTTGTGTTGCTCTAACAGAATACCACAAACTGGGTAATTTATAATGAAATTTAGATTTTAAAAGAAACAAATTTATGGCCGGGCGAGGTGGCTCATACCTATAATCTCAGCACTTTGGGAGGCTGAGGCAGGCGGATCACTTGAGGTCAGAGGTTCGAGACCAGCCTGGCCAACATGGCGAAACCCTTTCTCTACTAAAAATATAAAAATTAGCTGGGCATGGCGACACACACCTGTAGTCCCAGCTACTCAGGAGGCCGAGGTGGGAGAATCGCTGGAATCCAAGAGGCGGAGGTTGCAGTGAGCCAGATCGCACCACTGCACTCCAGCCTGGGTGACAGAGCAAGACTCTGTCCCAAAAAAAAAAAAAAAAAAAAAAAAAGAAGGAAAGAAAAAATGTATTATCTCATGATCCTAGAGACTGGGAGGTCTAAGACCAAGGGGCTGGCAGCAGGGACATCACATGGGCAGCAATCACAGATCACAGAGACACAGAGCACAGAAGGCTGGAGACTGGTTGGAGTTGGGGCAGTGGGAGGGAAGGGTGGGCTGTTTCATGTGCTGGATTTGGAAGAACAAGTAGAAATAACCAGACACAAAGTTCCAATTGTAATGACAATGCATGAAGTCCTCAACCTGGACTTCCAAGAACTGAACCATTAGTCACTTATGAGACATTGGGCAAGTTATTACTTTTTTTTTTTTTTTTTTTTTTGAGACAGAGTCTCACTCTGTCACCCAGCTGGAGTGCAGTGGCACAATCTTGGCTCACTGCAACCTCCATCTCCCACATTCAAGCAATTCTCCTGCGTCAGCCTCCCAAGTAGCTGGGATTACAGGTGTGTACCACTACACGCCGCTAATTTTTGTATTTTTAGTAGAGATGGGGTTTCACCACGTTGGCCAGGCTAGTCTCAAACTCCTGACCTCAAATGATCCACCCGCCTTGGCCTCCCAAAGTGCTGGGATTACAGGCATGAGCCACTGTGCCTGGCCATGTTATTACTTTTTTAAGCTCCCATTTTCTCAATGGTAAATGGAGATAGCATTATCCACCTGTTTGGATTGCTGTGAGAATTAAATGAAATAATCCAAATGAAGTGCTAAGTACAAAGCTTGATATGTAATAAGAATTGATACAAAGTCCACTGTGAATCATTATTAAACCGCGCCTCCTAATATGATAGTGGATGGTAAGTCAAGGGAGAATAACACATCTCTATAAATGCCCTTCCTAATCAAACTATGCTACTTGTTGGACAATTAATGTACATTGCTAACGAGTCTCTCTTTCACTCATGTCATTTGCTCCATAGTTGTTTGGTGATCCAAATGTTCTTCATGTCTGTACCATCCTAAAGGTGTCTTCAGATTCGAATCCAGTGGTCAGGGGCTGTGCCTACCTGGGTTTCCTCTTACTTGGCCTAGAGCCCAGGACAGCTCCGGTAGCTGCAGTTTCAGAAAGCACTTTAGAAATGAACAAGCTCACCCTGTAATCCTAGCACTTTGGGAGGCTGAGGCTGGTGGATCACCTGAGGTCAGGAGTTTAAGACCAGCCTGGTCAACATGGTGAAACCCCATCTCTACTAAAAAATACAAAAATTAGCCAGGCGTGATGGTGGCTGCCTGTAATCCCAGCTCGAGCAGCTGAGATGGAAGAATTGCTTGAACCCGGGAGGCGGAGGTTGCAGTGAGCCAAGATCATGCCATTGCACTGCAGCTTGGACGACAGAGGGAGACTCTGTCTCAAAAACAAAACAAACAAACAAAAAAGAAACGAACAAGCTCAGAGTCTCCTTGTCCACTAAGGGAGATGGAGGGCAGTGTATGTGGCTTGCCCCACACCGACAGCAGCATAAAAACGATGATGAGCAAGGCAGCACGTCTGCTTTCTTTTTTTTTTTTTTTTTTTTTTTTGAGACAGAGTCTTGCTCTGTCGCCCAGGCTGGAGTGCAGTGGCGCGATCTTGGCTCACTGCAAGCTCCGCCTCCCGGGTTCATGCCATTCTCCTGCCTCAGCTTCCCGAGTAGCTGGAACTGCAGGCGCCTGCCACCACACCTGGCTAACTTTTTGTATTTTTAGTAGAGACAGGGTTTCACCATGTCAGCCAGGATGGTCTCGATCTCCTGACCTCATAATCCACCCGCCTCGGCCTCCCAAAGTGCTGGGATTACAGGCGTGAGCCACCATGCCCGGCCAACACATCTGCTTTCATAGTTATCCTCTCAGCAGCTGGGGGACAGGCAGAGACAGGAGTTACTGTCTTTCAGGGCCATGCTTAGTCAGTCCTATGAAAGTTTCCCAGATACACATACACAGAGGGTGTCAGTTCAGGCTCAAAGGTGGCCTCCCAAAGCTGACCACCCCCTGGGAGTGACCTGTGTGTACAGCTGGCTTCCTGCTCCCCTGCTGGGGAAGAGGCTGTTGTTTGTTGTGTTTCTAAACAATGCTTTCAGGGCCGGCTTCCTCAGTGAGGAGTCCACTGCATCGTGACTTGGATCAAGAGGTCTGTGTTTTCTTTCTGCCCTATGCTTTAATATAATTATCATAACTGAAAAGGTAATGTAAGAAAGTTAATTAGAATATTAACTATACTCTAACAAAACAACTTGCTTGTTTTTTTTTTTTTTTTGGTATGTCACTGGCCACCTGAATAGATCACTTTACATTTTTGCCATTGTGGCATACTTCAATCTACAAGGGCAGTGAATGTATTTATTTTGGTGCCCTTTCATTACTTGGTGCTTGGTGCAATACTTGATACATAGCATGTGGCCAACAAATGATTATTGAATAAATATTTTTTTTTTTTGAGACAGAGTCTCGCTCTGTTGCCCAGGCTGGAGTGCAGTGGCATGATCTTGCCTCACTGCAACCTCTGCTGGCCAGGGTTCAAGTGATTCTCATGCCTTGGCCTCCTGAGTAGCTGGGATTACAGGCACTCGCCACCTTGCCTGGCTAATTTTTGTATTTTTAATAGAGATGGGGTTTCACCATGTTGGCCAGACTGGTCTCGAACTCCTAGCCTCAAGTGATCTGCCCACCTTGGCCTCCCAAAGTGCTCAGATTACAGGCATGAGCCACGGTGCCTGGCCTGAATGCTATTTTTTAATACACTGCTTTCATTGAGTGTAATAGGAACATTTCCCTATGCTTCTAGAGTAAAAACAATTATAATTTTTAATGTTTCCGTACCAGCAGAGAATCATAATTTATTAAAGGTTTCATTTAGTTTGAATTTTGACTGTTTCCTTTGCTGTTTTTACTATTGTAGATAATATTATCATAAAAATTTGCATGCACATTTTTTAGAACCTTTGAAATTAAGTGCCTTAGAATGAATTCCCAAGAATGGAATTACTGCATTTGGGAGGTGTGGACAATTTTATGATTCAGTGTGTGTTTCTCAAGGGTTTGCCCTCTCTACAGAACATATTCACGGGATATGTTCTAGTTAACCATAAAAGGCACAGAGGCCATTTCCAAAGGCCCCTAGCTGAGATCTCTTTGAAGGGTCTGAAGACATTCATTGGAGCACTAGCGGCCATCTCCGTTAGGTGGAACAGAGTAGATCTTCTGGTTTCTGAGTAATAAAGTAGATTATTAACAGAAATGATGCCTTTCCTCTTAGGTCCTGAAGCAAAATCCAAAAATGTGGCCTACCATAATGCAAAGTCTCTGAGAGGCAGCATAGCTCCAGGCAGTTCGTGCTTTGATGTTAAATGA
Source organism: Homo sapiens (assembly GCF_000001405.40). NCBI lineage: Eukaryota > Metazoa > Chordata > Mammalia > Primates > Hominidae > Homo > Homo sapiens. The sequence goes on from NC_000008.11 coordinate 23,470,832, forward strand.
AACTGTGTGATCGTAAAGCCTAAGTGAGACCTCTATTAATAGCTTTGATTGCTTCTCTAACAAACTGTCACAAACTTAGTGGCTTAAAACAATGCAAGTTTATTACCCTACAGTTAGGTTGACATGGGCCTAAAAGGGTCTCACCAGCCACAAGGCTGCATACCCTTCTGGAGGCTGTAGCGGGAATCTGCTTCCTTGCCACTTCCAACTTCCAGAGACCACCCTTGCCACTTCCAAATTCCAGAGATCGTTGCTTGGTTGCTGTTTGGGCCTCTTCCTCCATCTTCACAGTCAGCAAAGGTCAACTCTCTCTTCCCAAAGCCTGGAAAGTCTCTCCGATGTTAAAGGACTCACGTGATTACATTGGGCTCACCTGGGTAATCCAAGCTAATCTCCCATTTCAAGGTCCTTAACCTTAATCAATCTGTAAAATCCCCTTTGTTATGTAAGGTAATGTATTATAGGATCCAAGGATTAGGTCAGGGACGTGCGTGGGAGTGAGAGAGGTGGAGAGAGGGATTATTTTGGCTACTACAAGACCTAAAATGGGAATATATTTCTTTAATTAAAAATATATGCATCCTAAGAAAGACATAATAGACTTCGGGGACTCAGGGGGAAAGGATAGGAAGGGAGTAAGGGATAAAAGACTATAAATTGGGTTGAGTTAGACTGCTTGGGAGATGGGTGCGTCAAAATTTCACAAATCACCACTAAAGAACTTACTCATTTTACCAAATAGCACCTATTCCCCCAAAACCTATAGAAATAAAAAATTAAAAATGTATATATATGCACCCATGGAACATATAACATTATTTATCCACTTATATAACAAGTGACTAAATTGGGTGAGTCAAGTATTAAAATGAGCTCAGAGAACTCTTCATCCCCTGGAGGCATTCAGAGAAAGCTCTCTGGGATACCGTGCAGCCTGGCTGTCCATAACCTGTGACCCCAGGGCCAGGCCTGCCTCCCTTCTTCAAGCTCGGCACAACTGCCTGCTACTGTGGGAAGGTGGGGCTAGGGCAGAGGCATGACCTGGCATGGCGTCAGGCAGAGAGAGGGGATGAGAGTAGGAGCGAGGCCCTCAAGGTGGACCTGCTTAGAATGTCTCTGGTTCCTAGGCTCTGTGTGCAGAGCTTCCTTTTGCAAGGACATCTTCCTCCTTGGTGGGCCTCATCCATCCGCCTCCCCAGAGTATTGGATTTTTCTCGCCTAGATCTTGTATTTAGCAAAAGTTCCCCTAGAGAGGCTGCGTGATGAATGATCCTGCCACAGTTGTAGTGTGTGTGTGTGTGTGTGTGTGTGTGTGTGTGTGTGTCTGTGTGTCTGTGTGTCTGTGTCTGTGTGTCTTGGAGTTGCAAGACTTGGTTAGCTGAGGCTTTTGTTTTTCACTTGTGACTAACATGAATGGAAGTGTAATACAAACAAGGATAAGGAGAGCATCTCTCCCAGAAGCCTGGAAGTTAAGGGTGTGGGTGGAGAGAAGCCACTGAGCTCCGGAATATGGAACTGAGCGCAACACAGGCAGCAAGTGGCTTTCTTTTGGGATGCTATGATGGGCTCTGACCTGGGATTCAGGACCCACTGCATTTGACTCTGAATCCCAGCTCTTCGCGAATCATGAACGCATGTTGGCACCAGATCCTCTTTGAGCCCTCCAGTGAAGCCTCGGACTCACCACTAGATGGCGTCCGAGCTCGCGCTCTCCACCGCGGGGCAGCAAGGCGGCAGGAAGCGGTCCAGAGGTGCCTCAGTGGCCAGGGACAGGGAGGTGACAAGAGTCGCCTCCATCAGACACGGCCACTCCCACCCCTGGTTTTGCCTGATTCCATTGGAGTATCCATCAAGACTAAACTAGAAAGTTTTTGCTTCTCCATTCCCTGGGTCCAATCCTAGGGAAAATGTGGTCCTTTTGTTTCTGGGGACTCCCAAAAGGAAACGTGCACCTTCTCCAGTAAAAACTAATTTGTTTTGTAATTTATTTTGTTTATTTGTTTATAGGAAAAGGAGAGGCATACTAAATTGGGCTTGAGTTTTGGCTCTTACTTTCTAGGCAAAGTCCTCTCCGGGCCTCAATTTCTAGTTTATGAAATGAAACTAGAAATCCATCCCTGCCTCATGAAACTGCCTGAGTAAAATGCAGTAATGCTGTGTCATGTGTGTGGCACAGTTTCTGGCACTTAGTAGGCGCTTTATATCTTACTTCTATTCTAGGTGAATTGGAGCTCTATTTATTCACCTTTACATGTTCTTGTCTATCACAGCGCCTGACATCCTCCATGCAGAGGAACAAACTCACTAATGGAATTTGCAAACATTGATCTTCATCAACTATTCTATTACTGAAACACCAAATTTTGTGGAGGATTCAGAAGATTATATTACAAACTGTTGCCCACAGGGTCTAACAAAATAACTGGAGGAGACAAGATTAATGAAAACACATTTAACAGTGAACACAGAAGCTACTAAATGAAAAGTAATTAAAAATGTATGATCGGTCGTGCATGGTGGCTTATGCCTGTAACCCTAGCACTTTGGGAGGCCGAGGTGGGCAGATCATTTGAGGTCAGGAGTTCAAGACCAGCCTGGCGAACATGGTGAAATCCCATCTCTACTAAAAATACAAAAATTAGCTGGGTATGGTGGTGGGCACCTGTAATCTCAGCTACTAAGGAGGCTGAGGCTGGAGAATCACTTGAACCTGGAAGTGGAGGTTGCGGTGAGCCGAGATTGTACCATTGCACTCCAGCCTGGGCGACAGAGGGAGACTCTGTCTCAAAAAAATAAATTAAATAAAAATGTATGATATTGGCTGTTTATAACTAAGTTTATAGCTCCTCAAACAGAGCTCCGTTTCTTGAATTCTGACATTCAAGAGGCGAGTTGACATCTGGATTATTTGTTGATCATAGGCTGTATGTCAGATCCTAGAAGTTTTTATGGGAAGAAGAGGATGAATTTTGCAACGGGGATATTATTATGTCTAGAAAGCAAGCCTGGGAGCCGGTAGACCTCATGAGAGCTTCGAGCTTCCAAGTATGAAATAGAGGTGCCTGGAGACAGGAAAAAGGAGCCCCAAAAAGGAGGCGAAAGGACACTGAAGACAAAGTTAGCTACTGCACCATTCGGTGAATGATTTCTTCCTCATTCAGAGTGTGAATAACTCATATAATTATAATCTGGAAGCTACCTTAAACGTGTTGTGGCTTGATCTTGCACTCAATATAGGAGACTTTATATCGTATCTTTGACTAAAGGCATCCAAATCACAGCTTAAACACTTTCAGGGATGGGAATTCATTCCCTCGGAAGAAAGCCCGTTTCTTCATTAGACAGTTCTAGTTGTCATCATTCACCCCAAATTTCCTCTAGCTCCCCTTAAGGGTGCTAGTTCTGTGAGTTTCATCCCTCTCCCAGAGGTCAGTTCTTCAAATAGCCAAGAACTGCCATTGTATCTTCCTTAGCTTTTTCTCTCCAAATGTCCCCGCTGCCTACAAATATTTGTCAAGCGGCCCCTTGCCCCTCGTAGACCACGCTGTTTGGAGCAAAAGGAGCTCAAGGGGGCATCTTCCCCCTTGGCTTCCCGGCTACGTCATGACATGGCACTAGATGGCGCTGTGACCACGGCCCCACCCAGGTATTCCAGGTACTCAAGAGTGACTTGAGGGTTTCCCTAAGAAGCCAGTGCCAACCTCATCTTGCCCCATATGCCTGTCTTCCTCAGTGACCACCAGAAGTCCAAATCCAGCCTCTGGAGGGACTCAGTATCACCTTCACTCTCGTTCCCGACCTCTGTGTCTGTCTGATGAGGGTATCTGATATTATGTCTATCCAGTACCCTGCACTCCTGCTTTTTTGAAACAGGGTCTCGCTCTGTCACCCAGGTTGGAGTGTAGTGGCACAGTCACTGCAGCCTCGATCTCCTGGGCTCAAGAGAGCCTCCTGCCATAGGCACGTGCCACCACGCCTGGCTAATATTTAATTTTTTTGGTAGAGACGGCGTCTCCCTATGTTGCCCAGGCTGGACTTCAACTCCTGGGCTCAAGCGATCCTCTGCCTTGGCCTCCCAAAGTGTTGGGATTACAGGTGTGAGCCACCATGCCTGGCCTGCCCTCCTCTTGATGTCAGCAAAGCAGTTTTCCTTTGAAGGGCCACTTCCCCGCTTGCCAACATGTGATTCTGGTGGGTTCTGCCCACCCAGAGTGGCCACTAGAGATGCAGCCTCACTAACCACCATGGATGGCTCAGGCTGAAATTTCCCTGGTGCCATAAGGGAGGTCCACACTCCCCAGGGTTGTTGGGCCACCATCTGCTGCTGCATGGGGAGAGGCTGCCTGGGAGTGTGGCCAACACAGAGGACAGCAAGGCAGGGAGACCAAAGGAGAGCCCCTGGAGGACATGGCTTGGGTCCCTGAGCTGATCAGCACTGAAGCCAGCAAGCAGCCCCACTACACTTCCAGTTATATGGACAAACACATTCTCTTCTCTTTTGCTAAATCTAGCTTGAGTTGGATTTCTGACATTTGAAAATGGAGAGTCCTAATATAATCCCTAACCTGACTTGATCTCCCACGCCTCCTCTGGGGTGGAGGGTTGCACATTTTTATAATCCCTAATCTGACTCGATCTCCCACGCCTCCTCTGGGGTGGAGGGTTGCACATTTTTATAATCCCTAACCTGACTCATTCTCCTACGCCTCCTCTGGGGTAGAGGGTTGTATATTGTATTGTCCTCTCTTGGAGCACTTACGGAGTGATCAGCACATTCTCTGGTATTCTTTTTTTCTTTAAAGAGACAAGGTCTCACCCTATTGCCCAGGGGGCAGTGCGATCATAGCTCACTGCAGTCTCGACCTCCTGGGCTCAAGCAATCCTTTTGTTTTAGCCTCCTGAGGAGCTGAGACTACAAGTGTGCACCCACCATGCCTGGCTAATTTTTAAATATTTTGTAGAGACAAGGGTTTCACCATGTTGCTTAAGTTGGTCTCGAACTCTTGGCCCTAAGTGATCCTCCCACCTCAGCCTCTCAAAGTGCTGGGATGACAGGCGTGAGCCACGTACCCGGCCGTGTAGTCTCTCTTTCCTGCTACCTGCTTTTGTTACCTGAAATCTGGCTCCTTCCTTCAGGACACTGGTTCCCCTGCAGCCCTCTCAGAAGGGTGGAGTTTTCCCCCTCACCTTCATGTACCTGAGGGCCAAGCTGCCGCCACCCGTCCTCCCTACTGTGCCTAACAGTCTACTGGCCACTGCCCCAGTGCTTACTGAAGACCTCAACTCAAGGCTCATTGACTCTGTCTGCCCAATCCTAGCCACTGTACCCAGCTATTTCAACATCCACATGGATGATTCTTCCAATGCCCTGGTCTCCATCACTTTAGCTGCCTTACACCTCATTATCACAGGTTTCCATGTCACAATATCCAAAATCTCAAGTTCAAGCATGCCACTCTGACCATCATCTTTTACGCTTACAGCTCACTGACTCTACCACCCACAGTGTCTTTGACCTTGAGACTGCCAATGTATGGGGTCCCTGTATTCTAGATTCTGTGATCCCTCGTCATAATTTCACATCCCTGAAAACACCCTAAATCCCTTTGTCTGTCTTTTCTTCCATTATACTCACCATACCATATTTTTTCTATTGTGACTTCTTTACACTGGGAGCTGTTTCTCAGATCCCTTCCTCTGAAAAGGTCAGAGTTAGATTTGGCCAACAGTGAAAACGTGCAAGATTTTGGAGTCAAGGTGAAACAGCAGCCATTATTCTGAAGGTTGCCATTGATTAGAGGTAGACACCCAGGCTGGTGTCTGTCATTGGTTAGGGGTAGACACAGGAGCACCAGAGATTCCAGGGTGCACTCCCTCTTTCCCTCGCTGGGACTCTCTTCCTAACTGCTGCTCTACTGACCAACAGTGACCTCAGGCCCATCTCCAGGTACTTTGATGTGAACTTGCAGAGCAGCAGCACTCTTCTATGAACTTTGACACCAGCCCCTTTTGCAGTCCGCTTTCAGCAACTGAATGTGGCTAGCTTCCACATAGCCTGCAGTTCCAAGCCGTTCTCCAGTGCAGGCCTGTTTGGTGGCTTTTCTCTGATCCTTCAGTTCCATATTTGGATTCTTACTTCCCTGGCTCCTCCTACAATTGTGTAAGTTCTAATTGCTAGAATAAGCTCCTTATTCCACAGTACTCACCTCATTCAATCTCAGTGATTTGCTTTTCTTTGAGCTTGCCCCAGATAGACTGAGTATTGCTGGAGAAAATACACAACCCTACTGACTGATTACACTTTAATTAATAACTGCATAGTAGTCATCCAATTTTGTCTGTGTAGACCCTTTCCTTCTTCTGTAAGTAATAACGCACGATGTTGCTGGAGGAAGTCTCCAGACCCAACTGAACACAGTCTGGGGGCTATTCTTCTTTGACTCAGTCTGGCCAATCAGTTACTCTCTCCTTGGAATCAGGATGCAGAGCAATGGAACTCTTTCATCCTAACAGCTGCAATCTATGACTGCTGTCCATGTGTTCCTGCTACCGAGAACTCTGCTCCTTCAGCTTTTTCCTTCACCATGTGAACTACTCTTCATTCTTCCAATAGATTTGTCGTTGAACTTAGCCAGACTCCAAGTCTAAGGCTTGCCTGCTTTATCCATTGTCATCCCAGTGCTGGACAGAATAGAGTCAAAGCTAGAGACCTGTGACACACCAGGAGAGACCTTCCCTTCCCTCAGGCTGATACCGAATAAAGGATCAATCTTTCTCTAGGTTCTCCTTACCATACCATCATGGCATGCTTTCCTAGTATTCACAATACTCAAGACCCAGAAATGTTTCAGAATAACAAGATCTCATTGAATCACCTGGGAAAGAGCCTTGGACCCAACACATTAGCTTTCCAGTTGTTTTCTTTGATACGTCCCAGATCTGTGAACTTGCACAAGCCACTCCCATTCTGCTTTTTTTTGTTGTTGTTGAGACAGAGTCTAACTCTGTCACCCAGGCTGGAGTGTGGTGGCGCAATCTCGGCTCACTGCAACCTTCACCTCCCAGGTTCAAGCGATTCTCCACCTTAGCTTCCTGAGTAGCTGGGATCACAGGCGTGTGCTACCACGCCTGGCTAATTTTTGTATTTTTAGTAGAGACCGGGTTTCGCCATGTTGGCCAGGCTGGTCTTGAACTCCTGACCTCTGGTGATTCACCTGCCTAGGCCTCGCAAAGTGCTGGGATTACAGGTGTGAGCCGCCGTGCCTGGCCTCCACTCCCATTCTCCTAAGTGCAGGATACTACTGCTGTAAAATGAGTATATAGATACACTTTGAGATTAGTTGCAGGGTCCTGGGTAAGTGAATCTCTCAAGGTGTATGAGTGCTCAAGATCTATAATTCTGTGACTTCCACTAAGGACTTCATCATAAATGTGGTGACCTTTTAGCATCTGCTGTAGTGTCATTTATAATACTGAAAAATTCTGGGAAAACCTGAATAACCACCAATAAAGGATAAATTTGGATGTACACATGTAATGGGCCATTTGGTGGTAGCTAAAAAATCATGTTCTAGAAGGATTCTTAATGATGTGGAGAAATAAGTTAAAATAAGAGAAAAATACAATTTTTTTATATACAAAGTGGTCCCAGAACAATGTGGGAGGAAGGGAATATATGAAAATATCAAGGTGATTATTTGGAGGTGGCAGGGTTGTTAATCATTTTTTCCATTCCATGTACTTGTCTCTGTGTTTTAACATTTTTACAATGAATATGTGTGACATATACTGTAAGAAAAAAGACCTGGAAAACATTTTGAGATACCTGATCTATATATTCTAAATTCTATGCCTTATACATGTTTATGTCCTTTAACTATATAAATTTCATTTTGGAGATTTACTATCAGACAGTAATTCAAATTATAGAGTATGCTATAATACACAGATGTTAATGTAACATTCTGTGTAATAGTGTAAAATTGAAAAAAGCCTAATAATGCAGGAATGCTCAGAGAAGGATACGCCATCTAATTAAAATCAAAGGTGGACTTTTAAAATTGTGTATATGAAGTCTATAATAACAAAGAAAGTTTATGAAGGAATGTTAAGTGAGAAACAATAAAATTATATTCTGATGATGTCTATGGCATTTGAAACAAACAAAAATAATACATTGAAATAATCTGCAATAAAGGTAATTATTTTGGGTGCTGAGAGTTCAGGTAATTATAAAATATGACTTGGCTTTTCTACGCTTGCACCAACCTAATAAATAGTCGTTATTTATGTAAACAGGAAAAACGTGCAATTATTATTATTATTTTTCTGCAGTGAAAACATTTATTTTACAGCAGTAATCTTTATTTCAGGTCAACATTCAGACATACAAGACGGAGATCACCATGCGAACCCAGCCTGGCCCTTAGATGTGTGTGCTCGAGCCAGGATCATCCAGAGTCTGATAGCGCCTGCACCCCAACACGGTTGGATTCCAGGACGCCAGTGCCAAACCCAGAGAAAGGACAACCAGCTTCCATGCATTTGCATTTAATTTTTAAAAACAATACATATTTCAGTGTTAACTTCCTCCCCTCACCTGGCTTGAAATATTTTCCCCATTTTCTAGGGAAACAAAATCTACCAAAAGGTGCCGCCTGCAAGACCCCGGGCCCAGCCACTTCTGGAGGGTGGTGCTGTGTGGACTCCTCTGGGGCCAGGACAGGGCCCCTTCCTGGGCTCCTCTTCAGATGCAGCTTTGCCACTGTTTGTATCTGTTGCTTAGAAAATCGTCTTTAATGTTTCAAGTGAGGAAAGGGTTTCCAGTCACCTCCTAGATTTCACACCGGGACACACACCTGGGTCAGGTGAGCATGACAGAGCCCCCAGGATGGGCACCTGACTCTGCAGACCAGAGGCCAGTGCCGGTGGGGGCCATGGCAGTGCCCTGGGCACACACACTCTGCACACTGTGGGCTCAGTGGTTCCTTCTGTGCACCTGCTAGGAAAGCTCCTGAAGGTCCCTGCCCGACTTGTCAAGAAATCAGAAGCCGTTTTAGAGCCACATTTTATTGTACTTGTTGCTTCACCGCTGGACAGCAGCATGACATGCTTTGTGCATGATGTATACATATACATACATGTACACACAAGGACACACCACAGCCTGCACTCACAGCATGTGACAACACGAACCGTTGCTGGTAAGGACAGTAAAAATGTAGCTTTTGCCAATTCCACAGGACAATGACTCACAACCAAAATAACAGGCACAGATCAGTCCTGCGCCACACTATTTGGGTTCCCAGCTCCAAATACTGGGAGTGAGATCAGTGACTTCGTGTCCCCTCATGAGATGTCCCCACAGTAGGATGCACTGAGCCAGAGCTAAGGGAGGGCGGACAAGCCCCACGTTGAACTCTGCCTGCAGCACCTGGACCCTCCCGGGGCAGCCTGCATGCTGATGCCCCTGCAGCACAAGGCTCGCCCGGAACAGAACGCCCTGGGCTCGGCAGGACAACGGGTGCCACCACTGGCAACACGTAGCACCTGAGAGCAGCCTCGACTGCGTGAGGCTCCAGGGCCTTCCCTGGATGGCAGCAGCTGACGTGGAGATGAAGCTTCCTGCTGGGCACATGCACATGCCAGTTTCTTTTCCTAATAGGTCCCCACTGGGTGCTGGCTGCATCAACTGAACATCAGAGAACTAGGAAAGTTCACAAACACTGAGCAGTAGTATCTAAAGCAGTTTAAAAATAAAGCCAAAAGGAAGACCAAAAAATCCCTCATCACTGAGCGGAGACAAATCTACATACCAGCAGCTGCCTTGAAAGGGCCGGCGGGGCCGCTCCCATGCCTCCTGCAGGTCAGAAGCAATCAGTGCTGCCTGGACCCCCTTGTGAACCGAACATGCCTCAAAAACACGACGACCCCAGCAGGCCCCTGGCAGCACCCAGCAGCAGCGTCCAATGGGACGTTCTGTGCCCATGGCCACAGTGGCTCACAAGCATCATCCGCAGCCCAAGAGTGAGGAGTCAGGGTCCTGTCACTGCCACCAGCAGGCAGGGGTGCTGGGGGCATTCTGATCTGTTAGCATGTGGACAAGGAGGCGCGTAAGCTGCCCCCGGGGACTCACCACCTCTTTTAATTAATAGGGAAACAGTCCACTCAAGAAAAAGAGAAAACCTGGGAAGTTCTTTTTCCTGAATTAAGACAAGGCCTTAAAACCTAAAGGGCAGAACACCGGAAACAGTTTTGCTTCCAGGTCAGGCAGTGGGAGGAACTCCAGGCCCCGAGTGTCTGGGCTTCCTAGGTGTCTTATAATCACAATCACCACTGTGAGAATTTTCATGGCCATGATTTATTTAGGTTTTACAAATTCTGTAGGAACTGGGTTCCACAAACCTCCAGACCTGCTCCTCTTTCCCACCCTACCCCACCCTTTGCGGGGAGCTGCATGGTTCTAAAAAATGGTCCATTGGACTCTGTAACTGAAAAGCCACCTGGCAAGGGGCCCACTTTGATGGGTACCAAAGGGCCTTGGAGTGTTCTAGCCACAGAGCTGTGTGCAGGCACAACAGAGGGCCTGGTGGGGCTGAGCCAGGCCCCCTGACAGGTGGCTTTCTACTTTAGGTCCAAGCTTAGAACCTGGCTCTTGGCCAGTCTGGGGAAAAATAACTCACTTCCTAAGCTACATCTGCAAAAATTGCAAAGGCTGAGTACAGCCAGCATTTGAGGCTGAACTTGCTGCTGTGTTGAACGGCACGGAGGCACCCCAACGTCTCGCTGCCTCGCATTTCAGGATGGGCCAAACAATGAATTTCTTATTCTTTTAGGAGAGGTCTGATTTTGACAAATTATTTCTAATTTAATATCACAGTGCATAGCTCTCCTCTCATCAAAGGTCTTCATGATCATTTTAGGGAGAAAAACCAAAGAAAAGTGAGACAAACAAAACTGCCCCAGGACTTGGTGCTGGCAGCCAGCTCATCACCCACATGGGGATCCGCAATAGGGGTCAGCTGGGGGCCCTCAACCAGCACCCCGCTCCTAAGCACGTCCAGATTTGTCCTCACCCATGTCCCTTCTGGCAACTTCCTGGTCAACCTCAACCCACCCCTCTGCACAGCCTTGGGTGGGCCGCTGAGGGCCATGAGTGAGCTGGGGCCATGAGTCAGCAGGCAGGCCGGGAAAAAGGGCCTCAGGAGACTCATCTGGTTGGTCCCAGCCAGAGCCACCACACACAGCCTCTTCCTCAGCTTCATCTCTGCTGAGAACTCTGCAGCGGCCACCATGGATGTTCTGCAGAAGCCAGGCCCACTGAGTCTGCAGCATGGGGCCAAAGGCAGGCCCAGCATATCCCGTGAGCCACAGAGTGGGGGCAGCTCTGAGCCCTCGGCCAGCACAGGGACATCAGACCCGTTTCCCCCACTCCTCTACCCAGGGCGCCACCAACAAGGTCTAGGACAGACAAAAGACTGACTTCCAATGGTCCACACGTGGATTCCGTGGTCTGGCTGCTGGCCTCCCAGGGACCCAACCCTTCTGAGCCAGAGGGGTCACTCTGGTCCAGTCAGTCCTTCCTCCAGGGACATAACGAATCTGGCTCTGCCTGAATCATCGATGACAGGGCAAAGGCAACTGGAGCAGATGGGAGCTCTGGCAAACACGGGAGGAGGGTCTTGGAAGAGCCCCCGTCCCCAGCGGCTAGATGCTTACACATGGACGATCTACTCTCCTGACTGTGGCTCATCAGGCTGGTGCTACCATCTGTGGTTGTAAAGGTCCAAAGAGGGCTACGGAAAGGACAGGTGGGCTGGAAGGAATGTGGAGAATGACCCCAGGACAGGGGAGGAGGAGACTGGCCCCATCAATCCAGTTCACAGCCGGGAAAAGTGCAGGAAGACAGACAAACGACCCCAATGTGGGCGAAGGACACACCTCCAAGGACTGGAGCCGCAGAGTCCACGTGACAAGGAGACCCAGGATAGAAACACTGTGCGGAGGACACGGTGTCAACCTCGGAAGGGGCCTCCTATGCTTTCCACACCAAATTCCCCCACGGGAGAAACCCTGCCACAAGGCCCAGGAAACCACAGACCCCAAGCCAACTGTGCCTAGCACAGACACCAAGGAATGACAGCGATGCCAGTGACGCCAGGAGGACTTGGCCCCTAGCCCCATCATCGGCTGTATGATGATCGGTGTGTCTGCGGCCTCCCTCTCGTCAGACTGCAGCCTTGGGGGACACGTAGAACTCTGTCTCCTCGCCCTCAGGGGCCTTGAGCTTACACTTCCCGCAGCACAGCAGCGGTTGAAGCAGCACCACAGACAGCAGCAGCAGTAGCAGCAGGTGAGGAGGCTGCAGAAGACAAACAGGGCCTTGGCCCCCCCGGCTGGACAGCACGAGGTAGGTGTTCACGTTCTCTTCCCCAAACTGTTCGGCCAGGTAGAGCCCCAGCGAGCCGTAGTTGTCATAGATGTTCCTTTATGTGGTGTCCGTCAGGATGGCTTGGGCCTTGTTGATCTCCTTAAACTTGTCTGCGGCCTCCAGGTTGTCAGGGTTCTTGTCGAAGTGATATTTCAACGCAAGTTTCCGATAGGACTTTTTAATGTCATCTGAGGTTGCGTTCTTGTCCAGCCCAAGACTGTGGCACAATGATTCCCCAGAGGTAGACAGTGAACGCTGTCTCTGGTCTGCCCTGTTAGGCTAATCTGCCCATCCGCCCGCCCTCCCGCCGGCTCCATGGCTCCTGCTCCCCGCTCTGCGACGCTGCTGGGCAGTGGCCAACGCAGTCCTCAGCCTGGAGACCCTGGGTGGCGGCCGCAGCGGCAATGGCAGAGGGCGCCGGTGCAGCGCTCACAGCGGCAGCGGCAGCGGAGACGCCGCAATTATTTTAAAATAAAAAAATACCTACTCTATGGAAGGGAGATTGATGAGTTGAGTTTCTCTCTTCCTGGGGTTGGGTGGAGACAGGACTGATAAACTGCTGTCCTTATTCAAGGGCCTCAAGGCCCTACCCCCAGAGTAGAGGCTCCCTCGTTCCGAGTTGTCACATAAAACAAACTCCCTCCAGCCAGATGCAGCCTGGGCCCTTGAAAGCTCAGCTCAGGATGTGGGTCTCTCCTAGGGTTGCTGGAGATCTTCAGGAAGATAGGGAGTGGCCTTCTCTCAGCACTTTCTTCCCCAGCCTGCTCCAGCCACAAAAGTCCCCTGTCAGGTTCATTACCACCTTCTCCTATTCCCTTCCTGTGAATGCTTCTGTCAGCAGTTTTTTTGGTAATGATGATGGTGATGGGTGATAATAGCTTCCTGAGTTCTTATGACAGGCCAATCATGTTACACAGAGCATTTCTGAGAATCTTCACAACGTTCAGTATGTACACACCTTATGAGACATGCACAGTTCTCCTCATTTTACGGAGGAGAAAGCTGAGATTTAGAGATAAATTGATTTCCTCCAGATCACATTGACAGTTACTGGCAGATCTAACTGACTAGCTCCAAGTCCTTGCTCTTAACCCTGTCTTGATGTCTTAACCCTCCACTTGAACTCTAGCCTGTAATGCTGTCTTCTCCTCCTGCAGGAACCAGCCCATTATTTAAGGTGGACATGACTTTTTTTTTTTTTTCCCCAGGCTGGAATGCAGTGGTGCGATCGCGATCTCGGCTTATTGCAACTTCTGCCTCCTGGGTTCAAGCAATTCTCCTGCCTCAGCCTCCTGAGTAGCTGGGATTACTGGCATGCGCCACCATGCCTGGCTAATTTTTGTTTGCTTGTTTTTGTTTTTTGTTTTTTGTTTTTTTGAGACTGAGATTTGCTCTTGTTGCCCAGGCTAGATTACAGTGGTGCGATCTTGGCTCACCACAACCTCCACCTCCCGGGTTCAAGCAATTCTCCTGCCTCAGCCTTCCTGAGTAGCTGGAATTACAGGCATGCGCCACCATGCCCAGCTAATTTTGTATTTTTAGTAGAGATGGGGTTTCTCCATGTTGGTCAGGCTGGTCTCGAACTCCTGACCTCAGATGATCCCCCAGCCTCGGCCTTCCAAAGTGTTGGGATTATAGGCGTGAGCCACTGCGCCTGGCCTGTTTTTGTTTTTTTTTGAAATGGAGTCTTGCTCTGTTGCCAGGCTGGAGTGCAGTGGTGCCATCTTGGCTCACTGCAACCTCTGTCTCCTGGGCTCAAGTGATTCTCCTGCCTCAGCCTCCCGAGCAGCTAGGACTACAGGCGCGCACCACCACACCCAGCTAAGTTTTGTATTTTTAGTAGAGACGGGGTTTCACCGTTGGCCAGGATGGTCTCGATCTCTTAACCTCCTGATTAGCCCGCCTCGGCCTCCCAAAGTTCTAGGATTATAGGCGTGAGTCACCGCGCTGGGCCTAATCTTTTATTTTTAGTAGAGATGGGGTTTCGCCATGTTGGCCAGGCTGGTCTCAAACCCCTGACCTCAAGTGATCTGCCTGCCTCGGCCTCTCAAAGTGCTGGGATTACCAGCATGAGCCACTGCGCCCGGCTTGGACGTGACTTTCTTATATCATTCTCCAGCCATCATTCTCCAGGTACCCTTCTTCCTGTACCTCCCTGAGATCTGGGGCAGCAGTTTCAGTAGCGTGTGTGTGTGTGTGTGTGTGTGTGTGTGTGTGTGTGTGTACACCTCTGTATTTCATATACACACTCCAATTATAGCTTCCCATTATCCACTGAATGACATTTAAAGGATGAAATTGAAGTGACTTGGACAAAAGTCATAAAGCTTCTGTGCACAAAATACATATTTGTTGTTGTCTGTATAGGTGTCTCATGTGGGCAGAAGGTGCCCGACTTTTCCCTGTGTCAGCCTGCAGCACCTCAAGGAGTGCCTGGCACATCACGTGGACTCAATAAAAATTTTCTAAATAAATGAATGAAAGAAAAAACATGAATATTTTAATGATATCAGAATCTTAAAGTTTCAGTTTCTTCATCTGTAAAATAGGTATGATTATTTTCTCTCCCACTAGATTAAAAGCTTCTTAAGGGTGGGGAATGGATTGTATTCCGGGTCGTGTCCCTAACACCAGGCGCACTGCTAGGGACATAGGATGTACTCAATCAAAGTCAACTGGCCAAAGTGAATTCCCTGAAACTCCCAGGAGAGGTCTGAGAATGGAAGAAGTAAGGCCTAGAACATGCCCTGGACCCACCTTCCTTCCTTCCTCCCTCCTTCCCTCCCTCCCTGACTCTCTTTCTCCCTTTCTCCCTTCTTTCCCTTCCTTCCCTTTCTTCCCTTCCCTCCCTTCCCTCCCTTCCTTTCCTTTCTTTCTTTCCTTTCTTTCTTTATTTGCTTTCTTTCGACGGAGTCTTGCTCTGTTGCCCAGGCTGGAGTGCACTGGCGCGATCTCTGCTCACTGCAACCTTCACCACCTGTGTTCAAGCAATTCTCCTGCCTCAGCCTCCCGAGTAGCTGGGATTACAAGCATCCGCCACTACCCCTGGCTAATTTTTGTATTTTTTTTTTTTTAATAGAGACGGGGCTTTACCATGTTGGCCAGGATGGTCTTGAACTCCTGACCTCAGGTGATCCACCTGCGTCAGCCTCCCAAAGTGCTGGGATTACAGGCGTGAGCCCCTGGGCCCAGCCGCCCTGCACATTTCTTAGAGAAGAGCATTTTGGTGTTAAATTATTGAAATGAATTGTATTATCTGCCCCCTTACTGCAGAGTCTCATGTGCGAAGTCCAGGGAAAAGTGGTCCCTGGAACCCAAAACCAAGCCTTGTGGATCCCAAAGCCAATTTCCTCATTCCTACTGGTTTCCTTCTTATTCTGCCTCCATTAAAATGTCAGATGCCTCCATTGTGATCATTATCTCACTGCTTATTATCAGGGATAAGCAGAGCTTCACTGAGTGCAGGTAGAAGGCACAGGATTAACACCTGGAAGGGGGCCTGCTTCAGGAGTTGGAAGAAACGCCTGCCAAACCTCACCTGTCAGCCAGGGCCACGCGGCCAGAAGCTGTTTTCTGAGCTCACCTAGGCATTAGCACCTTGGTTGTTGACCCCTGGGAGGAGATTTCTTAAAAGTACCTTGCAACCATTTTATCCCTTTGCCATTATTTTTTTTCCAGGGGTGAGAGGAGAATTCTGCCCCCATAGCTTGTCAACATCTCTTCAGCTTGGTGGCCCACCCAGTCCACCCAGCAGAGCGACCTGCCCCACACCAGTGGCTCGCATGGGCCTTCTTATCTCCTTGGCCCAGCTGAATCTTGGTGAGCTGGTAGCGAGTTATGATCTGGGCATCCTGGAGGAGCCAGCTTCCAGGGTAGCATCAATTGCTGGGAGGGGTCTGTGGTCTGGAAGTCACATCTAGAGGTATGCAGCAAAGCCAGGTCAAGGCAAACACTATTGCCTTGTAGTTGCCTGAAGGGATAATCAGCGTGGCAGGAGGGTGTGGGAGGAAAAGGGAATAGTGGCCCCGCCCATTTCACCTTGGTGCCAGGGTGGAGTTCACAGACTAATTACAGGTTAAGGAGCTTAAGGCTTTCCACATTGCTTTCTTCCTCCTCTGTCTGCCTCACCTTCTCCTTCAGAACCACCAGGACCTATAGCAGTCCCACGGTGCTCTCCAGTCTCAGGGTTGGTGGCCAGCGTGGTGTCCCTGTGCTTTACCATGTCTTTCCATTATGTTTTCATTGTTTCTTTTCCTGCCCCATCTTGGTGCCCAGTAAGCCTACCCCCCCATTACAAAAATAACTACAACAAAAATAATTTAATACTGATGAGGCACGTCAGGCATGCAGTATCTTATTACATTGTCAAACCACGTGGATTGGGTATGTCATGCCCATTTTATAGCTGGGGAAATTGAGCCCTGGAGAAATTGAGAAACTTGTCCAAGGCCACCCAGCTGGTAAGTGGCTGGCCAGAGCCCCCACCCACACCTGCCCATGTGGGCCTGCTTCAAGGTCTGGATCACTCTGGCATCTTCCCAACTCAAATCCACCAGTTCTTCATTCCATCAGTCAGCCCTCCCAATCAGCAAGTGACCAAGGAATCCCACCATGGGCCTGGGCACTTGAGGGGACATGAAAGAAGGCCAAGCCATGGCCTCTGCCCAAGAGGAGCTGAGGAGCTGGCTGAGGAGAGAAGAAAAACACCCATAGAACAGTGAGGGAAGAAGCCAGACAGTGCTGAGATGATTTGATTTGCATTTGATGGCTACAGAGCTGGAGTCAGAGACTTAGCTTCGCACACATCCCCTGTGTGAGCGATGCCAAGCCACTGCCCTTCTCCGGATCTCAGTTTCCCTGTCTGCAAAATGAGGGGGTTGTTCTAGAAGATTGTACGTATACAAATCATACTTGCCTGTGATCAAGGGAGCATAACCCTCTTAACGGGAAAGTGGAGAAACTGAGGCCCCGGGATTAAGACTGTCCCAGAAAGTAACTGGAGCAAAGCCAGAAAAGAAAACCAAACCGAGATTTGGCCCATAGGAGAAAATCGTTGTGTTGCTAAGAATAGGACTCCACACCCAAGAGCAAGCCCTGGGAGCCCTGCGAGTTGCGGAAGAGACTCACTGACTTCTCAATGCTTTTGTGCCTGACAAAGCCCTGAGGGCGTCATCCTGGTGTGGATTTCCCTTGGTTCTTGGGCACTCAAGGAGAAGCAAATTGGTTGATTCTGATCCTTTCACTGCCAGGGTGCTGCGGGGTACCCTGGGAGCGACCAGGCTCCCATGAGCCATTTCTAAGTCATTTTCCTTAGAAACAGGAAACAGTGTTCAGGTTTGGAAGAGTGACTGAAACGAGACACTGAGAGGTTGGGGGTTGGAGGATGGGCTTCATCTGTCAGGCTGTTTTTCCTTCAAGGCAGCTGGATACAGATGCACACACAGCTCGCAGTGTGTCCTAAAGAAGGAGGCATTTGTATTGGCTACACAGAGGGGAGATCTAGAGTGGTTTTTTGCATTCTATTGTTGCAAAGTCCTGTTCTTAGCTGTATTGCCTGTTTCTTCCAGGCTGACACAGGCCTGCTGATCCAGGATGAGTGTGTTTTGAAGTTGGATGAATGTCACTGCCCCTCCTTGCCATGTTTCATAACAATAATTGGTTATGGTGCCAGCTTAAATGTGCACAGCATAAAAACCACTTCCACAACACTTCACAAACATTACCTCAACTTGTATGTAATTGGAGCAAGATGGGATATACTTCATAATGTCCATTTCACAGATAGGGACATTGAAATTCATGATTTTTTTTTCCACCAAAAAAGGTCTGTTCATGATAAAAATCTTTACCTAAATTCTATGGGTGAAGACATTCTCTATCACTTGAGGAACAGACATCCATATAGTACGGTATTGAGAAGTGAAGCCAGCTGGATTTCCTGGGTCGAGTGGGGACTTGGAGAACTTTTCTGCCTTACAAGAGGATTGTAAAATGCACCAATCAGTGCTCTGTAGCCAGCAAGAGGATTGTAAAATGCACCAATCAGCACTCTGTAAAACGCACCAATCAGTGCTCTGTAGCTAGCAAAAGGATTGTAAAATGTACCAATCAGAAGGATTCTAAAAGTAGCCACTCTCGGGGAGGATTGAGAAAAGGGCATTCTGATAGGACAGAAACGGACCATGGGAGGGGACAAATAAGAGAATAAAAGTTGGCCACCCCCCCAGCCAGCAGTGGCAACCCACTCGTGTCCCCTTCCACGCTGTGGAAGCTTTATTCTTTCACTCTTCACAATAAACCTTGCTACTGCTCACTCTTTGGGTCTGTGACATCATTAAGAGCTGTAACACTCACCGTGAAGGTCCACGGCTCCATTCTTGAAGTCAGTGAGACCACGAACCCACTGGCAGGAACCAATTCCGGACACAGTATGATACGCAGGTGACAGAGGTGAACTCAAATGACCCTTCCTGTCTTCCTAAGTCCCATGATCCCATATTATCTCTTTTCTTTCATCTTCTTTTCCCTCTTTCATCGCTTTATACCCAAAGTCATTCTCTATATGAACTTTCACTTTCCACTCCTGCTAAAGATCTGGTAGACCCAGGGCTTTCTATACCCAAAACCCTGTTCTCCTCCCAGCTTAGGACGGAAACAATAGGAGGGTGGGCTACATGCACCTTGTCTCTTATAACAGCATAAATTTATATGTGTGAGATGCTGTCAGCTTTTATAAAGTTAAAAAAAAGCTGACAAGCATGACTTCATACCTGAGATTGGGGGTGGGAAGGGCAGTCATTTCTTAAAACACTTACTGTGCCAGGTATTTTGCATAGAGTAATCCATTTATAATCTCAGGGACAGCCCCGCCCGGGAGGTTTCATTACTCCGCAGATGAGTAAAGCAACTTGCCCAAGGTCACTCAGTTAATAAGTCAGATCTGGGATTTCAAAACGGGTCCATGTATTCTTAACCACTACACCCTGCAGCCGTGGAAGAGCAGGACTCGAACTCCGGCTTCCTCACCGTTCATCCAGCACCTTTTTCACGATCAGGGCTCCCCATTCTGAAGTTTATCTTTGTGCTATCTCTAAAAGAAGGCCTTTGTCAGTGCTCACTGCAAATAAGATCAGATGAGCACTGGGGCAGGCTGAATAATGCCTCCCTCCAAAGACGGTCTCATGCTAATCCCTGGAACCTGTGTCTGTTACTTTATATGGCAATAAGGACTTGCAAGGGTGACTAAATTAAAAATCTTGAGATGGGGGACTATCCTGGATTATTTGGGTAGATTCTAAAGGTAATCACAAGGGTCTTTTTAAGAGGGAGGCAAGAAGGTGAAGGAGGAAGTAAGAGGTGTGAGAATGAAAGCAAGAGGTTGCAGTGATGGCAGTCATGGCTGGAGTCCAGGTGGCTCCGGGAACTAGGAGAAAAAGGAAACACTCTCCCCTGGAGTCCCAGGAAGCAATCATCTGGGTGGTTGATTTCTGCTCAGTGAAACTGATTTCAGACTTCCTGCCTCCAGAACTCCAGTAAGAGAATCAGTTTGTTATTTTAAGCCCCCAATTTGTGCTAATTTGTTAGGGTAGCCATAAGAAACCAATATAAGTACTAGTTACCTGCCAAGGGTATTAAACTATTTAAAGCGCTTAAATGTATCCTTTTGTATGTAAATAACGTCCAGTAATTCACTATAAGCAGAAGCCATGATTGTTCTTAGGCTGGCGCTTGGGTATTTGAATTAAAATGTATCTTGTTACTCATTAAAGCCAAAGCTATACTAGGTCAGGCTTTGCAAGCCTAATTTTTTTGTTGTTGTTGTTAAGACAGAGTCTCCCTCTGCCACCCAGGCTGGAGTGCAGTGGTGTGATCTTGGCTCCCTGCAACCTCTGCCTCCTGGGTTCAAGCAATTCTCCTGCCTCAACCTTCCGAGTGGCTGGGCCTACAGGCGAGTGCCAACGCCCGGCTAATTTTTTGTATTTTTAGTAGAGATGGGGTTTCACCATGTTGGCCAGGCTGGTCTTGAACTCGTGACCTCAGGTGATCCTCCCACCTCGGCCTCCCAAAGTTCTGGGATTACAGGTGTGAGCCACCTTGTCCGGCCTGCAAGCCTACCTTTTATTGGAAATATGAAAGTTTGGTTCATGTACAGTATTTGAAAGTAAGAAATTTAAAATCTCTATACCAAACGTCTACTAATATTCAATGTATCAGCGAAGGAAATATACTTTAATACATGCAACAAACACTAATATTCTTAGCAAAGTGGAAAAAATTCATAAATTAATTGGTATCACCTTTGTGTTCAATTCCATTCTGTTGAAGAATTATTCAGTCATATATTTCTGTCTTGAGTAGAGATGTATACATAGAAATATATATATCTTTTGGGCACATAATATAATTTATCGACTTCATATGCATTATATATATATATCACTTATCATTCTAAGTTTTGTAACAAGGCAAACTTATCAACTATTAGCTATGGGACCTGGTGTGTAGATGGAAAGAAAGTTTTTCTCATTATTCTCCCAAAAAGAGTTAGCATGTGGGTTTCAGCCTCAAAATATTTCTTGAATGTATTTGTGCTCTTTGGGTAATTTTTGTTCTTGAAAACGATGTTTACTATACATATTATTTTGTTGAAATTACCACTGACTACACAAATTACTATTTATAATAATGACTGTTTTGATTGTAAACTTTGTGCCCATGAACATGGGTATGAACAATGTATTCCAAAAATCTAATTGACACAGGCTAAGGTACAAATCATGGCTATCACTAGGTATTGATCCAATATGCCTATGAAAATTTTCACCAGACTTCATTTAATAGTTGGTTAAATGTTAGAGTACAATCAGTAGATCCTGAGAATGGTGTTTACCCTTCTTTTGCTGATGACAGGACCGCCGAGCTTTGCTGAGGCATCATGGTGGGACTTAAAGAAGTATCTTGGCCGGGCGCAGTGGCTCACACCTATAATCCCAGAACTTTGGGAGGATGAGGCAGGAGGATCAATTGAGTCACGGAGTTCAAGACCAGCCTGGGCAACAGAGTGAGACTCTGTCTCTACAACAAATTTTAAAAAAATTAGTCAGGTATGGTGACGTGCACGTATAGTCTCAGCTACTTGGGAGGCTGAGGTGGGAGGATCACTTGAGCTCGGGAGGTGGAGGTTGCAGTGAGCCATGATTGCGCCACTCACTCTAACATAGGTGACAGAGTGAGATCCCGTCTCCAAAAACAAACACAAACAAACTAAAAGAAGTATCAGCTGCTACACATCTGGAATGACAACATATGCAGAATACAAATGTAAATAGAAAACATAGAATATAAATTATGAGTTTTAGTTGAGTAACGCTGACTTGGAATTGGAAGAACATTTGCAGGCATCAGTAATGGGAGAGTAGAAAATGTGAGAAAGAAACCTTAAGTCAATTAAGAGAATACACTCTGCAAATTAGGGGTGGATCCTTGGGTTAATCTGCAGCCTGCAGTTGTACCCTGCTAGAAGCAGCTTCGATGCCACTGAAGTTAATCTTGGGTCCCAGTAAATATCTTCTCTCCTCTCTATTATCCACTGTGCAAGATATATGTAAATACTGCCAGATACATTTTTTAAAAGGCCCGGGTGCTATCGTGTATAGGTTGACATTAATGTACTCCCAGAATGCCCAGGCATGGTATGGGGTGGCCACCCTATGGTTCCTGTTTTCTTAGACGGAAGACCACTCCTGCAGAACATTTATTATCAGCCTAGGCCAGTGTGAACATACTGGGTACATTTTAGGATTCAGTTTATCTGTTTTGTTTAGGGTTGGTGCTAATTTGGAATAAGCAAACCATTCATGATCTGTATCACATAATTTGGTTTAGAATCTGTCACCTTACCTGTTGCGGTCACTCCCTCTGAATTTGGGGACCCCAAGACCAAGTTTTACTCTTCTGCTCTTTCCACCTCCAGTGCTAAGGCCTAGAGGGGCGCACCTTAAATCTGAATCAATCCACAAAGCCCGACGGACGCCAGTGGCAGGGTTTGGTGGGATTTTAATAGTAACCTACAAAAAAAGTCAGGAAGATAGGGAATAGGGACGAATTATTCTCTTCTACTCTTCAAATTTTCAGTGTTGCTCTCATTGCATATTCTCACCTTGAAATCACTGCTAGAGACTTCCCAAGTCCAAAGGGTAAGAAACTACCTTCAGACTGGCTTGGGAAATGTTTAGAGCTGCCAGGGTTGTATGTAAAATTTCCATGGCAATAAACCACTGATACATTTTTTGTTCTATTCCACCTAGGAAAAACAAAGATCCCCAAAGTCCATTTCGCTCCGAGGTCAGTGGACACAGCTCTGTGACTGTCCTGTGCTGTGTGGGTCTGTAGAAGGGCCAGTCATGGGCCATCGAGCTACTCACAGCCAACTGCACCCAAGTCCAAGCCTGGCTCTGTTCCCATACACAGAGACAGGATGGGGGCTGCTGATCTGGCCTGAAGCCTTGCTCTGGGCACTGAAAACGGGGGCTATTTCCTTACCTGAAGATCTGGAAGCAGCATGTTGACAAAAGCACCAACTGCTCTGCCATCACGTCCCACTGGGTGTCAGTGGGAAGGCCTAACCAAGGCCTGCCTCCAGTGGCTATCAGGCAGACGGGCCAGCAGTTCCCCTCCAGGAGCAAGGGACCCTTCTTACCCTTTTGATCACATTTCCCTCTCTTAAAGGGGCACTGCTGTGGGAAGGGGTCATGCCTTGGATCCTACAGTCATGGACTGTGGGTGAAACAGGGGCTCTTGACTCTTCACTTCCTAGCCATAACTCTGCCCATTGGACCACCCACCCTCCCTGCTGCTGGTCTCCTGGCTCACCCATCAAATCCAACTGCTTTATCTAGAAAATACTTTTCTCCATTCTCATTTCCCTTTGCTTTCCCACTCACCTCTGTTTTTGTTTCTGTTTTATTTTGTTCCAGACACCCTTTTCAGGGAAGTAGATCAGGGAGGCCCAAGAGATTAGGCCTGGGTGGGCTGCTATCGCTTAAGAACACGTCTGCCTCTGGGGCTCCTCCCTAACAGCTGGCCTCTGGAGCTGGGAGATGCAGCTGCCTGGCAGTCTGCAGAGGCAGATTGTGTTGTTACGTGCTGGTCACCGCCTTGAGCCTTAAACCACAGTCAGCAATGAACCTGGAGGCAGGGCATCTCTGGGGATGATCGACCGCATCTGCTCAGGTTCTTGCAGGGCAGGGCAGGCAGAGATGTGTGTTTGGAGCCAGAAAGCCTTCCTGCCAACCTGCCATGCCTCAGTTTCCCTATCTGAACCACCTTCATAAAAACAACTTACGGCTCTCAGAGCAGCACATTTGTAAAAACCTGAAAAATATAAAGAAAAACGTCACTCACATTTCTCCCATGAACATTTTCCTATTTTATGTATCTTTTATGTAACTGAATCACATTGCATATACAATTATGTGTTCCATTTTTAAACAATAAGCTTCCCTTGTTTTAAAAGTAATAATCCATGTTTATTATGTGTTATTGCATAGAAATTTCAGACACAAAAAAAGAAAGGAAAAATGACTCCTTATTGCTCCATTGAGAAATAATAAATATGAATATTATTCTGATAAATATCTTTCTGGTCTCTTTAACAAGCATAATATACCGAAAGGAAAAAAAAGCTCAGTAGATTCATACTTTACTTACTTTTTTGTAACTTTCCTTTTTCACATAACTCAGTAAGAACAATTTTTTTTTTGAGATGGGGTCTCACTCTGTTGCCAAGGCTGGAGTGCATTGGCACAGTCTCAGCTCACTGCCACCTCCGTCTCCCGGATTCAAGCAATTCTCCTGCCTCAGCCCCCCGAGCAGCTGGGATTACAGGTGTGTGCCACCACACCCGGCTAATTTTTGTATTTTTAGTAGAGACAGGGTTTCACCATGTTGGCCAGGCTGGTCTCGAACTCCTGACGTCAGGCGAGCCACCCGCCTCGGCCTACCAAAGTAATTTTTATATCATTAAGCGTTCTCTTGCCTTAATTATGATGACAGCAACATACAGATGTGCCATATCTTATTCAACCAATGTCCTAT
This sequence comes from Homo sapiens, assembly GCF_000001405.40. Classification (NCBI taxonomy): domain Eukaryota; kingdom Metazoa; phylum Chordata; class Mammalia; order Primates; family Hominidae; genus Homo; species Homo sapiens. Next base: position 23,495,358 of record NC_000008.11, read on the forward strand.
CGTTAGACCTTTGTTTTGGCTCTCAATTTTCCCCATCATACACAGGGCTCATTGTAGCTAAATCTTTTGATTCCTCCTGTCCTGCTTCTGAATCCCCTGGGGCTGTCCCATGCATAGATTATGTCCAGACTGCCCCTGACACTGTGCACAAATGTGCTTTGAGAAATATCCACTATACTATGCACATGTGAGGGGTTATCATTGTTTGTTACTTAATTCAGAGACTTAGTGGTATTGGTAGAAATGGTGTATATATTAAGCAAAGAATAACAATTTTAAACACCACTTACATGGTACTTCCTATGTGCCAGGTACTGTTCCAGGTGCCTCATGTAATTATATTTTAAATATACTTTATTTTTTAAGAGCAGTTTTAGGTTCACAGCAAAATTGAGCAGAAAGCATAAGGTTTCTATTCACTCCTGACTCCTGCACAGGCATAGTCTCCCAAACTTTCAACAGTCCCCTCCAGAGTGGTGCATTTGTTACAATCAATGAACCTTTATCAACACATCATCACCCATAGTTTACATTAGAGTTCACCCTAGGCGTACATGTTCAATGGGATTGGACAAACACATAACGACAGGTACCCACCCTGATCGTATCACACAGAGTAGTTTCAGTGCCCTAAAAATCCTCCCAGATTCACCTCTTCATCCCTCCCTCCGTCCTAACCCCTGACAACCACTGATCTTTTTGTTTGTCTTCAGAGTTTTGCCTTTTCTGGAATGTCATATAGTTGGGATCATACAGTATGTAGCCTTTGCAGATTGGCTTCTTTCACCTAATTATATGCATTTCAGTTTCTTTCATGCCTTTTCGTGGCTCGATAGCTCATTTAGTTTTGGCACCAGATAATATTCCATTGTCTGGATGTTCCACTGCTTCACATGATTTCAACGTATTTTAATCCTATGGCAACCCAATGAGGAAGCACTATTAATTAATTTAGCTTTTAGATGAGGACACTGAAGCATGGAGAGGTGAAGCATCTTACTCAAGGTCACAGACCTAGGAAGGGGTGGAGCTCAGATTCTGTTTACATCAGTCTGGCTTCAGAGTTTATGCCTCTCTTAAGTAGCCAATGCCCCTGAGAGCAAGGTACT